>NC_000007.14:40846302-41149332 GCF_000001405.40 Homo sapiens
AGCAAGGTGTTTCTTCACCCTTTTGAGTATTCGTGAGTGTCTAAAATAATGACACGCAAACACTAGTGTTGGAAAAAAAAAAAAAACAGTCAGGAGAGAGCTTCTTCCAGTCCCACATTTTTCAGAGACCTCAGCGGAAGGTTTGGGTAGCACACTTTGAGGGGAGACAGCATGTTTACTAATGAATATGAATAGTATTTCCTTATGGGCCATATATTTTTCCAGTAGGAAATGGATAATCTACTATGACATTTCAGTGGGTTGGAACAAGATAGATAAATCAAATACAAGTTGCCCTGTTTCTTTTTCAAATGAAAGATAAATGCCTTAATGGATTAGCAATCATGAAATATATAAGTATTTATAATACAGTACTGCTTTATAACACCATCTGCTAAAGAATGGTATTTATCCAGCCACTGATATGAGAGCAGATTTTCTTCCACATTATGCAGGGAGGAAGTACATCCCAGTGTTAACGAGCACGCACTTTGTATTTAACCAGCCTAAGTTCTAATGAAATTCTTCAGTTGACAAGCTGTGTAATTTTGATACAGTTACTTAACCCCACTTTCTTCATTGAGAAAATGGTGTCATAATGATCCTACCTTTTAAATTCATTTAGTGCATCAAAGAAGGTAATATATAGAAAGCATTATGCCAAGTGCTTAACACGTGTAAGTACTCAATAAATAATAGCTAGTATCATCATTCCACTGGCCAAAATTGGCTACACACAAAATGAGCCATTTCAAAGTATTTGGAATGTCTGGAGTGAATGCTTTTTAAAGGAGTACTGAGGAACTAGATTAATGAGTTTCTCCTCTAGTCCAGGCAAGTGGGTCTCTACACTGAAACTGAGGCATGTGTCAATCTTAATAGGCTAGTTTGTGGTGGGATAACAAACAATTCCCAAATAACAGTGTCTTAAAACAACACAAATGTATTTCTTACACTACCTGTCCATCATGGGTTGACAGGTACCCAGGCTGGTGGAACAGTCACCATTCTCACACACTGCCAAAGAGACAGGGAGACCGACAGGGTCTTAAATCAACAATTGAGGGTTCTGTCCTGGAGATGACATATACATTTCTTTTCTTTCTTTCTTTTTTTTTTTTTTTTTTTTTTTGAGATGGAGTCTCACTTTATCACCCATGCTGGAGTGCAGTGGTGCGATCTCAGCTCACTGCAACCTCCACCTTCCGGGTTCAAGCGATTCTCCTGCTTTAGCCTCCTGAGTAGCTGGCATTATAGGCGTGCATCACCACGCCTGGCTAATTTTTGTATTTTTAGTAGAGACAGTGTTTCACCATGTTGGCCAGGCTGGTTTCAAACTCCTGACCTCATGATCTGCCCACCTCAGCCTCCCAAAGTGCTGGGATTACAGGCATGAGCCACCACATCCGGCCCACATTTCTTTCATTCACAATTCATTGGGCTCACACAGTTTTACCCAACCCCGAAGGGACAAGGGTGTGTAATACTGTCATATTCCTGGAAACTAGTATAAAGGAAAGTAAAAAAAAATCTCAGGACCCCCAAACTCCTTTGCAAAAGGGAAAGTTAAGCCTGGAGGCTGAGTCGTGCAATGCCCTTTTCCAAATGAAGCTGTTACTGGCATTATACATTAGCCAGATCCCCACAAGGTAAAAGGCCTTGGGCATCTATGAAAGACTGCTCCCACAGATCAATCATGGGCAAATCTTTTGCTGGCCTCCCAGAAACAAGGGCGTGCCAATTATAACTTTAGGCCTGCAATGTAAGTCTAGCTCCTAAATCTAAAGTCTGTTGGATTCCACACCGATGGTGTAGATTACAAGCTTATCTTTCCAGGTGCAGAACAAAGATAAGAGGAGACCAATTATTTCCACCTACCCAGAGAAACTTGCATAATTTACACTTCCTTTACTTCTTTTTCTCTTCAAACATTCACCTTATTACATGTAAAATGTAGATTTACCTGGCACTAACTAAAGTCTCACAGGAATGTAACCATCCACTCTACCTTGTACCTGGCCCTCTTCCTACATGCTTTCTCTCCCCCTTAAGGAAATGTATATATACTGGACAGCCTGAAAACTCTTGGGAAAAATAGCCACAGCTGTGTCTATGGCTCGTGTTTTTCCTGGATGTACCCTAAAGCTGGCTTAATAAACCTCCATGATTGAGACTTTTTCCTCAGTGCCTCATTTCCGTTATCTGCAGAAACTGGAAATTTGGTGGATAACACTGATGACTATCAAAGGGTCATTGATGTGGTTAAAAATAGACAACCTATAGATACTGGCACTTGAGGCCCTCCTTATTAAGTTAAAAAACAATGAGCCAAAATTGATTCAAGCAGTAGTGATATATGGCGTTTCTGAACTCTGAGTGAGACTGGAGACATATCTATGTTGGTGGTACATACCACAGGATGCCTTGAGTTTCTGGGACGCCTGGTCCCGTAAGCAGTGCCATGGATTGAGTTCTTCTGTTAAAAATATCCAAAGCCACATTTTTTCTCTATGGCCTTATCTCACCATTCCATGCTAGTTAAATAGCTTTCTCTGTTTTTATATCACATCTAATGGGTTTAATGTGTTCTAAGTGTATGGCTCCATTTGGTGCATTGGATGCTATGGCTGAGAGGTGCCATATAAAAATATTGTTATTGTTATGATGATGAGTTCAAGCACTGGAAGGGAAATTGTGCAATAACTTAGTACTGGAGCTATCATTATTTTCAGCAAAATGAAGTTTGGCTTCTTACTACACTACTAAGCCTTGAAGATTAAATGGTATCTACAGCATGTATCTTAGCAATGAGCCAAAGAAGTCCAAAGAAAAAATGTTTGTTATAACAAACATTTCATATATTATAAAACAGATGTTCACTTTTATGTATTCTTGATACTTTAAGAAGTTGATGATACCCATGTCAGAAATTAAGAAAAAAATCAAATGAAAAAAATCCACACATTTAGGGTATTTTCCATTTATTAAATTTTATTAATTCTTATTTCCATTGTGATCAGACTGGCCAGCTATGTTAATTACTTTAACCCTTAGTGCTGATCAATTGCCAGTGACCTGTGAAGTTGAGCAATAGTTTGTTTCATTGCTGTAGAAATGCATCATTAGGATGGAAGGTGCGTGGAGCTCTGGAAAAAGGGACTGTTTAGGTCCCTTCCCTCATGATGATGTGATATTATGTTCCCATTACTTGAATATTCATTATGGTTTCCCCCATGTTTTTGGCTACCTCTGTTTCCTGCAAGTGTTTACATTATTAAGTTGGTTTGGTTTATAGAAATGTAGCTTGAACCTGTATATAGCTAGAGTAGCTTGGGGTGTTTGCATAGATTGGTTAGATTTCCTTTTCACCCTAGAAGAATCATGGGAGGTTTCTAAAAGGAGGTGAGACAAAACCACCGGGACCGTGTTACGGAGGGATCTCAAAACACAGACGGAAAACACCACAGAGCTAGCTTGAGGGATTCTCAGGGGGCGCCAGGCACTAGGCCCTCCTTGTGCTTTGACTCAGGTAACTTTCGACAGAGGAGATAGTGAAGGCTTCATTCCTTTCAGGGTGGGTGGAGGGAGGTATTGCAGAGCATCCCCTGACTCAGAGGCATGAGAAATTGGCATGTATTGACAGTGCCGTGAGTCCGGGACTTCCTACAAGGGTTTAGGTGGCATTTGACAAATTCATTTGAAAACAGGAGGTAATAACAAGTATTTATTGCACAAGGAATCTAGTGGACTCTGATCTAGAAAGATGGAGAGGACATACTGGTCAGAGGATGGGGCCTCAAGTGGCTCTCTTCGCGTTCTACTTCTGGACCCCTGAGTTCAGTTTCAAGCTGAGATCATTCTCTCCTTCCTTTGCTCTCTTTCTTTCACCAGAAAGCAGTGTGGTCCAGTGCCAAAGAGCTGGGATTCTGCCACAGGACTGTCTGAGTGTGAATCATAGCCCTGCTCCTCACCAGCTCTGTGACCCTGAGCAAGTGGCTTCCCTTCGGTCTCTCAGTCTCCCCCATTTGTAAAGTGGGGATGATAATAGGGCCATCTGGGGTTATCATAAGGACTGAGCAAAATGAATGAGTGAAGCACACATAATAGTGTCTGTAGTAAGTGCATGTTAAATGAGTGAAAGAAGTCCTGTGTTTTCATTGTTCCTTCCACTTAACTAGTTAAAAGGTAAAAGGGTATAAAATGAATTTCTGGTACACGTCCTGATGCTGTTAGAGACACTAAGTATGTACTTATAAAGAGTGTGGCTTGGGTAATCATCCAACCTCCCGTGCCTCTTTTTTATTCTCTGTAGGAAGGGGAAACATACCTATCTCAAAGGGTTGTAATGAAGAATAAGCAAAATAAATATTTGAAAAGTGCTTTTTATGTAACACGTGGTTAAGAAATGGTTGATTCCTTCCTTCCTTTTCCCTTCACTTTAAAAAACCTTGTCCCTGACAATTAAAGATTTCTACAAGTTAAAACTTTTATCTTTAGCCTGCTCTCACAAATCTAAAATGCAGCTAACTTGCTAATGTTCTGGGAAGTCTAGGTCTGAAATTAGCAGGTGATCAAAGCTCAATGAGAGGTATCTAAGTTGCTAAGGTCATCACTGTAGCAGAGAAGAAAGGATAACATACATTGAGTATTTACTGTGTGCCTGGTACTGTTCTCAGGGATTCATAAGAAGCAAGGTTTTTAATTCTCACAGCTTTATATGACACTTTATACCAGTGTCATGCCCATTTTACATGTAAAGATACTGAGGCACAGGTTCAGTAAGTAAATTACCCAAGGAGATGGAGTCAGTAAATGGCAGAGCCAGGATGTGAACCTAGACACTCCAGCTCTAGAACCCACAGTCTTAACCGCCTTGTTGTATCACTTCTCAAAAACAACAGCTATGAAGTCAACAGATCTATATTTGCATCTGTCGTGTGCCCTTGTACACATTTCTTAACCTCTCTGAGCTCCATGTTCCTCCTTTGTGATTTAGGCATTAAATGCATTTGTAAATGTAAAAAAAAAATGTTTAATGTTGTTGTGAGGATCAAATTAGATAACAAACACATAGCATCTCATGTCGGGTGAGGTATGCAGTAAGCGTTCATTAAATAGTAGTTTTAGATGTTATAATATATAATTTAGAAACTGTGACAGGATCCTTCCACACCTACCTCTGCATTTTGTCTACTGCCAGCTCTGTAATTCTGGCTTCCATGAAGTTGATCAGTTCAGCCTCCCAGGTATGGGCATATGAAGCAGTTGAAGCAAAAAGCCTTTGTCATTATCCTACACCGCTCTAGAACCATCCCTTAGAGGACCACAGGCAGTTCACCCACAGCCCTTGCTTAGAGACGGGCATAACCTGTAAGCATGGCTTAAAGTAAAAGTAAAAGTACCTTAATTTATACCCATGAAGTCCATAGATATTTGTCTGTTGAAGGACAAGAATATGGACTTTCTTTTAAAGAAATGCACTTATCTCCAAAATTATGAGCTTTAGAGATAATTATTTATTTATTTTATTTGCCCCTTGTGGACATAAAATGTTTTTGATGCAATGTATTTTGGTAGAGACCTTAGATAGTAGAGAAAAGGCACATAAACAACTTATTTTTAAAACCTCAGCATCAGAGATGTTGGAATAAATACAATTGCTGTGGAAATATGTCATTTTAGAATGAGGACATTTAGATGGTAAATGACTTCTGATTTTACACATGCTGGCCAAAACTCTTCCTTTAATTTCAGACTTGCATAGCTAAAGACCCACTGACATCTCTCTTTGGATATTTCATAGGCATCTCAAACTTGGCGTGTCCAAAAAAATAATCCTTGGCTTGTGCCAAACTTGTCCATGCAATCCATTCAATCTTCCCTATCTGGTAAATGAACCCAGAAACTCAGTATTCTTCTTTGATCCTTTTCTTTTTCTCCTGAACTACCCTGGCCCATGTATTAATCAGTGTGTCCTCTCATTCTATCACTAGGATACCTCTCAAAAACACATCCACTTTTCTTAAAACTCTAATGTACCATTCCAGTCAAGGCTGCCATCATCTCTTATGATCTACCCACAACAACCTCCAAACTCATTACATTCTCTGCCTAGCACAAAAGTATTCCTTATTGTAAGTCCTGCCACTGCTTTTCTTAAAGCTCCAGTAGCTTCCCACTGAACCTAGAATAAGATCCACTGTCACTACTATAGTCTATACCCTGTGCATACTATCCCCTGCCACTTCCTGCAACTTTATCTAGTACCTCTCTTCTGTTAAATTACATGCTAGCCACACTAGATCATTTTTTTTTTTCAATTCCTTGAACATCAGTCTTGTTCATGCTGCCTGGAATCTTCTTTCCCCCACTGTTCGTATTGATAGCTCAGCTTCCGACTTAGCTTAAGGATCATCTAATCAGCTTGGCCTCCTCTGCACGTCCCATTTAGAAATGCCCTTTCTCCCACTTCAGCCCCTCCCCACTGTGATTGCAATATTATTCCATTTTCAACTTGGTTTTTAATAATTTTATAATTTTTAGCAAATTTTAGCAATTTATTTGCTTTTGTTTGTTCATTGTTTGCCTCCCACATCAGAAAGTAAATTCCAGAGCATTGGGTTTAATAAGTGCTTATTTTGAGGGGAGGACCAACAGCTTTTATCAGCCTTTCAAAGGGTTTCAAGAGCTAAGAAATGTTACTAATTGATGAGTTTGATGATGACAATAAAATTGTGTTTTGTTTATTCCCACAACCACTCAGCACAACACTTCAAAAAAAAAAAAAAGAAAGAAAGTAAATTCCAGAAGAGTAGGGTCCAGGTCTATGTTTTGTTTGCTAATATATATGTAGATCATACAGCCCAGATCTTGGCACCGGGATAGATACTCCAAAATTATATGTAGAATAAATTAGTGTATACATACATTAATTAATATGATATGTATTACTATGTGTAATAATATCACAGTATTTATTAAACTTTCTTTTATTGTTAGCAATTATTTGTTCAACAAATTTGTATTGATTGACAGAGCATGAGCCATGGAGTCTAATAGATAGAAGCTCTTTTTGTTTTTGAGACAGAGTCTCACTCTGTCTCCCAGGCTGGAGTGCAGTGGCGCAATCTTGGCTCACTGCAACCTCCGCCTCCCGGGCTCAAGAAATTCTCCTGCCTCAGCCTCCCGAGTAGCTGGAACTACCAGTGCACTCCACCACACCCCGCTAATTTTTTGTATTTTAGTAGAGACAGGATTTTACCATGTCGCCCAGGCTGGTCTCGAACTCCTGAGCTCAGGCAATCTGCCTCCCTTGGCTTCCTAAAGTGCTGGGATTACAGGCATGAGCCACCACACCCAGCCTGATATAAGCTCTTGTACTGGTTCTATCACTTAGTTGGATAATCTTAGACAAATTAATTAACCCTTTAAAGAGCCTCAGTTTTCTGATCTGTAAAATGAGAGCTATAATAATTTCTTCCTTATATAAATTGAAAAGTCCAATGAAATAATGAAACAAAAAGCCATAGTCCACAGTCATAGCGAATATCTAAGAAAGAATGCTTGCCATTGATATTTTCATTTTATAGCGACCATGAAAAGCATTGAAGGCCCATTAGCAAACACAATTGACATTATTCCTGCCCCCATAGGGGATACAGGCATCTAAATAGACAATTTAATGCTAAGAGCTGTTGAAGAGAATGCACAAGGTTATATGTGCTACTCAAATGAATGTTCTTAGCATCAAGGTCAAATGAATTTTCTTTGCAGATATTCCATCAATTACTTAAAATCTTGCCATATTTTGGATTTGCTACCTATTTGGATCTTGATTTTTCCATGCACTTTTTTTCATAGAGTATCTAATTATTATTTTTTCTTGTATGATGTAACTTATTATTATATTTTTCCAACTTTTCAGTTACAGAAGTTACACAATTAAGGCTTTTTGTCTTCTTAGACTTTCCTTTTGAAGGCCTCTGTCCTCCTTCTCCATCTCTGCTTTTATTGGCTCTCCAGGTCTGAGCTGTCATCCTGGGACCTTCTTTCCCTATGCTCCTTAGCAGGTCCTTATTGTGTATCAAAATTTTTTTCTTTCTTTCTTTCTTTCTTTCCTTTCTTTCTTTCTTTCTTTCTTTCTTTCTTTCTTTCTTTCTTTCTTTCTTTCTTTCTCTTTCTCTCTTTCTTTCTTTCTTTCTTGTCCATTGGCTTCTATATTTTACTGCAGTCATACTCAAGAAACTTATTTCAGTACACTTACTTAGTCTTTGAGAGTTTGCAAATAACTTCATATTTGATTAATCATTTAACTGGCCATACCATTCTAGGTTTAACAGTATGTCCCTTGAGAAAGTTGAAAGGTGGACATGGATGCTCCTGTATTCTTAGCTACTTGGGAGGCTGAGGTAGGACGATGAGGCCAGGAGTTTGAGACCAGCCTGGGCAACATAGCCAGTCCCCATCTCTAGATTTTTTTTTAAATTAGCCTGCTGTGGTGGTACACTCCTGAAGTCCTACCTACTTTTGAAGCTAAAGTGACAAGATCCCGTGAGCCCAGGAGCTCGAGGCCGCAGTGAGCTATGATAGTGCCTTTGCACTCCAGCCTGGCAGACAGCACGAAACCCTGTGTCTTAAAAAAAACAAAAAGTTGAAAACAAGCTCTACTTGTAGTTTTTAGTAGACACTAGTGAGGAGTTTGGTGCAGTCTAATTTTATTCTTTAAAAAAAAAAAAAAGACTAGTTTCCACCCTCCTGTCCTAGTGCTTAGGTCTTGAATTGTTCACCCCTCCTCCATTTCCAGGAAGTTTCTCAGATATTTTTAATGCTGATATTCTGAAATTTTATGTGATGTCAAGATGTAAATCTTTTTTCCATCTATACTGTTGGATTCTCAGTTGACTCTTTTAATCTGAAAAAATGCTCTCTTCTCTATTCCTCATATTCTTTGTTGAAAAATTTCTCCTCAAAAAAAAAAAAGAAAAGAAAAGAAAAGAAAAATTTATCCTCTTCTACTCTTTTTGCCTCTTTTTTCCTGGGGTTCTTGTCTGCTTTATGAGAACTCTTAGCTTCTTTCTCACATTTTTTAGACAAGCTATATTTTTGTCCCTAAATCCTTGGGAGCATCTTTTACTTTATTTTCTAAATTCCTAATTTTAACAATAATACTGGAAAATGTAAGTGCTAAATCTTGTTTAAATTGCATTTTTTTTTTGCATAGCATTCTGTTCTTGTTCTGTTTTGAGTTATCTTCATTGTTTCCACTTTTAACATCTTTTATTTGGTTCTCATATTTCTAGTCATCCCTGGTTGATCAATCTTTTATAGAAAAAAGATCTGGATGCCTGGCATTGATTTTTCTTTGTTGTTGAGGATGTTTTCCACTTTTACTGGATCTACTCTGAATGAGAATGCTTGGAAGTGTGGGTCAAGGTAGTTTCACTGACAGTCTTTACGACATGGATTCAGAGCCATAGACAGGCTATGGGCCCCTCAAATGTTGGAGTATCGAGGGCTTTGCACTGGGGCACAAAAATCCATATTAAAAATTTTTAACTTTCCCTTTATAGCTTTCTTGAGCTTCTTTTTAAAGAAATGGTTGATGCTAGCTAAATGCTAGCTGCTTGTACTCTACTTTTACAAAGCTTGTTTAAATGTTATTGCAGATCCAAACTGGACCCTTGTTCTATATTCAGACATTCAATCCTTCTTCTTAGTCCTATTTCTAGTCCCTGTTCTGTGTCTCTCATAATCACTGACTTTAAGATCAAAGGCTCTTGGGAGGCAAAACAGACCAACTGGCATCCGCTTGCTCTTATTCTCCTTCTACAATATTTTAGGCTTCAGCTTTCTCTATCTCTTTTATCCATCAACATGATCTCATCCATGTGGGCTGTAAATTTGTTGGAAATATCCCATTCATTAGTGATGATCCCTTCCATTCTTTTCATTCATATGAAGTTTTTTTGTTTAATTTTTATACTTTTATTTCAGTGGGGTTTCAGGAGAGTGTGAAGGCAATATATATACTCAAAGCCAAAAGTTAAATTATAACTTGAAATTACTGTACAATTTCCCTATAATTTATTTAACCAGTGCCCAACTTTTGGATAAATCTTTCTAATATTTTTCAGCATGATAACTATTTGACCTTTTTATCTGGAAGAGAGAGGTTGAAGATAGGTGTGCAGGACAGTACATGAAATAATGAGAAGCTGAACACCTAGTCCTAACAGAGGTAACCCTTGGAAGCAATGAGCAGACAGAAAATTTAAGTTAAACCAAAGTTGGGATCCCATGCAAAGAATTTTTATGGGCTGTAGGTTAGAATGCCATGTAGGAAGTCAAGAGCTCTTAACAGTATTGAGCAGACTTAAAAATCTATATGGATCTTTGCCTATGAAAATTGTGAACATTCCTAATTATGTCCATAGGAAAAAATTTTTAAAGTGGGATTTCTCCATCCAAGTATGCGAACACTTAAAAGTCTTGATATTTAGTTGACAAATTTTTCCTCCAGAAGGATTGCACCAATTTACACTCCTATCAGCCACCAACCTCTTAAAATCAAACAAAATTCCCACATTATTTGCTAATTTTATAAGCGAAATTTTATCTTGTTATTTTTACATACATTTCTTAGATTATTACTAATATTGATTGATATCTATATAATATTACTCAGTGCCCAAACCACCCTTCAATAGGTATTGCTGACTTCGTTTTAGAAATGTGTAGACTGAGGCTCTGAGACCTTAAGAGTTCTGAAGTTCACACAGCTTGTACGTATTTAAAAACAGATGGGAACATAGATGTTAGTTTGCCAAAAAATTTAAGAACATGTGACTTACCTTGCTCATAATTTTTTAGATGAAAGATCAGATTAGTCATTTTCTTTGGACCTTCGATATAAATAATTCTGTCATTTTCTACTTTTTGAAACAAATGTGTTTTTTGAGCCCTTTGTTTTCTTCATGCAAACCTTATTCAGAGAGGGATGTCCCTGCTATTATTATTATTGCACAGGGTTGCAAGAACAGATTTCAAATGGCTCATGGGAATTTAGCTTTCTCTGAGATCTTGACATCACTTTATTTGTCCCGTTGCAGTCTATGTCTTCATCCTAGCAAGTGTGAAAAAGTTGCCAGGTAATACCATTTTACCAACCTAAATTCTTGAAGATATTTTATGCAAAAGGTTAAATACTCTTCATTCTAAACTGGTAGCATAGTCTTCAGTGTAGATCTGGAAGCTACCAGAAAAGTATGGCATACAGTGGGAGGAACACAAGTTGAACTGCCCTTTAGTTTGGCTGGACCTGAAGAATTCCCTCATTCGATCACTGTGTGGAGGTTAAAAGTCCAGGCGCTTAGTACTGATATGCACAATATGGATGAATCTCAAAAATATTATGTTAAGTGAAAGAAGCCAGACACAAAAAGTCACAAATTATATATGATGCTATTTATAAGGAGTAGCCAGAATAGATAAATCCATAGGGACAAAAAGTAGATTAATGGTTGCCTGGATTTGGGAGGAATGAGGAGAAGCTGCTTGATCACTTTAAAATGGTTAATTTTATGTTATGTTAAGTTTTATCTCAATAAATTATTATTATTTTTTAATCCAAGTTGTTGAACCCAACAGACGTGAAATTGGAATCTAACTCTATCATTTTCTAGCTGTGTGAATTTGGGCAAGTTATTTTAATTTCCTAACCTTAATCCTAACTTTAACATTTAAACCTCCATTTCCTTCAATGTCCTAATCTGGAAATAAAGATGACTGACAGTCTACCCAAACGACAGGACCGTTGTGAGAACTGTATGCAATGTTGTATTAATACATAAAGCCTTTGGTGCAGTGGTTGACGCATCACAAGTTCTTAAGAAATGGTAGCTGGGCCAGCCTGACCAACGTGGAGAAACCCCGTCTCTACTAAAAATACAAAATTAGCCGGGCATGGTGGTGCATGCCTGTAATCCCAGCTACTGGGGAGGCTGAGGCAGGAGAATTCCTTGAATCTGGGAGGCGGAGGTTGTGGTGAGCCAAGATCATGCCATTGCACTCCAGCCTGGGCAACAAGAGCAAAATTCCATCTCAAAAAAAAAAAAAAAAAAAAAAAAAAGAAAAGAAATGGTAGCTGGACTATGATAGCTATTACTACTACTGTCTTGCTTCAGGTAATTCAAGTGGAGTAAAGTCACATGACATTGACTTCAGGAGGCATATATTGCTTCAAGCAGTTCTTCTTTTGATAGACGGGTTTTAGATTAAAACTGTTTTTAATTAATATCAAAATGGAACAGAGTTGGAGAGAGCAATGAGTAAGGGTCAGATGCCTAAACCATCACATTATTGTCATTCTTGGGAGAGCTGTGGACCCTGCCTCCCAGTGTCTGCTATAGTTGATTTCTCTCTTACTGAAAAGGGACAAACCCTTGAAAAGGTAGTCATGCACTGGGGCATTTAAAAGAAAATGTGAGAAGAAAACGATGAATGTCACTAAGCTTCAGAGAAGGAAAAACTGTAGGCATCAGTTGAAAGTTGTCCCTCTGTAGTGGATTAGATGTGTTACACAAAGGTGCAGCTTGACGGTGTTAGGAGACCCAAGTCCTCCATCTCTGTCAACAGTGGCAAGTGCAAAAGTACTTTTATTAATGGAATTCTCCAAAGAGCTCAAAGCTCGTTTGCTGCTTTACTGATGGGCATTCTTTTACCCACTCATGCTTTGGTTTTATTTGTTCTTCCTATGGGCTCCTCAAATCAAGAGAAAGCCAGAAAAAAAAATTGAGATAGGAATATCCTGTTTTATCAAGTCTTCTTGTGACTACTATATCATTTGTTCTCCTGAAGCCTAATCAAATGAGACATAAAGGACAGCCAACATAAATACCACTTACTGAATGTGATAACAAAGGTAAAATTAGTTGAAACAACATGTTCCCCAGTGTCCAGCCTCTCCGTGGAAGAGTGAGAAGTCAGAAGTGGCTGCTGATGTTATGGAAAGTTCATGGCCTTTAATGGGAGACAGTTCCAGCGGACACAGATTTTCATCCAGGCCCTATGATTAGCTATGTGGCCTTGAGCAAAACTTTAGGTTTTAGGGGTTTTCATGTCCTCATGGGAAGAATGGGGATAGTAAAATCTATTTCCAACAGTTCTTAAAAGCATTGCTCAACTCTGTTTAGAGGAACTTTGTGCCCGGCACCCCTTTTCCCCTTACACTATAAGCTTCAAGAGAGATGTTGTGGCAGCTTTTGTAATCATAGTAACCAACAAGTTTTGTGCATTAGCATGGGTTAGGGAATGCTTACTTAGTGCTTTCTGTCTATGATCTCAATTAAATCCTTACCTGAAGTCTGTATAGTAAACATTATCACATCCAGATTATGGTGTGAAGTTCAGCAATTCATCCAAGATGGCTCTGCTAGAGAGCATAAGAGCGGAGAGCAAAGCCTAAGTCTCTCTGACAGTGAAGCCTGCACACATAACTTCTTCTACCACCAAAAGCCTTGAACCAGGGTCTAGCTGAGGTTTCGGTGATCTGCAGTCAGTTGAACTAAACCTTGGAACTACACAGTAGACATTGAGTAGTCAGCTGCTGGGTTGCTTTCACCTGGGATCAAATTTCCAGCTTCAGAGAGACACTACGTTTCTGTGGTCACTGTTCTTTCCTACCTAGAGTTCACTCAGTTGAGTGCCCTACCTCTGAGTCTTCATGACGGGAACACCAGCTTCCAAATAGGCCCGGCACAAATTAGCTTCATCCATGCAGCCCCACTGCATGGTGATGAGCGAGTCAGATGAGCACTGCACATTTGGATGAACCTGAGTCAAGAAAAGCCACATGTGAAAACACGTTTATTTCCAAAACGTTGATGCATCTGGAAGGGTGTAACTGGCACTCATTGATATTTTTGGCATTCATGGAAAACACCCCAGGCTGCTTAGGTAATTAATTTCGTAGGGTTAGTCATTAACAGGCTTCCTGCTTTCCTTCTCCTTTGGCAGGCCCAGCTGTGAGATACAGTAAGTTCAAGATGTCAGAGGCCAGGCCGCCCCCGCTGCTCGGGCAGCACACAACGCACATCCTGAAGGAGGTCCTGAGATACGATGACAGGGCCATCGGGGAGCTGCTCAGCGCTGGAGTGGTGGACCAACATGAAACTCACTGACAAAGGAAAAGGGCTCTTCCTCATAACCTCGATCCGAATACACTGGCAAAGGCAACACTTTGCTTGGACCCTTCTCCCCAGTTCTGATACCACTAAAAAGAAGATTTAGAGTAACTCCAGATTTCTTACATGGCATCTCCAGAATGGCTCTGGTATTAATGAATCTAGTGCCTTTTAAATGTATCCCACGTTTTGTTCCCTACCATCTTTTTTTTCAGATGATGATTTCATTATGGATTTGTGGGATTTTTAAAAATAAAGTTTTAATTTTTTTCCTGGAAAAATGCACTCCTTATTCTACTTACATTAATGTCCTAAACGTTTGCCCCTTACCCCCCATGCCCTCACCAGACCCCCCGCCCCGTCCATACAGGCCTGAAAAAGAGCAGCTCTCTTGATACTTTCTACTTGTACATAAAATCTGCATTTAAATTTGTGTTAGGGAGTCAAAGCAATAAGCAGAATGACAGTCTCTGTGATTGATTTTATACAGAATAACTTAATTCTGAGCTCTTGAACCCTTTGTTAGTCTCTAATTTAAACCATAGACTTTGCGGATGTCCATTATAAAACTGAGCTCCATTCTCCCCTGTGGGGGTAAATATTTGCTTTATGTTGTATTTCTCTGGTGATTTTATGCTATGTGGCAGAAAGTCAATATTCCCAGTGCATTTAGAGATGTAGGTATCTGTCTGCACAGGTAGGTGAGAAGTGGTTTTACACTTGGTACCTTATTTTGAGCCAAGTGAAAATGCAACAGGGTTTTTAAATGAATTAAACAGGTTCTTAAATGACTATCCAGGTGTTAAATAATTTATACATCATGACAGATAAAAGAATGACAGGAAGACATTGCTTTGTAATCTGAGCATCCACTGTTGAAGACTAGATCATGCCTTAGCATTGAGTATTTCAATGGATATAAAGTATAAAAAACACCTGTGTCCAGTAGGTGAGAAATGATTAGGACGTATGTTCCAGGATAAATTGTTGCTCAAGACTGCTAAGCCCAGGTATAGTCTGGGGAATCAGATGACCTCAACTCCTGGCTGTTAGGCACATCTATTTTAATGTCATTACACACCAAATGGTAATTGAAAGCTGAATTACAGATGTTCATCTTTCAAACTGTGATTTAAAACTCATTTTCTTTTCATATTCTTCTTTATTAGAATGATTTGAGTCATTAATCTATGCTGTAAGGCCTAAGATGTTTCTAGAATGAAGAATTCCAAACAAATAGGAACTTGTCTTCTCACAAGGTCTTGTGACACTTTTCCAAAGAATGTTTACTAATTTTTGAAACAGTTATTGTCTTCTCTGCTTTGCTTTTTGTGGACATCTTATTCTGAAGAACTCTTGCTGTTATTCTACTAGTTAGAATCACATCATACAAGGGTAATTGGATGCCTTCTGCAGTACTTTTCCCCCATTGGCTAATTCACAATGCATACTCAGAGACATTTACTTTAGGCCAGGTAGTGAAATATTTCTTTATGCTTGTACATTTAATATGAAAAATGGTAAAAGATTAGATGGCAGAGAATTGGCAAAACCACATATCTTGAAAGATAGGCCCGACCATTTCTTCCGCTGATCTGGGTAGATATCTTGAAATGCAAATTTACTCACTTACTGGGCAGACCCTAAATATCTGGCTAAACATACGTAGGATGATATTGATCATGCAAAGAGGACAGAAAATTCCTCTAAAATTTTCAAAATTCCCCTAAAATTTTCAAATCCATGTACAGCTCAGTCTTCAGACATGACACAGTCAATATTAAAACAAAAAGACTGTCTCTAGTGAAATCATATATGTAAGTGTCTAGGACTCCACCTACGCAAGTCAAAATGATCCAGGATTTTGAACCTACTGGTCACCCAACAGAAAGCATTTACTGTGCTCTGCTGATTTAGTGGAAGAAATAATTTGGAATATATTTCAAGTTCAGATGAATAATTAGTCCTGAAAGAAACATCATGCTTGCTAAAATTTCTAACAATATGCCCCAGATCAAGTTATGCTTATAAACAAATGTGCTGTTTTAATTATCGGGGCCTATTATCTTACACATTCCTGAAACAGAGCACACTACTAATATACCATATGCTCAAGTTCAGTTTGTGTCAAGGCCTGCCTTCTGGCAGGTTTGTGTCTAAGGTTGGCTTAGAAAATTTTCTGAAACTCAGTGGGGTAATCGTTACAGAATTGGAAGTGTGTCCGTAAGCAAATGGGCTTCTTTTTCTTGTTTTTTTTTTTTTTTTATTCTGAAACTTTTTACTGCCATGATTTTCTGACTAATCAAGCATGATATTTTCCAGAAAGCAGTCTGATATGCTGAATGCTTCTCTAGCAGAAGAGAAATGAATATTGATCAACTTTGTGTGACTACCCAATTACTTGGTGTGAGCGTGTGTTTGATCCATCTCCTAGGGGTTAGAAGTATAATCATGATTTAAGGAAACAAAGAGGGGGTCAGGCACGGTGGCTCATGCCTGTAATCCCAGCACTTTGGGAGGCTGAGGCACCTGGATCGCTTGAAGTCAGCAATTTGAGACCAGCCTGGCCAACATGGTGAAACCCCGTCTCTACTAAAAATACAAAAATTAGCCAGGCGTGGTGGGTGCCTGCCTTCCCAGCTACTTGGGCGGCTGAGGCAGGAGAATCACTTGAACCTCCTGCAAAGGTTGCAGTGAGCTGAGATAGCACCACTGCACTCTAGCCTGGGTGACAGAGCGAGACTCCATCTCAAAACAAAGAGGATTTTATACAGGCTAGTTCATACCAGGACATTAGGCTGGATAGCACCACAAGGCAGGGCTTTGGCATGAAGACTTCACAACTCCTGCCCTTGGGAAGCTTGTACCTTCTCATATCTCACCTGAGTTTGCTATTTCACCACTGACTCTTTTGTGCCATGGGTTTGTCATGTTGTATTTTAAAGGCTTTATAGATATGAAACTTTCAGGTCCCACGTGGCTCAATGTTTCATTCATACGTAGGATTCATACTCCAGATAATGGACCTAAAGAGTCTGAGAGTGAAGGCCAGGTCCAGGCTAGACAGACTATGCAGATCTTCAGCCCCTTCTCATAACTGCTCACCATTGACTCTCAATTGGCAAAGGAGATGAGTGGGAAAAATGCACACCGTTGCCCTCCATACCCTAACCCTGGGCTATTCATTTTCAAACCCATTGCCCAAGATTATGATAGTCTCCTTGCATTTGCTTCTGTTCATAGGAGACTCCCTGATGTAGTGAGCCCTTCTAATTGATGGAATTCTTGAGGTACAACGGGCCTGAAAAAAAACAGTTGCTTATCTTGATTACAGTATGAGTGATCTTTAGGAGGTAGGATGTCAATCTCACTCCTCTTCCTGCTTGATCTAGTGGTACTAGTACTGGTGCATGTGTTTGATAAGGAAGATGAAGAGATGCAGAAAAAAGATGCATATTTCCATTTCAAACAGCAGTTAGGGAAAATTAAAAACCCATCACAGAGGCTCTTATATTGCAGTCTAAAAGTTTTCTCAGGCATGAAGTACAATTGCGTTTCTTACTATCCCAGTATAGCAAAACTAGGGTTAAATGTTTCATGAATTACTGCTTTCATGAGATGCTTAGTTTCTCCATACAGACACACCATGCCATTTTCTGAGCATGAATGGCCCTGAAAGTTCCTTTCAACATCTCAGTTGCCTGGGCTCTGTTGTCCAGACTGGAGTGCAGTGGTGCGATCTCAGCTCACTGCAACCTTTGCCTCCCAGGTTCAAGTGATTCTTATGCCTCAACCTCCCAAGTAGCTGGGACTACAGGTGTGCACCACCACTGCCCAGCTAATTTTGTATTTTAAGACAGGGTTTCACCATGTTGGCCAGGCTGGTCTCGAACTCCTGACCTCAATTGATCCGCCCACCTCAGCCTCCCAAAGTGCTAGGATTACAGACATGAGCCACCATGCCCGGAATGACCCTGAACTTTTAAACAAGGTGGGCAGTATGCAGGACAGGCTTATGTGGTGGGTTTAGGGGAGCAGAAGCAACTCCACTAGACATCTTTACCCCAACATCCACTCAAAAATATGTCTTCTGGTGTCACTTTAGGAGGTTAAAGTATTATAGGCAAATGAATGCAAATACTTGCACTACTACATTTATTCCACACACTAGGGAAAACAAGTACAAAAAAGGAGAGATTTGGAGGAATGGGAACTGGAATAGGCAAATTTGATTAGGGGGAAAGGGAAAGAGAGAGCACACCCAGGAGCTGCAGATCCAAGGACACATTTCCTTGGAAGACTCTGGAAGCCACAGGCAGAATGAACCCAGCCTGACGTGTTGGTGCCGAGAGGGAGGGGCAGGCACTAGAAAGAGCTCAAACACTAGCCAGATATCAGAATTTACTCACCTCGATTTTTCATGTGAAGCAGCTCCTTTTTCTCATTTATTAAGACCTTAGGGTTAAAAGTGCAGGACAGGAAACTCTCTCCTTTGCAACATGAACAATTGCTGCCTCCCCGCTCTTCCATTTTCACCTCTTTCTCTCTTTGTCCTGATTACTCCCGTTCTTACCTGTCTTTTTTCTCAGCCTTTGAACCTCTTCCCCTCTCTCTCCTTCTCTGGGGTAAAAATCTTTTTCCTCCTGTCCTTTTATCTTCCAACCCCCCCTCCTCCTCTCTTTTCTCCTTTCTTCATCTCCTCATCCTTTCTCTCTCTCTCCACACACAGACACGCACACAGAGTTATAGATCCATGTTATACAACTGTGGATACCAAAACCTGTGTCCGACCTTCAGAAAAATAGGACTTTCTCAGTCTTTAGGAAGATAACTAGTGGTAATTCTCACTATGACTTCACCCCCACAAGCAGTCTTGAATTAATCTCTGGGTGGGGTGGCTCTTTAATAACTAGCTGCCACTTCTTGTCCCTTGAAACACAGGGAAAGAAATGAAAGGGTACTCCAAATGCTACTCTGGGCTGTGGCAGAGTTCTCAGGCTCTCTGGCTGTATGTCACATGCACCCAGTTCTAAGGGGGAAAACCTAAAGTAAATAAAATAGAATGCAGAGCAGAGTCTAGACTCTTCGTTCCAGGCCCAGACACTTTGTTCTGGCCCCAGACGCTGGAGCCGAACAGCTTGGGTCTTGCTGTTGTGGTTACAGAGGAAGTTCCATTAGGGCAGGAGCAGGGAGAGCATGACAGTGTGATCGGGGACTGTTCTGCTCCAGCGTCAGGCTGGGTCTTGGACTTTGCTTCTTACTCTTTCTTAGCAAAGGAAAATTTACTTGGCCTTCAGGTGGCGGTGAATAGTTTGTCCCTGGCCATTTTAATCCAATGGCCTCCAGAAGGATGGTGCCCTCACCTCTACCTTGTTAAATAGGGTGATTCCATTCTCATGTTCCCTTTGCTTTCTTCTCCCAGCAGGCTGAAAACACTTTGCCACATCGCTCCCCATGCCTCCTCCCTTTCTCTTTCTTTGCAGATTAACCACATGACAGTCCTTTCAACTCCAGTTAGTTTCTTTGGCTCCTGACCACATAGATTGGGGGAACAGTGTTTTCCTGCTTTGCGTCCTGTCACTCACACCCCTTCCTCTCCCCTAGAACTTTGCACGAGTACTCACCATAAAACAGGAGACTCAGCTTCAGAAGACGCAACTGGGATACTGAAAGAAAAGAAATTAATGTCAAACTGTCACAGGAAAATACCTTTCTTTCCACCCCTCTTACCTCTTTGTGAACCCACTAGAATTTGGATCTCCATAGCATCTCTTGGTATGAGATGTGGCAACACGCATAACACACATTCACCCTGACGGTCCTGGATTTATGTTTTTAGATTTTACAAAAAACTTCCAGCTGTTCCTGATGGAAGCTTTGAAATGTACTCCTGATGAACATTATTGTGTTCTTTCCTTGGAGAGGGTCAGGAAAATTATAGCTTCCATTTTGGGAGGACAGTTAAAGAATCACTATCTCTAGAGGTAGAAAAATGAACTCCCTTTTCCTATCTAGGATTGCCTCTTCATATAGCCGAACGTGCTTGCAATGGCATTGACACAGGCCACAGGGAAGGACAGAAATGCAGCAACTCCACAAGTGCAGTGGGAGAAGTCTGAGACTACAGCAGACTGAAGCCCCCATTCTCAGAAACACGACAGAGCCGAAGTAGCCAGTGACTTGGGCTCCCACCTCCAAGCCCACGTTTCCCATATGCTGAGTCCCAAACGTTTTGTCTCATTCTCTAGCTTTACTTTCTGCAGTCTGGGAAAACTCCAGTGAAAGGATGTAAGCCCAGCATGCAGGCCAGAGGTGGTGCTCAAGACTTGCTAAGTGAATCGTTAGCTGAACTCACTGACAAACCACGGAGAGATGACAACGATCCAAACTCGATGTTTTATGCAACTACTCTCATACAACCTGGGTGACATGAGGTGAAATGAGTAGCTTGGTGGGTCTCTGTGTGGGCGCTTTTCTGGGGGAAGGTTTATTAGCTCGGCAAAAAAAGCTCTCAGATCTAGAATAGGCCCAGATGGGGGGAGAAAGAGGACTCTGACAGTTGTCAGAGTTGTTACCTTTAATTTCCTGAACAAAGTGGAAGTAGATTTACAAGACGCATCCATGTAAAATAAGAACTCCTTATATATATATAATAAGATTAATATATAAAATAAGATTAATATATATAAGAACTCTCCCCATATATATATTTATGTCTCTATACCACATGCCCCCATATATATGTCTCTATCTCTCCGCATATAATATATGATATATATATTATAAGCTTATAAGAACATCTCATAAGCTCATAAAACATTTTCAAATATTGGAGCATATATATATATGTGTATATATATGCTCTCCATATATATGGGGAGAGAGCAAGAGAGAGAGAGAGCATCTCTTATAAGCTTATAAATGATAGCTTACCAAAAATTCTGAAAAACGTTAGAACATGAGTGAAACCTATTTCCAGTTAAATTTCAGATTCTTGGACAAATAAAAAGAAGTATGAGAGATGTCTAGAATTATATGTATAACTCCAGTAGGAGTTTTAAAAATTGTATTAGTAGGAAAACATGCATTTATATGAAAACCTACTCTATAAGCAAATTAAACAAAAAAAGTAGTCCCACAAAATGAGAAGATACAGCAGTGAACTGAATAGATAACTTCTTTTAGTTTTGGTTTGTTGGAACATTTTCAAATATTGGAGCAGAAGCAAGAAAGAAGTACATCTTCATGTTTGTCTATTAAGCCATGAATGAAGCACTTTCTAATCGGCACAATTAGAAGTGTTCGCTGCATGTTGTTTGCTGTCTTAGTCCCCTGTGCTTATCTGACCAAAACAGCTGTCACACATTGAGCTATCATTACCTGGTTACTGGTGGTTCTCTTCTATTAAACTATAATATAATTGTGGGTATCGTAGTCACTATTGTATCTCCAGTTGTTATCATAGCGCCTACTCTATAGGAGATACATAACAAATATCTGCTGAATAGACATCCTCTCACCCACCAGATTACAAGTTCTATGAGACAGAAACTGGTCATATTTATTTTACTACTCATAGTGTCTGTAATAGCCTTCAAGGATAGTCACCATCTATTCCTCCCTCCCTATATGCACGTGCCTCCTTCTTGCAAGAGATGCATTTTATTTCTCCTCCCCTTGACACTGAGCTAGTCTTTTTTTCTTTATTTCTTCTAAAAAACAAAACAAAAATACGGGATACATGTGCAGAACATGCAGGTTTGTTACATAGGTATACATGTGCCATGTTGGTTTGCTGCACCTAGTGACCTGTCCTCTTAAGTTACCTCCCCTCACCCCTCACCCCACAACAGGCCCTGGTGTGTGTTGTTCCCTTCTCTGTGTCCATGTGTTCTTATTGTTCAACTCCCACTTATGAGTGAGAACATGCGGTGTTTGGTTTTCTGTTCCTGTGTTTGTTGAGGATGATGGCTTCCAGCTTCATCCATGTCCCTGCAAATGACATGATCTCATTCATTTTTATGGCTGCATAGTATTCCATGACACCAAGATAGCCTTGTGACTTGCTTTGTTTTTGTTTAAGAGGTGAGCGCTTGCTCTGTCATCCAGGCTGGAGTGCAGTGGCACAATAATAGCACATTGCAGTCTCAAACTCCTGGGCTCAAGCGATCTCCCATCTCAGCTTCCTGAGTAGTTGGGACTACAGGCATGCACCACCATGCACAGCTAATTTTTAAATTTTTTATAGAGGTGGGGGTCTCACTATGTTGGCCAGGCCAGTCTCAAAATTCCTGGCCTCAAGTGATTCTCTCACCTCAGCCTCCCAAAGTGCTCGGATTACAGGTGTGAGCCACTGAGCCTGGCTATGGGCTATGACTTGCTTTTTAAAAAATCTTTTTACTTTAAATAATTTTAGATTTACAAAAAATGCCAAAAATAGTACATAGAATTCCCATGTACATTCACCCAGTTTCTACTAATGTTAACATTTTATATAACCAATGTAACATTATGTAAACTGGAAAATTAGCATTGATATAATCCTATTAGCTAATCTATAAACATTATTCAAATTTTACTGATTGTCTCACTTGGGTAGGCAGAATTCTAAGATGGTCCCCAAGATTCCCAGCCACACACACTGTCTCTCAGTTATCCAATCAAACACTAAGTAAGTGCTTCTATGGAAGGAATTTGTAGATGTAATGAAGGTCCAAAATCAGTTGATCTTAGTATAGAGAGACTCTCTAGGTGGGACTGAACTAATCACATGAGTCCTTTAAACCTGGGTCTAGAGGTCAAACTCATTAGGCTTCAGATTTGAAGCACAAAGGGGATTTGACATGTGGAAGTAGTCACATGGCAAGGAATGCAGGTGGCCTCTAGGAGGTGAGAGAAAACCCAAGTGACAGCCAGCAACAAAACAGGGACCTCAGTCCTACAACCACAAGGAGCTGAATTCTGCCAACAACCTGAATCAGTTTGGAAGTGGATCCATTTCCAGAGCTTCAGAAAAGAACTCAGCCAAGCCAGCTTGATTTCAGTCTTGTGATACCCTGAGTAGAGATATACCATGCTTGAATTCTGACTTAAGGAGCTGAAAGCTTATAAATGGCTGTTGTTTTAAGCC
Source organism: Homo sapiens (assembly GCF_000001405.40). Lineage (NCBI taxonomy): Eukaryota > Metazoa > Chordata > Mammalia > Primates > Hominidae > Homo > Homo sapiens. The sequence goes on from NC_000007.14 coordinate 40,869,613, forward strand.
TCTAAGCTAGGAGTAATTTGCTATGCAGTGACAGAAAATGAATATACCCACGAATGTCATTTTTTTTTTCTCATCCAGGATCAATTCCAGGATTCCACATCACATTTAGTTGTCATTTTTTCTTAGTCTCCTCCAATCTGGGTCAGTCTCCAATCTTTCTTTGTTTAATTACCTTCAGTGTATTGTGCAGTTATTTTGTAGAATGTCCATTAATTTGGTTTTGTGTGAAATGCTTCATTATTAGATCAGGATTATGCATTTTTGGCAAGAAATTTCAGAGGTGATTTTGGATCTTTGCAGTATATCGTAACAGGATGTACATGATGTTGATATTGTATTACTGGTCATTTTAACTTTGATCCTTTAGTTAAGGCGGCATCTTACAAGTTCCCCTTAAAAGTCCTGGGTTTGCTTTTGTTTGTTTCTGTAATCAGTAAGTATATTTTGGGGAAATATTCTGAGACTGTACTAGTTCACTTCAGCAACTGTAACAAATTACCACACTCATGATCATGTAAAACAATAGAACTTAATTCTCTCAAAATTCTAGAGGCCAGAAGTCTTTGGATTTCATTCTGATCAATGTCATTGAACTGAAAGAAAAGTGTTACATGGCTGTGCTCTCTGTGGGGGCTTTAGAAATGAATTCCCTTCCTCACATAGTCCAGCATCTCAAGCTGCATTCCTTTCATTCCTTGGCCAATGGTCATTTCTTCACCTTCACAGACAGTGGTGTAACATCTTCTCTCTCTCAGTCTGCTTTCTTCCTCCTCCTTTACATGATCTTCTGTGTGCCATCAAATCTCCTTCTGCCTGTCTCTTGTAAGCAAACTTGTGGCTCTATTCAGGGCCCACCCACACAGTCCAAAATAACTCCTCCATCTCAAGATCTTTCATTTAATCACATCCATAAAGTCTTTCCCATGTAAGATAACATTTACAGATTTCAGGGATTAGATAGAATGCATTATCTTTTGAGGAGGCATTTTCTAGGATACCATAGAAAATATGCAAATATTCTGTTTTTCATTATAGTTTTGCCCACGAATTTTAGCATCTGTCTGTGATTCTTGCCTTAAACAATTATTTGGTATTCTACTTCTATTTTTCCTGTTTTTAGATTTATTAACTGTAATTCTATTGTAAGAGTTGCCCGTTCTCCATTTGTTTACTTATTCAATTATTTATTTATATCAATATGGACTAGTTGATATTTGTTTTATTTTGTGGGTTATCATTTATTGTACTCATTGTTTTTTTGCTTAAATTGTCACAGATCTGGCCACTGAGAGCCTCTTCAGCATGAATTGAATGTCCTTTCAACACGCTCCTACCTTTTTAAGAACACTTTCTTACTTTCTGTCAATACAAGATGTTCAGGATCATGTTGTATTTTTCCTACAATAGCCCTGGAATTAATCATTTCTCCAAAAAGCCCTTGTTCCTTTTACTAGAAAATGGTATTTAGAAACCAAGATCTGAATACTAGACGTGCTAATTGTTACTGGAATATCATTATGACTAGGTCCCCTTTGCAGACGAGGGAGGAAATACATGCATACACACACACCCAGCCACACATTTATATTTGTTTCTATATGTATCCTTGCACATATTTTTAAAACCACGTGCCATTTCTAAGCTAAGTCTTTAAGAGGTATGGCATCTTCCTTTTATGCTCTTGGAAATCAACTAGCATGCTACATGTCTGAACATCATCCTCTGAAGAAGCCCAAGCTAGCTATGTGGAGAGAGAGGGGGGCCATTTGGAGGAGCACCAGTATACCAGACATGTGAGTGAAGCTTTCTTGGATATCCAGCTTATCTTAGCAACCAAGGGAATACAACTGAATGAGTGACCCCAGCCAGTGCCACATGGAGCAGAAGAACCTGCCCATCTGAACCTTGACCAAATTTCTGACCCACATACATTGATATTGTTTTAATCCACTAAATTTTAGATAGTTTGTTATACAGTAATACATAATGAATTGTAAACTCAGAGAGGAGTTTAACTACCTGAGTGGTTTCTGCAGTAGGTCACCTTTATAGTCCCCCCGCCCCCACCCCGCCAGTGAGCCTCACCCTCTGGTATTCACGTCTTTCAGTGATCTCCACTCTTTGTCAAACCTTGTCTGGAGGAGGCATTATGAAAGGGCAGTGTTGTTTGCTGTATGTTAACCTCTTCGGGGGAGCTCAGGATATAAATTACAGCAGTAGTGGTAGAGTAGGCGGTAAAGGATATGGAACACAAATATTAATGAGAAACTTTTGCAAGGACCTCCCAGAATAACCTCCACGTTCTAGACCAGTGGTTCTCTGGGAGGAGGGTGGCAATTTTTTCCCTCATGGGAAATTTGGCAATGTCTGGAGACATTTTTGGTTCTCATAACTGGGGACAGCATGGAGGGGAGTGTGGGGGGAGAAGGATTGCTACTGGCATCCAGGGAGTAGAAGCTGGGGATAGTGGGTACTGATAAACATCCAGCAATGCACAGCACAGCCCCACAGCAAAAACTCAGCCTAAAATGTCAGTAACGCTGCTGCAGAGAAACACTAATCTAGAGGAAGCTAATCCTTCAGGTGGGAGAGCGGGTGCCTGACCGTCCCATCTATTCATCTTTTTTTTACATTATTTAAGTTTAAGGCAGGATACAGGTGGGCTCATTGCGGTATAATTGATCCACAGATAAAACTTACCATAGTGGTTTTTTGATGAAAAATTCTTGTTCTGACTTCTTGTGAAATTCTTATTTTGGCTTCTTGCAATGAATATGTTTCTAACGTGGAGGAAGCAAAACATTCTATCTAAAGAAGATTCCTCATTAATTGTTCTTCAAATTTGCAGTTACATTAGGGACACAAGTCAAATTACAGGGAAGATCTTAGTTCTTAATATAATTAGAGAACTATAAGTTGTCCAAGCGACACTGACCAGGCCGCATCCCCCTCTGGGCCACAGTTTACTCTGATGAGTCAGGGGCTCTGAGGACATAATTTCTAAGATCCATATTTTGAGTTCTGCCATTCTTATTTCTTTCATACTGTGGATACACAGAGAATGGAATAAGTGTAGAGAAAATAGATGGACAGTTTTGAACAGTGAAGTTTAAAGGAGAAAGAAACTTTAAATGAGGAATTAACTGTACCCCTTTTGGGTATCTGCTAACCCAGAACTGTAGGGAAGTAGAGTGTTTACAAAGTTAAGAAATATCAAGTGAGAGAATTCATACCTTCCTTGGCACACCTTCCTAACTCTTTGATGTACACACTCTTCAGATGTCTGCTCTGGAGAAGAACTGAGGTGGATTAAGGCTAAAGTGTTGAGCATGAGAGGCGTCTGAGGTCAGGGCTTGCTGACTGGGTCACAGCTGTGCAGCCTCAGCGGAACCCGGCTGATCCCTTGATCAGAACATAACAGTAACGTACCCTACCCCACTGAAAACCTGCGGATCTAGAAGTCATAGGGTCTTCTCTACAATATGGAGCTTTCAAGAGGTACTTAAGGACATGAAAAAGAGGATAAATACATGTGCAAAATATTAATCAACATTTGCAATTCTGTCCAATTGTTCTAACAAGGTTAAAATGAGGACCAAAAAACTTACCAATGAGCTTCCCATTGGAAAAAATTACTTTGCCAAAGGAAATGGTATTTTAAAGAATTGAATGGAAAAAAATATTTAAAGGTCATATGATAGAATTTGAGCCTACAGGATGACTTTTTCTTGGCCCTAATTGTTGACTCTATAGACCTCAGCAAGTTACACCTAGAAGATACGCAATGGGAAGGGCATCTGGCAACCAGACTTCTGCACTGGTTTGTTGATTTTATTGCATTATCAGAATGTGGCCAGGCTCCCGGGCCCACCCATTCCATGTCCACATTCTTTTCCATGTCCACAGCCACCATTTTAACCTACGCCCTTCTTGCTTCCTCCTTCTCACACTTCAGTCATTCCTGCCCTTTCTTCCAAATCCAATTTTAAAAGTCAGTGGTCTAGTAAACCTTTAAAAAATTAATTCCAGTTTATTCTGGTTATAACTGATTACTCCTTTACTCAGCTCAATACTTATGCCTGACTTTATATTGCCATCAAGAGCATTGTTGAAGATTTTGTGTTTGTTAAGCTTTGGATATACAGAGAGGATTAGGACAGGTACTCAACATCAAGGAACTTAAAACCAAGGTTGGGAGGTAAGACACATAAAGTTGATGCATAATAACTCATCCTATTACCTAAGAAATGCCAGTGTTGTTGGAGTTCAGAGATGGGAATGACTCTGTAACCTGCTGTGCTTAGGAAAATAATTTTGTAGGAAATGAGCCTTCATCTTCAAAGGAAAACAAGACTCATATCAGCAGAGGCACTAAGAGTGTTACATGCAGAGGTGAGCAGGCCGTGTAGACAGGAACACCAACCACTGGCATATTTGGAAATAGAAATCTTAAGTAAACAAATTTAGTTAAAGGAGCCATGTGGGTAGTGAAAGAGGGCCATTACATGGCAATAGATTGGAAGACTGGGAAGAAGCAGATTTCAGATGATAGCTGGGGACCTTGAAAGTCAAGAGGGTAATTTTTCTGTAGACACTATGATGATGTTGTAGGTTTTCCACCAAGGAAATGACTCATCCAAAGCTATACCTTGTGAAGATGGCCCTGACAGTTGTGTATAGAGTGGACCAAAACTGAGCCAAAAGAACCGTCATAATCTGCCTTTGAGACAGTAGGGGCCTAGATGAGAGATAGTAGTCTTGTATGTTCCTTTATACATTTTGTTCTATATATCTCTGTTGTATTAAGTTAACTAGATTATAAATATCTTGTAAGCCAGAGACATTTTCTTTTCAGTTTTATATCATGATTCTTCTTGCCGATACAGTGCGCTGGATTAAGTGACTGTTAGTGAGTAACTGTTGCTGTTATTATCACCCTGTAAATTTTTATCAGTCTTAGCTGCTCCAAATTAGTTATAGACATGTAGCACTGATATGAGCACGTAAGAATTTGTGATATACAATATATTCTCTGTATAACATATTCTCTAGGGCCAAGAGTGCAGAGCCACTTTGATAGATCAATGCTGTTCAACTGGGAATCCTAAGAGTTGTATTGGAAGATGGTGCAGGAGCCTGAGAAGCCACCACCACACTTAGTGCTCTAGAAACGTACCTCCTCATCAGGCTTCAAGATCTATCCTTTTCTGGAAGAATATATATTTATACAAGGTCACAGTAGTGGTTATGATTAATACATGGGAGAAATTGAAGCTAAGTCTGAAAAACTCAGGCCATCTGTCTGCCTGCTCCATGGAAAGTATCAGTCCCTGTTACAGATTTAGGCAGATCCCATATGCCACTCTGCCAAACGGCACTGCACTTAATTATGGGATTCTCCCTGGTCAAGTTAGTCATGGCCAATTAAAATGGCGGTAGCAATTTCCTTGCACTCTGAGTTCTAGATGGTCTTTTCTACTATTAACCCTTTACTGCGCACATGTTTTCTTCTGAGATAGATTGGAAATTTCTTAAGGGTAGAATTTGTGTCTCACACATCTTTTGTATTCTGCTTAGCACCTGGCACAGCATAGGAAATAAGTTAGTGTTCAGGAAATAGTTGTTGAATTGGACTGTTGAGAAAACTCACTTTCTCAGAAATCTTTCTTTCAGAAATTTATTTTTCCATGGGGAGGATGTGCTTCTGGTTTTAGTCAAAAAAGCTTGAGGACATGTTAGTGTAGTTCCATATTGTCTAAAGTTCAAAAGGTGGCAGAACAAAAGAGTGTAAATGAAACAGCACCCAGTTGTTCAGTCCTACCCATGGCATTGATGAGGCCATATCTTCCATTCCAGGCTAATTCCTATAACTAATCATTTTTCCTTCTCCTCTCCAACACAGTTGGAACCCCTGAATCCTTCTTAAGTACCACTTTAGACAGCCACTAGAAATCAACCTGAAGTGACACAACAAATGTGTTTTGTCATTTCAAGACCTTTGAGGCAATAACCAGTTGCAAGTTTTTCTAAACTTCCTGTAAGTCTACAAGTGCATTCCTAATGTAGACAATAATGCTAATAAAAGCTAACCTTTACAGAATCTATAAGTAATCTTCCCCTCCATCCATCTCTCCTGCAAAGATGAGTCTGTGCCAGGCTTGGCAGTCCTAGTCTCCCTGCAGTGATTATTTTAGAATGAGCATGGGACCTAATTCTGGTCCAAGGGATGAGGGAAGCCTCCTGGAAAGCTTCTGGGAAAGTTTGCCTCACCTTTTCTTACTGAACATGAACAAGAAATAATGCCACAGGTGGTCATAACGTTGTCCATGGGCCACCATTATGTGACCAAGACAGAGAGAAGCTTTGGAATGAAATCAATACCAAGGATAGCATAGAAGAGGGGAAAAGAACCTGGGTTTTGGACAACCCATTGAATTGTCAATCATTTTGTGCTGAAGGCTGCTTTTCTGGATTCCAACTTATATGAAACATACATTTACTTATTGTTTTGGCCACTTTGAATTGCTTTTTGTTTGTTTGTTTCCTTTTTTAATTGCAACCATAATACCTCTGGGCAGGGGAATATTCCAACTTTGTTGACATTATCTCACTACTCATAATAACTCCGTAAGATTGACACTGTCTTCATCTCTATCTCTCAGGTGGGCAAATTGAAAATTAGATTGCTTAAGTAACTTTCCTAAGTCATAGAACCATGCATGCCAGAGCTTTCATGTGCACATAGGAAGTCAGACTCCAGAATGCCCACTCTTAAAACATTACTCTTAAACCCACACTCTTACAGCTGTCTGTCAATTTATTCCCTGGAAAGAACAGAAGGACCATACTAGAAGAAATACAGGCTGGGCATATTGAAGTTTCTAGAAAGTTATTTAAATACTTTAAAGGAAAGGGGATCCCATGTGTATACCAAGTTGAAAATATAACTTAGGTGCAAATGCCACCCATGGCTTAGAAGTCTGTGTATGAGTAGTGTTTCATTTGTCTTCTTTCCTTCTAGCAGGCTGGAAAGGAAGGAAAGCTTCACCACCATAAATCAGAGGCTCTCCAAATTCTTCCTAGGTTGTCTCAGGCCCATGGGAGGTGGGGTCGGTGTGTGGGGCTGGTGGAGGCCTTTGGGGTGGTTTGGCAGATAACCATGCTGAATGGATTGTATTTGTGCATCCATCCCAGGGCTGCTGCTTAGAGCCACAGGTTCCTGCTGTGAACAGACACTGGTTGTGCAGCCACTGCTCCTGGAGGGGCCTGTGCAGCCTGGAGCCATTCCAGGACTCCACAGCATCCACGATCTAATTTCCCCGAGATCTTTTTTTTTCTGACAGTACCCTTTCTTAGAATTCATAAAAGCCTTTCTCTTCTTTAATATACACACGCATTTTTCTTTTTCACTTAGAGCCTAGACAAAGTTCAAAATCATTTAAAGTTTATATCTACTCAACTTTGTTTTCAAGGAATCTCTTCTTTTTGTTTTGAAGGAATCTCTTCCTTCCTTCAACCTCTTGAAGCTTCCTTCAGCCAAAGCATGTGCCCAAATGAACAATTTCTTTTGAAACATAGCTTGTAATCAACACATTAAATAGTCTTTAGATAAAATGTAATAAACAATTTAGCAAGTGCTAAGAATACCTTTCATGTTATACCCAAATGCGTGTCTGTATGTGTTTACCAGAAATGGCATGTGATTTCAAGGTTCATTATTGGATATTTTCCCCCAAAATCATTAGTCATGGGTTCTATACATTTTGATAGCATTTTTTAGACTTCACCAGTGTAAACGTAATTTTGACATATTCTTTAGTTTTTTGATAATGTACTGCAGGGAATTAATATGCACTCAATGAGTGGGGAGTATGTGTGTGAATGGAGTTTTTCTCAACACACAAACATTTTCTTTTTATAAAAATTTCAAACACAGCTCTCATCTGAAAACCACTTAGTCCCAACTTTCAAAACCAAAATGATGGGAACTTCTCTAGCTAATTTACATCCCTGTGAGAGATTCTTAGATTTGTTTTTAATCTTAACCTGTATACACCAAGAGCTGACAATGAATGTAGGGACTAGATTTTGAGATTCTCAGTTCTAGAAATAAAAGCCTGGCTGAGTTATTAGATACTTGAGGGTTTACTCCATATGCTGCTGAATCTTCTTTGGTTTTATATTTCTAGAATATGCTCATCACATTAAATTGCTTCTGCACATGTGCATGTCACATATTCTGAAACGACATGGTGACAAAACCAGACATGATGAAAACACCAAAGATCTAAACAAAGCTCTAGAGTTCTACTGTTCTGTCAGATAAATGGCTATTCTACTCTTCTCTTATCCGCTTCAGATACTTCCCACTTCTAGGTGCCCCAAATGTTTCCTTCACTTTCCCAGTGATAGAAAGTATCACATTTCTCTTTCCCTTCTTGGGGGTACTCCATTATATCTTCTTTTGTTGTTTCTTCTTCTTTTTTTAAAACCAGGGCAGGGTAGGAGTTAGGATTGAATTTTAATTTCCAGCAGTCCTTTCTACTACCTCTTATTTTTCCATTTTCATAGAATTCTGCTCTTGTTTTATGAACATTATCTTGTTTCAGTATCTCTGAGAATGCTAATTGAAAGATTTTCTTTTTTAAAAAATATTATCTTCTGTTTCCTAGTTATTTCTGTTTTCTCTGGTGTCACTTTTCCTGTGTTTATCTCTATTGAGCTGCAGACCTTCCCCAATTATATAGCGATTCTTCATAGTCCATTCACATCTAAGAATAAGGCAATATTGGCCTGTTTGGCATTCCTCTTTGGACAGGGCTGATTGTCTGGTAGGCTTCACTTTAGGGTGAAAACAGAAGGAGCTGACTATTGGGCTGAAAAGCCCTAGATGCTACATTTTGGAGTGCTTTGCTCTTGGGCACCAGTACCCACATTAGCTGCTCTAGTTTTCCTTAGACAGGTTTTGCCTTGTTTAAAGGAAAATGAAGCCTGTTATTTTTCACTTGGAAGGCAAATACTTTACCAGATATCATTCTGTGTGCAGATGTCTGGATGGGTGAATGTGGTAAAGTTCTCGGCTTTATGCTGAGCTCTCCAGGGCAGATCAACACCCTCCACCAGAAAAACCCCTGCCACCCTCCACCACACATGCACATACTTGAGAATGAAGCTTTCTCAAACTTTTTTTTTTTTTTTTTGAGATGCAGCCTTGTTCTATAGCCAGGCTGGAATGCAGTGGCGCAATATTGGCTCACTGCAAGGTCTGCCTCCCTGGTTCAAATGATTCTCCTGCCTCAGCCTCCCGAGTAGCTGGGACTACAGGCACCCGCCACCACGCCCGGCTAATTTTTGTGTTTTTAATAGAGACAGGGTTTCACCATGTTGGCCAGGATGGTCTCGAGCTCTTGACCTTGTGATCTGCCTGCTTTGGCCTCCCAAAGTGCTGGGATTACAGGCATGAACCACCGCGCCCAGCCCCTCAATCTTACTTTCTAAGTTACCACTCATCTAACCACTTTACATATTTAAGGAATTTCACAATTTTGTCTACCGATGACTTCCTTCATGTCCTGTCATTTTTAAAAATACCTTTTAATTTATTCACTATGATTTAAAACCTATTTACTAGGCAAAATTTTAAAACATATATAAAGTTAGAGATAATAGTATAATTAACCTCCATGTATTCATTATCCAGCTTCAACAATTATCAATGTTTTGTGAACAGTTTATTCATCTCTTACTTTGTTTTCTAGACGTATTCAGAAGCAAATCCAGGCATCATGTCATGTGTGTCATGAATATCTCAGTATACATCTCTAACTCAGAAATACATGCATGCATGAGCTTCTCATACCTAACAAAATCAACAGTCCCTTAACATTCTGTCATACACAAAGATTGTTAACATTGGTTCTGTTGTCCCCAAAGTGAGATTTGATAGTTTGAAATGAGGCCCAATCATGGTTCAAGAAATGTCTTCAATGGTTACATTTCTCCAGTTTCTTTTATTCTATAATAATTCTTCATTTTGCATATTTTTTTCCATATTACATTTACCTGTTTTATTGTGGTAAAAAATGACCCCCAAATTCAACAGCTATAACATAAAGGATTAAATTTTTAAATTTCTGGACCACAGTGCACACTGTCTGCAGTTGGGCAGTGCTTTGGCCTCTCTCCATGTGTCTTGTTTTTCTGGGACCCAGGCTATTTGTGGCAGGACGTTCTTGTGGCAGACATAAAAGGGCAAGAAAGCTGGTGATGGCATAGCTGACATGGCTTAGCTTGGACATGGCATAGTCTCTGCTGCTTACCTGCCATTGGTCAAAGCAAGTCATGAGGCCCAGTCAACACCAATGGGACAGGAACATACTCTGTTCCTTGAAAGAATGGCCAGCCAAGGAGCAATAGGCCTCAATGTATAATCTTCTCACAGGAAAAGGGAGTGAATAATTGGCCAGTAATCCAGCTCACTGCACATTCTTTTGATCGTTTGGAGAAACTAGGATATTTGTTCTGTAGACTGTCCTACATTCTGAATTTGGCTGATTGCTTCCTCATGGTATTGTTTGATTTATTCTTTTATGACCCATAGCTCCTGGAAACTGATGTGATTAGATTTCCTGGAAACCAGAGGAAAGATTTTTGGGTTTATTTAGTTATTTATTTATTCAGGCAAGAGTACTTCATAAGTTATGCTCTATACTCCCTGCTGCAAATGCTCTGAAGGCACAACATAGCTGACTAACCCACTTCTACTAAAATAGGTGTGATCATTGGGCTCTGTTGATGTCAGCCTGATCCTTGTATTGTGAAGCTCTCCATCAATCTTTCATCTTATGATTTCAGCACCCATTCATGGTTCCTGCCTAAATCCATGGCTTCATTAGGGACTGCAAAATGAAGATTTTTGTTTGTAATTCTACTATCTATATTTATTTACTGGGTAAAAGTAATAAAAAGTTATGATCAAAATGCCATGTTGAATCATAGCTACTATATTTATTTTATATTTTGAGAACTGAGTAAAATTTCATTGGAAAAAAGACTTTTTATTTAAAACAGTTTAAAAAATCACTGGGCCAGAGAATCTCTTCGTTGCCTTCCAACTCTAATGGTTTATGATTCAGTGACCTATGCTGAACCAATGTTTCATGACAGGAAAAAGGAGTACAGCTGATAGACAGAAGTTCTGTTGTAAGTGTGCAAAGGTAGCCAGTTAGATTTTCCATCTGGCCTAGAAGAGATTGGATATTGATGGAACCAGGGAGGATCCTCTGGGCAACAGCTTATTGTGAGGTAGAGAGAGAATGACCCTCAAGCATTTGGTCCTTGAAAGCTATGCAGAATGATTATGAGGCCAAGTTGTACAAGCATATGTGTCTCACACCAATGTAGAATATAAAACTGGGATTAGAAAACATAACAGAACATAACTTCTACCTTATCCCTTCACCATCTCATCCTCCACTATGAGATTTTCAGTTTCTTGTAAAGTAGCTTGCCACTGTCCTCATGTTTTCGTGGGTAACATGTTCTCCCATGTTCTCAGAAACCTAGAGGCACCCATCATTAACTACTTCTCATGACCCATCAGCCAAAGCCTTGGCTAGTTTGAAACCATAACCTGTCGCTGCTATATAGAACACAACTCTTCTATGTTTCCTACATTCCCCGGTGTGCTAAAGCTGCTCCCATTCCCTTTAAAGTGGGAAGAATTCCTCTTCTTCATATTTGTGTTCCATTCATTACATGAATAGAAAAGCAATTCTTCTGGGGACTCAATGATGTACAGAGATTTTAGTGAAACCTCTCTGTCAAGTTGAGCCCCCTGCCTTCTCCCTTAAGACTCAGGTACATGTTTATGGAACTTGGGAGGATGGGTCATCTGAGCAACAGCCACTTTATTGCATATCAAATGCTCCTTTTATTGTTTTGGCTGGGAGATGGGGGTGGCCCCATATCCTGATATAAAAGAGGACATTGTTAAGCCCTTTCTTAACATGATAGTTGCATGCCAAGTAAAGCAGCAGGCTGGGAAATAACCCCAATCTCTTTTCCAGATCTCAGGCACAGTGGCATCCTTCACCATGTGGAAGTTGACACTGGCTTCTACCACACAGTGTGGTTCTGGAGAGAGTCAAGATGAAGTCCTGTTGATAGAAGAACTGTGTTTATTCTGAAGCTCTCGCTCCCACCCCAGGGAAAGCCGAAGGAGGAGCTTGACAAGCTAAAGGGTAAGCCCTGGAAAAAGGCATAATCTAAAGTAACATTAAGGACTAGGGTAGTAAAAATGCACATGTGAAAACCATCACGAAGAGGGTCATTTGGTTTGCTAAGGAAATCAACATTGGCTCTAATATTGGTCTAAGTCTCTGAGAAAGGTCCCTTTTCTCACACCTTTGTTTGCTTCTAGTTTCCTTTTAGACAAAGTATTGGAAGTTATGAAATGTCCTTGTTATAGATGAGAGCAACTGACCAGATCTGCCACACACAGGAATGCCTCCCATTGCTCTCCAGGCATCAGAAGATGATCCACTGGGCTGCAAATTATGGAGGAAAAATCCATTAATTTATGAAGGTTTTGAAATATCCAACACTAAAGTTGAAGTTCTTGAAGCCTGGCCAGTATAAACAATTTTACATAAAGCTCTGTTTACTTCTATTCAGAAGCAGTCAAAATGACCCAGTTGTTCTGTGGAGCATGGAGCTCTGGTGTCTATCATCCACTGGTTGGATTTCTTTATGGTCAGGTTATAAAGAGGATCATCTTAGCTACTTCCTGCTATAAAATTTTATCCTCTTTTCTCCTATGGAAGGCAATACTCAATGGTCCCTGTAGAATGTATCTTATTGGTAGCACACATCAAGGCTGTGTGTGTCTGTGTGTGTTCTCAAGATCCCCACTGTCATTAACAGAAGAGGACTATAGATATGCTTCCTGTTAGAACACACAATAAAGCTCTTTGATTAAGGCTCACACTAATTGCATGTGAAGTCTGCTACCCATTGAATTCAGGTTAAAGGTAAAACTAATAAAGATGTTACAGGTGAACATTGGCCTTCCTGAAATTGCATAAATGTAATTGATGAGAAAAAACAATGAAACAAAGTAATGAATATGTTATTAATTTCCTGGTTCAAGTTTGAAGTCAAGAAGAGATAAAAAGTTCATCAGAATTGGTGTTTTATCAGGTAAAACTGGATTCATATTTTTTTTATTCTAGGAGCAACAATTCATCCTTGGTTATTTCTCAGAATTATTCCATATTGTTTGGAAGCTCAAAAACTTGAGCCCATCTCCATCTGTTCCTTCGTTTAGCTTTGAAAACCTTTCTATGCTTCTAGTATATGTGGATCAGCCTGCTTTCTCCTCCTTCTTCCTAGGACTCTTTTGCTGCCTTAGTCCTTGGCTCTGACAACACTTTGGTTTAGTTGTCCTGCCTAACTGAAAGCATGAGATTAAACCAAGGCAATGAGAACTTGGTGTTCCCAACTTAAGTTTGTGTGGTCAGTTCATCAGAACTCACCATGCTTTCTTCTTAACAGTACAGGCTTCTTAATTAGGTATCTGTCCAGCTCATGAACTGCAAGAGGTGAAGACCTTTCCCTTGCATATTTGGAATAAAAAACAGCTTGCCTCTGGTGATTTGGGACCTTGGCCCCAGTAACTCAGCTGTTCTTTATTCCTACAGTCTACCTTCATGTGCGACCTTGAGAATCTCAAGGGTTAGAGAATGGAGAACAACAATTAAATTGGGACTCTTCGAGTTTCTTTTATTTGATCCTTAGTTTGCATTACATAGAAATTAACAGCATGGGCCTTGGAGTTTAACACCCTAAGGTCAGATCTTTACTCTGACCCATATTCTGTATGAACTTAGAAAAGTTTCTGATCCTCTCTGTGTCAGTTTTACCTATAGGCATAATATAGCTATTTATCTCACAGAATTGTCAGGATGACTGAGTGACACAATACATGCAAAATGCTTACTACAGAATAAGGCCTTGTTAAATGTTGGCTGCTATAATTGTTGTAAATAGTGTTAAATTGGCCTTCTAGAAGTTAAGGGTGGGACTTTCCAGGATGTACTTTACCTGTTTTAATGTATGAATTTTGTAACGTAAACATGCTTAACTTCCCATGTGTTTTACTATAAGTATAAGCAGTGGATTGATTTATCCCTATCTCAGTCCCAAAACATCAGTCAATCCTGGTCTACCTACTTCAGGGCATATCCCACTGAACTGGATCCCCACTGTGGGAGCAGGATATGCAACCACAGACAGAGTCTCCAGTAAATTCAGTTTCCATAAGCTTAAATCACAGAAACACTCTGGAGGCAATGCCAAGTTTCTTCCAGAAAGAGAAATACTATGATCATAGCTCACAAAATCAGGCTGAACTTTCACATTCTCTCTTGTATCACTAGTGAAAAAAAAATCTTACTGTCAAGGAATCTCCACCCTAGGCAAGATTTATGTTCCACTTTCCTGACATTTGGTTCTTTTCCTGGGATCAGACTCATTCCAATATATTTATGCTTGAAGAGTCCACTGGAAAACTTTCCAAGCCAGCAATAGGAAACTGCTACCTGGCTGATTCTCTCCTCAGCTGCTGGCATAGTGGAGAAAAGACTTCAGGAACCTTCAGCAGACTGTCTCCCTGTCCAGATTTGTATCAACATTAATGCTTTGCTCATGATTGAAAAACATGTTCAGGCTTCCAGACTCAAATATGTTTCCTTTGCTCATAACCCTCTGGTGAGGGAACAAATGGTTTTGGATCCCTGGAGAGATGGGATGTCCCTTTATGACTGAGTTTCCCTGAACTCAGTGGGGTGCTGTGGGCTCTCTGGATGCCATTATGATGAGGCTGGAGATGCTCCTTGCTTGGCTAAATCCTCACATGTTAATATTTGGCCCGCCTGTTCCGCAGTGATTGATATTAAGGGATGAGAGTTTTTCCTGAATTTTTTCCCGCATTTTTCAAGCAGAGGTCACAATGACCTGCTGAGAAGGCAAGAATGGCTATAGCAATTTAGAAGAAACATGACAATCACCTCTTGCTTGGTAGAAACAGGCAAGGGAGTGATAGCCCCAAAGGAGGAGAGAGACTGGTTATTCTAAAGAGTGCAATGGAGTCACAAAGTATGAATGAGCAGGAGAGTAGTTGGGGATGAGAGATGTGGAGTAGGACTTATCGTTACTTTACAGTTTGTGGTTTGTTAATCTGAACTCTTCTTCTCTGCCCCAAAGGGAATCTTTCATCTGTCATAGTGGTTAAGAGCAGAGCCTTGGTGTCAGATGTACTTGGGTAAGAGCTCTGCCACTTAGAAGTATGCCTTGGTCAGCTTGCCTGGCCTCTCTAAACCTTGGTTTCCTCATTATTAAAGATAATAATTCCTGTTATATGCATTAATGAAAAATAAACATCAGATCACCTATAATGGTACCTGCCAAATAATTCAATGACACTAAAGAGTGGCTAGTGATAGTAGTGGTAGTTGGAATAGTGGCCGAGGTTATGGTATTGGTGTTGAGGATGGTGGTAACGGCAGTAGAAGCAGAAAAGGCTGTAATACTTGCAGGCTCCAGCGTTTTCACCGTATGATTCAACGGTCCTCCAAGGGCACCACAGCAGATGTACTGGCTTGGAGAGAAACCAGAGTTTGTTGGCCTCACCGCTCTACTGCCTCCTCAAAAGTATACTTTTCCCACCACTTCTTCCTTCTTTTAATGGAGCCAGATTTACAAATGGAAAAAATAAAACGGGCCTATATTTCTGACACCTGCCTCACCTGTGATCCTGAGACTTGGCAGCAAAGATTTCCCAAGGGCCATGGCAGAAACTAGTCTATAAGTCTTCCTCTTTGGGGACCCTTGTTCCCTTTCCTGGATCCCCAGCCAGACAGCCCAGGTGGTTTTTCATGCCATCAGACTGACGTTAAATTCAACCTCAGTTCTTAAAGGAAAAGGTACCATTTCCTTTCACCAGTCCCTGGAGCCCACCTCCATCCTATGATTGGCCTTCTCCCAGAATGACTCATCAACCCAGAGTTTGTCCTTTTGATGACCCCTGACGTCTTCCTGAGATGGGGTGAGACCTGCTGGGAGGAAAGGCAATCATTATTTCATCCCAAGCTGAGGCCACATAAAACACTTCCCTTCTCTAATGAATGGGCTCCAAAGGGCAATCTGACTTGTCTTGGTATGACCCTCCTAGGCCAAGGGTGGGGATGAGAATTTAAGCTAATGTTGGTGTTGGAAACATTTAGATATCAATTTCTCAACTTTTTCTCATTATAACAGATAGTTAATGCTGTTGTGGATGGACCTTTCTTTACCTTTCCCCCGACTTTTAAGAGACTTTACAGAAGCAGAATAGGAAACCACTCTATTAACAGTGTGTGGCCTGGAAAGTGTCAGTGTTTCATATAATGTGGAGGCCTAGTATATATAAACATGAGCCTCAAGGAATATGGAGAGTCATGCTTTGAAATGAGGCAAAATAGTGCAATGGCTAAAACAATGCATGATAGAGTAGAACAGATTGGGTTTGAATTAAGAATGTGGACATGCCACTTTATTTTCTAGGCTTCATTTTCCTCATGGGTATACTGGGGCTATTGATGGTACCCTATCTCGTAGGTACTATGTTAGATAAGACATAAAATGCACAGCATGGTGCCTGATGTACCATGGTAGGATGTGGCAGGGGCCACTAGCGGGAAATAAGCACCATCACTTGGAGCTCCAAGAAGACAACACTAAGCTACTGTGGGGATGAACACTTAGATTCAGGGTATTCATGAGTTGACATTCAGATTGGGACTTGAAGGAGAGTGTGGCTTCCACAGTGGCTAAATAAGTATTACAGGTAGAGAATGAAAACAGAGCTGTGAAAGGTAAATTCATCAAGCAATGAATTGTGTGTGGATAGCAAGATGCATGTGTGTGGGTAGAATAGTGAATGAAGAAATAAGCTGGGCCAAAATATTGGATGGCTTGACTAATACACTAAGAAGTTCTTCCAGAATGCGATGCCTCCATAGTGGTCATTCTCCTAGGCCTGCTAACTAGCCAACTCCCAGAATTATTAACTCCAACAGGCAAGATAATTTGGAGATACCCATGTTGGTATGCAGTAAGCATCCCAGCATATGCTTTAGGATTATTTCTACCCCTGTAATTCAGACCTACTGACAGGTCCGAACTATTGGAAGGACAGGCCCAGAAAAGTCTATTTATATGAGAAATCAGGGTACTGCCAGGGAAAATAACCACTTCAGGAACTTGACTCTTGGTCAAACATGTAGCTTGAGAGAGTAGGAACAATTATAAATCCATGGGATCTCCTACTTCCGTTTCCCTTGGACCTATACCTGAGTCCAATATTAGATAAAGGTCCTGTACACCAGAAATGGCAGGGAGTCCTAAGCCCATGGAATAGAACCTTTGAGGACCTCAAGGTGGAAAAGAGGACCAGTATAACCAGTGGCTGGAAGAGTGGCATGTAGTGAAGTTGAAGATTGAAGCAGAGGCCAGATGATAAAGAACATTCTAAGTCCTGAAGGATAGTCTGAATTTATTAATATTTCTAAATAAAATGGGAAGTTACCAAGGGGAATTTAAGCAGCTGAGTGATATGACATACTTATGAGTCAGAAAGACCATACATATTTGGAGACTGTGTTGGGTAGGAAAAGGTCTGGAAGCTGGAAACCAGTTAGGAAACTACTGTAGTAGTAAGAGCAAGAGGTTGTGATGACCTTCATTGCTACAAGGGTAGTGGAAGGAGTCATGGAGACAAGTATAGATTCAAAATGTCTTTTTAACATAGAATCACAGAGCTCAATAATGGATTAGAAAAGTAGTGAAGACAGAGAGGTTGGAGTCAAGAAAGTCTCCTAAGTTTCTGGATTCAGCAACCAGGCCAACAGTGGTAGTATTGACTGAGACAGAATACACAGGGGTGAGAAGGTGCTTTGGCTGGAAGACACAAGAGTTCTGATTTTGAGAAGTTCAAATAGGTCCTTAGGTAGGCATATGTTTATCCAAGACCTTTCAATGCCCTGGGAGTTGTCTGGACTAGAGAGACAAAGGTGGGAGGGCTGAGCTTCCTGAAAGAGAGGAAAAAGACAGGGCTCTGGAACTAACCTCCAAGCAACTCCAAAATTTTGTGTTTGGGAGGAGAAGGCAGAGCCAGTAAAGACACTGAAAAGAAGTGCCCAATAAATTTGAATGAAAAGCAGGGGAATGTGGTACCGGAAAGTGGGGGTTGGAGAGTGCTTTCAAACAAGGGAGGGCTCAGCAGGGTCAGGTGCCACTAAAGGGCTCACTATGGCAGGTGTGGCACTAAGCATTCTACATGCAGCATCTTTATTTTATCTCTGAAGTGGCAGAGCTGGGGTTGAAAACAAGGTACATCTGACTCCAAAGCCAATGCATTTTCTACTACCCTATGCTCCATAGGCATCCATGCCCTCATTTTGCAGATAAAATATTGAATGTCAGAGAATAAAGTGGCTACACAGACCGAGAGGAACTCATGTTCGACTGAAACCTGGGGCATCTCACTCCTAAATCTATGTCACTTCTCCTACAGCAGGCTTCCTCTCCTACTCTGCTTCCAACATGGACTTGGAAAACTCTGGGAATATATGCAAATGCTTCTCCATGAAGTAGAAAGAAAGGTACTTTTTCTACCACAAAAGGTAGAGATAGGGAGGCCGAGGCAGAAGAATCACTTGAACCCGGGAAGCGAAAGTTGCAGTGAGCCGAGATCATGCCACTGCACTCCAGTGTGGCGACAGAGTGAGACTCCATCCAAAAAAAAAAAAAAGAAGAAAGGTAGAGGTAGAGATAAACCCAAGATCAGGTTTTCCAGCAGTGTGTTTGAAAAATTAAAATAAGCTTGATTTGCATAGGAAGCAAAAATTAATGACATTCTAAGCCTTGTGCTTTAAGGCACATTCATAGGTTTAAAAAAAATAACCATGTCACATAATAAGGCAAGGTGCACTTTGGGTGTGGTAAACTGGAACACCCAAGCAGGGACTACAGGCATGGGTTGGGTGCACCTGCACTTGGGAGGATTTATGGCAGACCACAGATAGGTACTGCTCACTGCATCAGTCAGGGCCAAAGGATTACAGGTGGAAGGGAGGTGTCAAGTAGGAAGTCTGAGAAGAGCCCAGGTCACCTACTCCCGAGTATGCATTGGAAGGGGACTCAGATGCACCTGGGTGTGGCAGTGTCCACTTCTGTTTCTGGAACCAGAGCCATGGCTGCTGCTCAGCTAGGCTGGCTCTGCTGCTCTCCTCCCTTAGCTGTCAGTTAGGCTGAGACAAAAAGCCTGTGGCCTGATACTGCTGCATGGATTGTGTTTTCTTTGACTGATTTTCTTTTGGCACAAAAGTGGCAAGAAAATGAAAATGCGCCGGAGCTTGACTGTGATGAATGGGGCAGGAGGGTGGTAGGAAGAAGGCTGGTCCAGGAGTTAAGCTGTGCCTTGAAGTACATCGATGGGCTGGGCAGGCAGTGGTGGATCACAGCTGGTAAAAGCGTGGACCCTGGTGGGTAGGCCAGCCAGCTGGCTGTCATGGCTCTCAAGGGACATCTGGAAAGTACGGGGGATCAGTCTGTGGCTTTTAGCTGGACTTGGTCTTGAAACACATGGTCTGAAGTGTTCCCTGGGAGGACTGCTAGTGGCAATCCTTGAGGGTTATGTGTTCTGTGGATCCACCTTGCTGGGAGGAGAGAGTGTCTCAGAGTACTGTTAACTTTGGCATGGGCTTTGAGACAGGATCTTGGAAAGGTTATGCCTTATCCCAAGCACCGAAATGCCATCAAAAGTAGTTCCCAGGGGCCTTTTTAAGGGCCTGATCATGAGCCTTAGCTGTCTTCAGAATCAGAAACAGAACACATGCTCAGACCCCCATAATTCACTACCTTGAGGGCTTGAGAGTAGATTCTTATGCCCCAGGCTGAGATCTCTTTCTGTGGAATCCCATGTGGACACATAACAAATTATCTCATCACCAATCTCTTGCCTAAGAAACTCCCTTCAAACTTCCTTTGACTTATTAATATAGGTCAAGTAGTTTATTACCTACTGACAACAGTTCTCACGGTTCTATTCCACTGGACCTTTTACAAGCAAAATCCCAGGAAAAGACTATCCCTGTTACCACTTTCCTGAGTTCAAAGTCTAAGTTCAAAGACTAAGTCTCATGCACTATATAAAATAGTCCCACAACTCAGATTCTACCCTTTTACCCCCTTGTTTTCAACGTGATACCTGACAACCATGTTATTTGGGTATTTGTGTTTATTTCTGCCTTTGTCCTGTAGAATGCAAGCTCCATGAGGTCAGTCATATTGCATCGTTCACTTAGCAGTGACAGCATATCTGACATATAGTAGTTGTTCAATGAGCACTGATTCAATCATTGAATGAATAAAAGTTCTGTGTGGGTTGCCATATGGGGCATAATGAGGAGACAGGTGAGCAACTGAGAGGTAAGCCTAAGAGTGTGTAAGCTGCTGAGTTTTTGAATTTATATTATTTATTATATAAATATTTATATTATATATTTATATTTATATTATATAATTAAATATTTATATTATATATTTATATTATATAATATAAATTAAATATTTATATTATATAATATAAATTAAATATTTATGTTATATAATATAAATATTAATATATAAATATTAATATATTTATAATAATATAAATATATTAATATTTGGGCTTTCACCCTTGTGGACCCAGGCTCTAGGTATGCCCCCATGTCCAGGCCGCTTCCCTGTCCCATGCTCTTGGCTCACCCCCATGGACCCAGGCTTCTGCCCCATCTGAGGACTCAGTCATCAGGCTCAGCCCAGTGGACCCTAGTACCAGGCCAGCCCCTTTGGGCTCAAGCTCCAGGCCTGCTCACCTGCTGACTCAGGCATCAGGCCATCCTGCCTGAAGACTCCAACAGCAAGCCTGCCCACAAGCCCCACCAGTTAGCCTACCCAGAACCTCTGCATGGGCTGACTGGTAAAAGGCTTTCCCTGGTGAAGATGGTCTGTAAAGACTGGAGGAGGCACTTACTTCTTCAGATGCATAGCCACAAGAAACATCAATAATCAGAAAAACATAACACCAACAAAGGAACAAAATGAAGTACCAGTAATCTAAAGAAATGGATATCTATGAACCTCTTGACAAAGGATTCAAACTAATTGTCTTAAAGAAGTTCAGTGAGATACAAATGAATACTGATGGAAAACCAAACAAAACTAAGAAAACAATACAGAACATAATTAGAAATTCAACAAAGAGAGACAACCCATAAAAAAGAACAAAAAATTTCTAGAATTTAAGAGCATAATGTTTAGACTGAAAAATTTCATAAAGAGCTCAACAACAGACTAAATCAAGCAAAAGGGAGCATTAGCAAGCTCAAAGACAGGTCATTTGGGATTTCCCAAGTAGAGGAAAAAAAAAGAAAGGAGTCAAGAAAGTCTATGGAACTTACGACACACAATCAAGGGAACCCAATATAAGCATTATGGGAGTTCTAATGGAGCAGAGAAAGAGAATGGAACAGAAAGCATATTTTAAAAATTAATAACAGAAAACTTCTCACACCTGGAATGGGAAATAAATATCCAGATCTACTAAGTCCAAAGAACCCCAAATAGGTTAAACGTAAGGAGATCTTCACTGAGACACATTATAATTAAATTCCCAAAAGTCAGAGTCAAAGAGAAAATTATCAAAGCAGCACAAGAGAAGCAACTTATCACATAAAAGGGAATCCTCTTCAGACTATCTACATATTTCTCAGCAGAAACCTTGCAAGCCAGGAGAAAGTGAGATGATATATAAAGTACTGAAAGAAAAAAAGAACAAAAACTGCCAATCAGGAATATTATACCCAGCAAAGCCATTCTTCAAAAATTAAGGGGAGACAAAGACTTTCGCAGACAAACAAAAGCTGAGGGAGTTCATTACCACTAGACCTACTTTACAAGAAATACTAAAGAGAGTTTGAGTTGAAAAAAATTATGCTAACAAGCTGAAAACATATGAAAATATAAAATTAGTCCAAGTGAGGTGGCTCTCACCTATAATCCCAGCACTTTGGGAGGCCGAGGCAGGCAGATCATGAGGTCAGAAGATTGAGACCATCCTGGCTAACAAGGTGAAAGGCTGTCTCTACTAAAAATACAAAAATCAGCTGGGTGTGGTGGTGCACACCTGTAATCCCAGCTACTCGGGAGGCTGAGGCAGGAGAATCACTTGAACCCAGGAGGCAGAGATTGTGGTGAGCCGAGATCATGCCACTGCACTCCAGCCTGGTGACAGAGCAAGACTCTGTCTCAACAAAAAAAAAAGAATATATAAAATTCACCATAAGGATAAAAATATAGTCAGACTCAGAATAACACTGTAGAAGTGGTGAATAAGTCACTTTTAACTCCAGTATAAAGTTAAAAGATAAATGTATTAATAATAACTATAGCTACAATAATTTGTTAATGGATACACAATATATAAAAGGCGTAAATTTTGACATCAATAGCAAAGTGTGGAGGGAGGAGAAGTTAAAGTGTAGAGTTTTTATATGTGGTCATAATTAAGTTATTATCAGCTTAAAATTGGCTTTTATAGCTATAAGATGTTTAATGTAAGCCTCACGATAACCACAAAATAAAACAAAGACCTATAGTACATACACAAAAGATAAAGAGACAGAAATCAAATCATACTACCATGAACATTTATCAAATCACAAAAGAAGACAGAAAGAGGGAAAAATGAATAAAGGAACTATAATACTATCAGAAAACAATAAACAAAATGTCAACATTAAGTTCTTACCTTCAGTAATTACTTCTTGTTTAATTAAAATTAAAGTTTTTTTTAGAGAGAGGGTCTTGCTTTGTCACCCAGGCTGTAGTGCAATGCTGTGATCATAGCTCACTGCAGCCTCAAACTCCTGGGTTCAAGCAATCCTCCCTCCTCAGCCTCTCAAGTAGCTAAGACAGCAGGTGTGCACCACCACACTTGACTAATTAAAAAAATTTTCTTTTGTGGAACTAGGGTCTTGGTGTGTTGCCCAGGTTGCTCTCAAACTCCTGGCCTCAAATGATCCTCTCATCGTGACCTCACAAAGTGCTGGGATTACAGTCATGAGCCACTGTTCCCAGACCTGGTAATTACTTTTAAATGTAACTTGACAGAATGGCTGAATAGATTTTGAGAAACAAGATCTAACTATATGCTGTCTACAAGAAACTCATTTTAGCTTTAAGGAGGCACACAGGTGGAAAGAGAAAGAATAGAAAAAGATATTTTGTGCAAATAGTAACCAAAAGGGAGCAGGAGTGGTTATATTTATATATATTTATATCTGACAAAATAGACTTAAAGTCAAAACTGTCCCAAAAGACAAAGAAGGTCGCTATATAATGATAAAAAGGTCAATTCATCAAGAAGACATAACAATTATAAATATATATGCACCCAACATCAGGGTCCCTAAATATATAAAGCTAATAGTAACAGAAAAAGAAATAGACATTTATACAATAACAGTAGGGGACTTCAATACCCCACTCTCAACAATGAATAGATTATCTGGAGAGAAAACCAGTAAGGAAACAGTGGATTTGAACAATACTGTTCAAATGTTATAGATCAAATGGATCAAACAGATATAAAAAGAATATTCCATCTATCAGGAGCAGAATACATATTCTTTTCAAATGCACATGGAACATTCTTCTGGATAAATCAAAGGATAAGGTAGGCCATGAAACAAGTCTTAACAAATTCAAGAAGACTAAAACCATTCCAAGTATCTTTTCTGACCACGATTGTATCAAACTATTAATAGAAAACAATATCATGAGGAATATTGGTAAATTAACCAATATATGGATATTAAAGAGCATGCTAGTGAACAACCAATGGGTCAAAGAATAATCAATAAATAAAGAATTTTTAAAAAAATATTCACAGAATCAGTAAAAAAACCTGTTTTGAAATTCATATGGAACCACAAAAGAGCCTGAATAGCCAAGGCAATCCTAGGCAAAAAGAACAAACCTGGCCACATTAATTTACTTGACTTCAAACTATACTACAAGAGGCTGGGCATGGTGGCTTACACCTGTAATCCCAGCACTTTGGGAGGCCAAGGTGGGCAGATCATCTGAGGTCAGGAGTTTGAAACCAACCTGGCAAACATGGCAAAACCCCATCTCTGCTAAAAATACAAAAATTAGCTGCACATGGTGGCAGGCACCTGTAATTGCAGCTACTTGGGAGAATGAGACATGAGACTCACTTATACCTGGGAGGCAGAGTGAGCCGAGATCATGCCACTGCACTCCAGCCTGGGCAACAGAGTGAGACTCTGTCTTAAGAAGAAAAAAAAAAAAGCTATACTACAAGGTTAAGTTTACAGTAACCAAAACAGCATGGTACTGATACAAAAACAGGCACATAGACCAGTGGAACAGAATAGAGTCCAGAAATAATCCTGCACATGTACAGCCATCCAATCTTCAGCAAAGCTGACAAAAATAAGCATTGGGAGAAAGGGATCCCTATTCAGAAAAAAATGGTGCTGTCATAACTGGCTAGCCATATGCAGAAGATTGAAAATGGACCCCAAAATTCAACTCAAGATGAACTAAAGAAGTAAATGCAAAACTTAAAACTACAAAAATCCTGAAAGAAAACCTAGGAAATACCATTCTGGACATAGGACCTGGCAAACATTTCATGATGAAGATGCCAAAAGCAATTGCAACAAAAACAAAAATTGACAAATGGGATCTAGTTAAACTGAAGAACTTCTGCACAGAAAAAGAAATTATCAACAGAGTAAACAGACAACCTACAGAATGGGAGAAAATATATGCAAACTATGAATCCAACAAAGGTCTTATATCCAGAATCTATAAGGATCTGAAATCAACAAGCAAAAAACAACCTCATTAAAAAGTGGACAAAGGACATGAACAGACACTTTTCAAAAGAAGATATACATGTGACCAACAAGCATCTGAAAAAATACTCAGCATCACTATTCATTAGAGAAATGCAAATCAAAACTACATTGAGATACCATCTCACACCAGTCAGAATGGCTATTATTAAAAAAGTCAGAAAATAACAGATGCTGGTGAGGTTTCAGAGAAGAGGGAACACTTATACACTGCTGGTGGGAATATAAATTAGTTCGGCCACGTAGAAAGCAATGTGTCAACTCCTCAAGGAACTTAAAATAGAACTACTATTTGAACCAGCAATCCCATTATTGAGTATATAACCAAAAGAATATAAATCGTTCTACCATAAATACACATAAATGTGTATGTTCATTGCAGCACTATTCACAATAGAAAAGACATTAAATCAACCTAGATGCCCATCAGTAGTAGAGTGGATGAAGAAAATGTACATATTCATCATGGAATACTATGTAGCCATAAAAAAGAATGAAATTATGCATGACCTTTGCAGCAACATAGATGGAGCTGGAGGCCATTATCCTAAGCAAACTAACACAGGAACAGAAAATCAAATACCACATGTGCTCACTTATAAGTAGGAGCTCAACAATAAGAGCACATGGACACCAAGGAGGGAAAATAGACATTGGGGCCTACTTGAGGGTGGAGGGTGGGAGGAGGGAGAGGATCAGAAAAAAATACCTATTGGGTACTATGTTTATTACTGAGTGACAAAATAATCTGTACACCAAACCCCAATGACATGCAATTTAACTATATATTAATAACAAACCTGCACATGTACCCTGAACCTAAACAAAAAATTGAAAAAAGAATCACAAACTATGATCAAGTGGGATTTATCCGTGGGATGCAAGGATAGTTCAACATATGCAAATAGGTAAATGTGATACACCATATTAACAGAATGAAATAAAAAATTATTGATTATCTGAACAGACACAGAAAAAAAATTTGAAAAAATTTCAACATCTTTTTATAATAAAAAACCTCAACACATTAGACATAAAAGAAAATCGAAATACAAAAAGCAATCTGAAAATGTGTACAAAACCACAAAGTCCTCAAATAGTAAAAACAATCTTGAACAAAAAGGACAAAACTGGAGGCATCACACAATCTGATTTCAAGATACAGTACAAAGCTATTGTAATCAACACAGTATGGTACTGTGGGCCTCAACATAATAAAAACCACATATGATAATCTAACAGCTAATATCATTTTTAATGGCCAAAAGCTGAAAACTTTTCCCCTAGGATTGGAATTGAGATATAGCTGTCTACTCTTGTCTCTTGTATTTAATATAGTACTAGAAGCCCTAGCCAGAGCAATTAGATTTTTAAAAAATTACAGGGATCCAAATTTGGAAGAAAGAAGTAAAATTGTTTGCAAGTGACATGATTTATATACAGAAAAATTCTAAAGATTCCACCAAAAAATCTGATTCAAACAAATAAACAAATTTAGTAAAGTTTCAGGGTACATTTGATATGCAAAAATAAGTTGTATTTCTGTACACTAACAATTACCTATTTGAAAAAAAATAAGAAAACAATCCCATTTATGACAGCATTAAAAATTTAAAAAACCTTAAGAATAAATTTAACCAAGGAAGTGAAACATCTATACACTGAAAGTACAAAACATTGATGAAAGAAATTGATGCAAAGATATCCAATGTTTATGCACTGAAAGAATTAATATTGGTAAAATAGTCATACTACCTGATATGGTTTGGCTGTGTCCCCACCCAAATCTCATCTTGAATTGCAGTTCCCACAATCCCCACGTGTTGTGGGAGGGAACCAATGGGAGATAATTGATTCATGGGGGCGGTTACCCCCCATGCTGCTGTTCTCATGATAGTGAGTGAGTTCTCATGAGATCTGATGGTTTTATAAAGGGCTTTTCCCCTTTTGCTCGGCACTTCTCCTTGTTGCCACTATGTGAAGAAGGTTGTATTTGCTTCCCCTTCCACCATGATTGTAAGTTTCCTGAGGCCTCCCCAGCCCCATGGAACTGTGAGTTAATTAAATCTCTTTCCTTTATAAATTACCCAGTCTCAGGTATGTCTTTATTAGCAGTGTGAGAATGGACTAATACACTACCTAAAGCAATCTATAGATTTAACGCAATCCCAATGAAAATTCCAATGTCATTTTCCACAGAAATAGAAAAAACAATCCTAAAATCTATATGAAACCGCAAAAGTCCTCAAATAGTCAAAGCAATCTCGAACAAAAAGAACAAAGCTGGAGGTATCACATAACCTGATTTCAAGATACACTACAAAGCTACTGTAATCAAAACAGTACAGCACTGTGTAAAAACAGACATATAAACCAGTGGAACAGACTAGAGAGCCCAGAATAAATCCACACCTTTATGGTCATTTGATTTTTGGCAAAGGTGCCAAGAACACACAACGGGGAAAAGATAGTCTCTTCAATAAATGGTTTTGGAAAAACTGGATATCCACATGTAGAAGAATGAAACTGAACCCTTATCCCACACCACATACAAAAATCAACTCAAAATGAATTAAAGATTTAAATGTAAGTGCTGGAACTGTGAAACTACTGAATAAAATATAGGGGAAAAGCTTCTTGACATTGGGCAAAGACTTTTTTGGATATGACCCCAAAAGCACAGGAAACAAAAATAGAATTAAACTACTGATATTTCATTAAGAAATCATGTTGCACACTTTAAATATATACAATTTTTGTCAATTATACCTCAATAAAGCTGGACACACACACACACACACACACACACACACACACACATTTGGTATATTTGGGGTTTACCTTCCAGCACGTGAGGAAGCCACAGAAGGGCTTTAACCATTCAGGGATAGGATCCAAGTTATGTTGTAGAGTGACACTCTGGTGGCTGGGAAGAGTGAGTTGTGTTACACTCAGAAGCAGAGAGATCCCATTGTGTGGCCGTTGCAGTGGGCCCCCAAGAGCCTTCAGTGGGGGATGGTGGCTCCAACTGAGCTTGAAGGACTTCCAAAGACAGCAAATGAGAGGTGAAGCCAGCTGGGCTTCTGGGTTGAGTGGGGACTTGGAGAACCTTTGTGTCTAGCTAAAGGATTGTAAACACACCAATCAGCACTCTGTCTAGCTAAAGGTTTGTAAACGCACCAATCAGCTCTCTGTCAAAACGGACCAATCAGCACTCTGTAAAACAGACCAATCAGCTCTCTGTAAAATGGACCAATCAGCTCTCTGTAAAATGAACCAATCAGCGGGATGTGGATGGGGCCAGATAAGAGAATAAAAGCAGGCCACCTGCGCCAACAGTGGCCACCCGCTCAGGTTCCCTTCCGGTGTGAAAGGTGTGTTCTTTCGCTTTTCAGATAAATCTTGATGCTGCTTATTCCTTGGGTCCACGCTGTCTTTATGAGCTGTAACACTCACCCAGAAGGTCTGCAGCTTCACTCGTGAAGCCAGCAAGACCACCAGCTCACCAGTAGTGATGAACTTAAGTCGGGAGGACTGAACAACTCTGGACGTGCCACTTTTATGAACTATAACACTCACTGCAAAGGTTTCCAGCTTTCACTCGTGAGTTCAGAGATACCACAAACCCACCAGAAGGAACAAACAACTCCAGACATGCTGCTTTGCTGCGTTTAAGAGCCGTAAGACTCACCGCGAAGGTCTGCGGCTTCGCTCCTGAAGTCAGCAAGAGCACGAACCCACCAGAAGGAAGAAACTCCGGACACATCATCTTTAAGAACTGTAACACTCGGCAGGGCATTGGGGCTCACGCCTGTAATCCCAGCACTCCGGGAGGTCGGGGGGGGGGGGGGGGGTGGATCACGAGGTCAGGAGATCGAGACCATCCTCGCTAACACAGTGAAACCCCAGATCTACTAAAAATACAAAAAATTATTTTGGGCGAGGTGGTGGGCGCTTGTAGTCCTAGCTACGGGGGAAGCTGAGGTAGGAGAATGGCGTGAACCGTGGAGGCGGACCTTGCAGTGAGCAGAGATCGCGCCGCGAGACTCCGTCTAAAAAAAAAAAATGAACACTTACCACGAGGGTACGCGGCTTCATTCTGGAAGTCAGCGAGACCGAAAGCCTACCAATTCTGGACACAAAATGGGGTGGAGGTGGCAGAGAACAATACTCGGTGAGGCTTTTGGGGGCCATTAGGTGATTCATGTGATCAAAGTGAATAGTTCCTAGATCAGGGACAGTCAAAACTTCCTAGGTACATGAAGAAGCTGTTCCTCAAACAAAATGTCACTTGGAACTGCCACATTTAAGTGAAAGGGCAGTGGCTCTCCTTGGGGCTGGGGAGGGGGGTCTACAGCCACGTCCGGCTCTTAGGCATTGTTATTCCTTCTTCCCCAACTGTGGCCTCCAAGCCACTCTTGTAGAACCCCCCAGAGCTCTGAGGGTCCCAGTGGGAGAACCTCTGATAGGAGGGAAGGAGTGAGAGAGTGCCCTGCTGCTCTTCCTCTCGCTTTGCTCCCTTAACTTGTGCTGTGCACAGCTCTTGACCTTTCTGAGAACAGACTGGCATCTCTGGCCGCCCGCCCTCCTTCCCTCCCTCCTCACCAACCCTGACTGGCAGAGGTTCTCTGCGTATCTGACTCAGTGAGCAACCTTCCTTAAGGCAAGGCCCTTTATTTACCCCTCCGCCTCCCATTTTGGCACCTCGGTGGCTATAAATACGCCCTGTGAATGCAATTACGTGATGGAACGCAGGCTGCGCCAAAGCCTCTTTGCTCCAGGCTATGGTGTCAGCCATTTACCTCTGTGAAGCATATAAAAAGACACGCGACTCAAGAGGCAACGCACACGCTGAGACAGAAAGCAAGAGCACAACGAAAAATACAACAACAAACAAAACTCATAAGACGGCATTATGAGTATTCCCGGGAGAACAAAAAGGCTCCAAGAAGGTAACTCCCGTCTCTTGAGCATACAATATGGTTTTTATAAACTTCCAGGACTCTTTCCTACTTTTTTTTTTGCTGTTTTTACCATATCACCCCCACAACACAGTTTTTTCTTAAGGAAATTAAACACAAAACACCTACTGTATATTTAATTTAAAGAGGAAAAAAAACTTCAAACCTTTCAATGTTGAAATATCATTAAGCAGGGTGACGCAAAGCTGGAGAGGCCAGGAAATTGAGTCTTTAACCTGCCACTCCTTCCCGAGCGTATGGCCATGTATGTCATTACACAGCACTCTGCTCCAGAGTATAAATTAAGCTTCATTATAAAGATGAAGGCAGCCCAGGCCTGGAGTTTCGCAGGATCTGGCTGCGGTGGGCTGGGGGGTAGTGGGTGGGCCCTGGCCCTCTCTCTTCTAGAGGTCACAGTAGTAGCACAAGGACCCCCACCTCCTTCATCCTCGGGGGCTGCTGCGAGGCCTTCTCAGCGAAGCATTGGCCAGGCTCTGGGAAGAGCCGATGACCGGCTGTGCTTTCCAGATTTGGAAACTTGGCTCATACTTTTCCTTAAGCAGCCTCCAGCTTCTCTGCGTATTTCAAATCATCTTGTCATTCAATGCCCAGAGCAAACGCCGTGGTCTTGCTGAAGCCACATTTCTAACCGCCCAGCTATTTCTTTCCCTCTGGCTCCTCCTGCATGACCAAGATTTTGAATTGTGAAGTTGATTGCCTGACTTCCCGGCAATGTTTCTTCATGTTGGACAGGTGACTAAGCCTCTTTATGCCTTTGTTTCCTTGTCTACAGGATGAACTAGTTGTGCGGATTAAGTGAGATTGTGCCCATAAAACACATAGTCATTCAACAACTCTTAAACTATCTTGGGAGCATAGCAGATGTGAAAGAAAACTATCTTTAGTCCCCTTTGAGTTCCAAAGTTCATTCCACAGATCTGGCTGGCCCAAACAATAGTACTTGTTTGTCAAACGCATCGTCTGTGCCCAAGCCTGGGCTGGGGAGTGTCAATAGCTAGTGAGAGAGGGGCTGAGGAACTCTGAAGGTCCTTGCCAGTGAAGAGCACGTCATACTTCCAGGATGCTGTCTGTGCTCTGCAAAAACCACGAGGCAGCCTAGAAGCTGCATTTCCGCAAGGAAGCTAAAGGAACTTAGGACAGAGTAAGGACTGCTGGGCTGCAGTGAAAGGGAAAACCTTGGAAGAAGAATGGCACATCATTTATTTTTCATTTACAAAGTGATTAACCTATGCGTTATTTTTCCCCAAAGGATTTTAGGTGGTTTTCAAAAGCACGTGCAATTCAAAATATAAGATAAATGAGGGAAAATATATGTAATTGTCAGTCCAGGGATTTGACACTTAGAGCTTAAAAGAAAGAAATGTTTGGATGGATGTGTATGTGTGTGTATATTGTAGGTGGTGGGGAGTGAGGTAGTGTTTCCCAACTGTTAGCTGATTGTTTTAGGTTTTCATCTTGTGATTCATACTATATTTGGCTTTGAGAAGCTTAAGTCCATTGTAGAGAAGATATTTCAGTTGACTTACAGCTCTTACATGGACTCTCAGCAGAACTTGGTTACAAAGGATTGGGAAAGTGGCCCAGGGATCTTGGTGACCAATATCTGGGGACATAACTAATGAGGAAGTGACCCAGGCTAGCAGCGAAGAAAACAATGACTCTCTTGGCTGGTCCTAAATCTCCTGTTTTCTCACGAAGATCCTTTGATCACTTCCTTGGCCAGGCAAATGTGTCCTTACTGTTTGTTTCAACTTATGGGGAATTTCCCGGGAGCCTGGCCCTATCTATCTCACGAGAATAACCTTTAATCTTATGAGTCTTCACAACACACACTATATAGCAACCATCACCTTAGTATACTAGACAGTGCAGTTGGTGTGCATCCAATAAGAAGGTCATCCCCAAGGCGTTCTGCAAGCTCAGGCCTCACGGAATGATGTTACCAAACTGCCTTGATTTCTGGCGATTTCCAACAGAGGATCACAGAGCACTGTTCAGGTCCACGTTAACCTTGTGGCTTTCTTGGCACATAGATCCCAAAGCAAAGGATGCCAGGCAACAAATCAGAAATAGAATTGAGAAGTAAGCACAAAGGATGAAGGGAAGTGCCAAATACATTTGGTTTCTCATGGGGGATAAATTGAATTACGGTCTTAAAAAGTTTTAAAATAGTGCAGAAATGCTAAACATGAAAAGAGGTGTTGGATATATTTTAAGATTCCAGGAACTCAGAATCAGAGTCATGACATAAGAGGGATTCACTGGTCATTTTGTACAGTAGTGCCAGAAATAAGGAGCCTTGCGGTGCACATCCAGCCAAATCCAGGCAAGTGGGAATGGAGAGGCAAAGAGAGCTTGGGTTAAAACACAGTATCGTTTTCATGCCCCACTGGAAGTTACTGACATCCTCACATGGGCTCAGAATTCGAGCACGTGAGCTCACCTTCAACTTTAACAGCCTACATTCACCCAAGTGGTTCTGCAAAGAAATAAGAAACTGTGTTTTCCTTCCAAGTAACAGACACCGTGAAATGAGTGTTCAGGCTGGTTTCCCTGCAAATCCAGGCATCACAGAAAAACTTGTGACTACACAAACAAAAAAACAAGCATACATTATGTGGCCAGAATATGTTTATGTTTAATATATTTTTCAATTAAAAAAATCAAAACCAGCCGGGTGTGGTGGCTCACACCTGTAATCCCAGCACTTTAGGAGGCTTGAGGCAGGTGGATCACGAGGTCCGGAGACTGAGACCATCCTGGCTAATATGGTGAAACCCCATCTCTACTGAAAATACAAAAAAATTAACCGGGCTTGGTGGCATGCACCTGTAATCCCAGCTACTTAGGAGGCTGAGGCAGGAGAATCACTTGGACCCAGGAGGCAGAGGTTGCAGTGAGCTGAGATCCCGCCACTGCACTCCAGCCTGGGTGACAGAGTGAGACTCCATCTCAAAAAAAAAAAAAAGAGAAAAAAAAACCAAAACCACAAAGAATTAATGAGAGCAGCCTATCTATAAAGCCATCTCCTTGTATTTCTTTTGGAATCATTTAATAATGTTAAAATCTTAATATAAATGAAATCATATTTTCAACATGATTTTCAGGATTTGTATGTCTCTCTCTGTCTCTGTAAGTCTAAGCCAGGACCTTGACTGAAGAAAAGTATTCCTGCATCCAGTTCTGCTCTGGCCTCGTCTTTCTGAAAAGGCAGAGAAACAGAGGCTCCAAGAGATACCCTGTAGCTGAAAAAACCAAAATTGTTAAAACTAGAAAACACCATAGGCAATGAATTTAATCCTCTCCTGTTACAGAGGAGGGTCCAAGCTTTGAAAGATAAATTATTTCCCCAAGTTCAGATCTCCTGACTCCAAATCAAATTACTTTCTTTCATTTCTTTTCTTTTCTTTTCTTTTTTTTTTTTTGAGACGGAGTCTTGCTCTGTCCCCAGGCTGAAATGCAGTGGTGCGATCTCGGCTCACTGCAACCTCCGCCTCCCGGGTTCAAGTGATTCTTCTGCCTCAGCCTCCCAAGTAGCTGGGACTATAGGCGCGTGTCACCACTTGCAGGTAATCAAGTTACTATCTAGCCAAACTATCCACCTCTGAAGGGCTGTGCAGCTGGACGGAGGTGAGAGGGAGCTCTAAATGGGCTCCAGGCAGAACAGGTATCACTTGAGGGACAGCTCTCAGTGCAAGGATCCCCACTTACATCAGCGCCTAGACAGAGAATTATGGAAAGTAAATGGGGACAGAGTTCAGAAAGGGGGAGAAGAGGGCCAGGGGAGAAGAAGAGAAGGGCAGTGGCTCAGTAAGACCATAGCCTTTGCTAGGACACCAGTCTGTTGAGCCAGAAGTCCAATATGAGAACTTCCTTGGCCGTCGTTGGAAGTCCCCACACAGGTCTACTGGTGCCAAGTCACTTCTGGCTCTGAAAGGCCTGCCTTTTGGTTATATTCTCCCAGTACCTCAGAATGAACAACAACAACAAAAGCTTCATTTTACTTAGATAAACCCCCCTCTAGCAATCCCTGCAGAAAGACGAGTTCTTTCATCACACGCAAGGCAAGGGGTGGCACCCTGGGCTTTCAATGGGACCTGTTTGCAGCAGGAAACTGTCATTCTCTCCAGCCTTCATTTCCAAATGTTACCTTACATCCTCCTACCAAAAAGAAAGATTGCTATTGTTCAAAGGCCCTGAGAGGCTTGAAGGGTGCCTCTGTATCCCCAGTAGGGCTGAGATTGACAACTGACCTTGTGTCTTCTGCTCAGTAGCCATGAACCCAACAGCACTTGATATATTTGGGAATTGAGGACCACAAGAAAGATGAACCTCTTGGAAGGCAGTACTGGATGGCCGCTGCCCAAGCTTGGCGCAGCTTACATCACGCATACCATCCTTCCTAGCCGGCCAACCACCCTCAGCCTCTCTGGCAGGGTTCTCGCCAGCAATCATTACGACTTTATTATAGCCCCTTTCAGCAACTCATGAGTTTTTACAGCCAAATTACAAGTTTGTTTACAGTTAAGTAGCAGCGAGTACTTTTAAAGCAAGTACTGTAGATGTTTTTACGACTGAGTTTGCACCATCAGAAACATACCGAGTATATGGCAGGGCCCAGGACGCCAGGGAGGCTGTTTAGGATTCATCTAAATAGGGCAAATAAAGGGGCTTTGTGTTTGCCTCATGGAGGCAGGTCTCCACCAGGCCAAGGCTTGGATTTTACACCATGAGGTCTTTGTATATATACCAATGTGGGGTTCATCTGATAGTTTAAGGGACGTAATTTGCTTCATTAACTGTATTAAATATTAGAATAATTAGGTTATAATTTTAAAAATTATTGTCACATAATAGAATAGTCAAATTCATAGTGACAGAAAGTAGAATGGCCGTTTCCAGGGGTTGCAGGGTGGAAGGAATGAGGAATGGGGAGTTGGTGTTTAACAGGGACAGAGTTTCATTGTGAGAATATGAAAATCTTCTGGAGATGGATGGTGATGATGTTTGCACAGCAATGTGAATGTACTTGATGCCACTTAAAATGGTTGAGATGATACATGTTAAGTATATTTTGTTGCAATAAAAATATTTAGAAGCTGAAGACATATATTATTGCCTTCAGGTAGAGGATGGAGATTTAGGTTTAGGGAAGTAAGTATACACACATATATGTATATGTATATATGTGTGTGTAAAACAATCCCTTTTTCAAAACACATAGTTAACTTCCTATTCTTTCACTTTCTACTTTGATAACACCAATATCCAGATTTAGTACAAGATGTCTAAAACATTCTAGTTTTATCATATGAGCCAAGTTTGCCTGAAAACAAGTGGCGGATGGCATTTTTAGTGTGGTAAATAGTTTCATTACTTTCAAGTAAAATCTCTATAACATGGTTAACTCATGGAGTGAGATGTTCAATTCTGAAGAAACCTCTAATAGGATAACAATTTTCGAGCATTTTCTGTGATGGAATCACTCATAGTTGTTTGAGAACTTTGATACATATCTCCAACAAATAAATAAACTATTCGTATTGAGTAAATCTTTTTACTTGAATCATTTGGTTCATAAAAATGACTTACCTGCCATTTCCAAGCAGCAAGAAACCCTTGGTTGTGAGAAGACGATTCTGAACAATATGTGTATCTTAAGAGTGATTTTCTCATTGACTTAAAACATTCTCTCTTTTGATTACAACCTGAAGAATTTATGTTTTCTCACAAAAAAGCAGAACAAGTAAATATTAATGAAAAGAGATGATAAAAGGAAATAGAGCAAGCATAACTAATATTAATTATGATATTTGTAGGTTTTTTGTTTTAAAACAACAGAAATGTATTTCCTCCCAGTTCAAGTTTTTTATCACTACACTGCACTGTGTCTCATTCATATAACGCCATTTATTTTCTACATTTCCCTCTGAATGGCAAATTTCACAGTGGCCAAATATCGGTCTCTCTCATTCACTACTGTGTACTCAGGGTCTAGAACATTTCCTGGCATCTAATAGGTGCCTTGAAAAAAAATTGTTGTGGTAGAATACACATGACAAAAAATTTACCATTTTAAATTTTTTTTTTCTTTTTTTTTTTTCTTTAGAGGCAGGATCTCACTTTGTTACTCAGGCTGGAGGACTGCAGTGGTGCGATCATAGTTCATTGCAGCCTCAAATTCCTGGGCTCAAATGATCTTCCTGTCTCAGCCTCCCAAGTAGTTGGGACCCCAGGCACATGCCACCACACTGGCTAATTTTTAAATTTTTTGTAGAGATGGGGCCTCACTATGTTGCCCACGCTGGTCTCAAACTCTTGGCCTCAAGTGATCTTTGCACTTCCGCCTTGGCCTCCCAAAGTGCTGGGATTACAGGCATGAGCCACTGCACCCTGCCATCATTTTAACCATTTTTAAGTGTATAATTCAGCGGTATTAACTGCATTCATACTGTTGTGCAACCATCATCACCATCCATTTCCAGAGCTGTTTTTTGTTTTTGTTTTTTGTTTTTTTTTTTGCATCAAACTTCTCAACAGTAAAGACCGTGGTGGAGAACATTTTTGATAAACTCAAGGATTTGATCCAAGGAGCTTATGAACCAATGCTATCCCTCAACAGAATTGAGCATGCACAACTCAGGTGATCCTGTACTCTGAAACTTTCTTTCCACAGAACTATTCAAGGAGAAAAGCTTCATCCAAATCAGAGAGAACTGGGGAAACATTGGCCAAAGGACTAATAGTGAGTCTTGGATATATTTAATTATGGATCCCAAACTAAAATAAACGTAGGAACAACGGTAGAAAAATAATGTGTAATTTTTTATTGTCCTGACAAGTATGTGGGCCCTCCATATCTGTGGGTTCCACATCTTCAGATTAAAACAACTACAGATAGAAAATATTTTTTAAATGCAACAATAAAAAAATACAAATAAAAACAATAGAGTATAATGACTGTTTACACAGCATTTACACTGTGTTAGGTACTATAAGTAGTCTAGAGGTGATTTAAAATATGCAAGAGGATGTGCGTAGGTTATATGCAAATACTAAGCCGTTTTATATAAAGGACTCGAACATCCTTGGAATTTGATATGGGAGGTGTTGTCCTGGAACCGATATCCCATGGATACCATGCCTATATAATAATACAACTTTAAAAACTGGGAGAAAGGAGAGAGGAGAAGTAGAATAAGCACATTGATTGCTGCATAGGAAATAGATGGGAATTATAATTTTTAAGAACGCTCTATAACTTAGAGTTGACAAACCAAATAACAAATCTTCCCAGAGAGGGAGCATTCCTTCAAGCATTGCTGGCCTCCCAGAGACTCAAGGAGGTGCTGTTGTTAAGAGTCATGAGCTTAGCTGGTGCTTCTTTGTCTCCATAATAGGATGGGGCTTCAGTTCAGGGTAGGAAGATGGAAGTAGGTTATACTTGTTAGGAGAAATATTTGTTCTGATAGTGTGTGTGTGTGTGTGTGTGTGTGTGTGTGTGTGTGTGTGTGTGAGAGAGAGAGAGAGAGAGAGAGAAGATTGAGTGGGGACTTGGGTTTCTGCCTCAGAATCATGAACTTCACTGACTTCTAAACTCTTTCTTAGCTCAGAAATGCAGTATCAATGTCCTGACTGAGCTCACCCACTACTGTGTTATGTGTCATATTCCCAGACAGAAATCAACATCCCTGAAACATAATTCTATAAGGGGTGGTGTGTAATCTAGTTTTTACCTTCCTGGGCTTTGAATTCCTGATTCTAATTGCAAGGCAAGGCCCATAAATAACAGGTATAATAATACTCGTTTAATATAGCCAACACTTACTGAGTTATCATTCTGTCAGGCGCTAGCCTTGTAAAGCAGTGCCTAAATGTAGTTAACATTTAACTGTTACTGGTTTTATATGCATTGCCTCATCTAACGCTCACAAAAGACCCTATGAAGTAGGTGTTATTACTCTTCCCATTTCACAGCTGAAAAAACTGAAACTGAGATTAAGTATATTGCCTAATATCACATGGTTAGCAAGTTACAGAAAGGCCTTGAATCCAGATTTGTTTAACATCACAGCCTGTTCGCTTAACCACTCTGTTAATTCTGGAGGGATCTTTAACTCAGAATTGCATAAAGATGAGGCAAGGCCGTTGACAATGCCTGAGACACACTGCATTATACAGCTGTAATCTAAGATAAGTTTGACATCATCCTCACCAAAATTGAGATATTGTAACAAGAAAAGTTTATTAATTTATTTATCTTATGAGGGGAGTCAATACTCACCTTTTAATTCTAAACATTAGTAAATAAGGATCCAGTTTCATTACTTACAATGTTTAAAAGTAATTATCTAGTTTTTTTTTTGTAAGATGTATATGCAGATTGGTAAGAAAAATACTCACATCCAACCTCAACCTAACAGAAAAATTGGAAAGGCATCACCAGGACAGCCATTTAAAAGTATGGACCGGCCGGGTGCGGTGGCTCGCAACCTGTAACCCCGGCACTTTGGGAGGCTGAGGCAGGCGGATCACGAGGTCAGGAGATCGAGACCATTCTGGCTAACACGGTGAAACCCCATCTCTACTAAAAAAAAAATACAAAAAATTAGCTGGGCGTGGTGGCGGGTGCCTGTAGTCCCAGCTACTCAGGAAGCTGAGGCAGGAGAATGGTGTGAACCTGGGAGGTGGAGCTTGCAGTGAGCTGAGATCACGCCACTGCATTCCAACCTGGGGCACAGAGCGAGACTCTGTCTCAAAAAAAAAAAAAAAAAAGGACCACAAGTAGATGAAGTTTACTAGAAATCAAAGACATACAAATTAAAACTTAATAATATACCACTTTATTCTATCAAATGGAAATATTTTTAAAATTAATAACACACAATGTTTAAAAAGTATGAGGAAAGAAAGGCAACATTAGAAATAATTCAAAGAGCAATTTGGCCAAATATATCATAAGCTTTAACATTTGCATAGGCTTTGATACAGCCCTTCTTTTCCTTAACCTAGGAATTTGTAATACCATATAATATAAAAAATATAAAAATAGTTAACAGCAGAATATATAGCTACCAGATTTTTCATAGTAATATTGAATCAGGGAATTGGTTAAATAAACTTTGGAAGATTCTTACAATTTAATACCATGTGGCTATTAAACACATTGGAATATCTGTAGCTGTAGAAAAGCATGATGACTTAGTAAAGAAAATACAACAACTTACAAAGTAATATGGATTTTATTGAGTTCTACATGTGTACATGCGCTTTTCTGTATGTATATTTAAATTTTTTTAAATGACCATGGATGGTATGGTTTTATTTTTGAAAAGTATACATAGATACATCATATGCAGAAGAAAATCTTCAGAATGGAATACTCTAAAATACCCCCAAGACTATCTCTGGGTGGTCATTTAAGGTTTTTTCCCCACTTTATTGTGATGTGCTTTTTCTACAATGCATGTATACTGCAAGCACAATCATAAAATTTTATTAAGTAAAAGAGAGTGGAGACCCAATCTGTTGTGGCAGAAATACAGTCTCAGCCATTTCCAAAATCAACAGTTCCTTCTCGGGTCACCTGGACTGGAGCTCTGCCAAGGACAGGCCAAGGTCTGGAAAACAGTAGATCACTTGGTGATCCTGGAAGAACCTGGGAGCCACGCTGCTGGACACTCGATGTTTGGTTTCTGAGTGCGACTGGTCCAAACAGTGCGTGCCTCCACCTGTCTCTTTGACTTACTGCTCTGAAGCATGGCTACATGTCACCCCGGGGTTCGCTAGGCTCCTGCTCATGGGCTGTGGGCCAATGTTTAGTTCCTGAAGGTGTTGTATTTTCTGACAGTCAAAATTGGTTGCTAGATGCAGTGAAACATGAATACAACTGAGGTGTGGGCTGCAGACCTTCCTTTGATGTCACAGGGAGGAGAGAACTACGGGGGAGGCTATTCTTAGACATTGGAGTTCTCCTTCACTAACGACGGCCTTTGCTTGGCTTTTCATTCTGTGTAACTTCATCTGGAATTCTGTTTTCTCATTATTACCTGT
Organism: Homo sapiens; assembly: GCF_000001405.40. NCBI lineage: Eukaryota > Metazoa > Chordata > Mammalia > Primates > Hominidae > Homo > Homo sapiens. Next base: position 40,909,679 of record NC_000007.14, read on the forward strand.
TTCCAGATATTTCATGAGAGATTTCAACTACTCCACTTGTCTGATTATTCTGGCCCCTTCCAGACAGACCGGCTCCAAGGTTATGAGGTAGTTTGGACTCATCTCGTGGCTTTATCAGGAAGGTTTGCAGAAGAGTGAATTCATCTGTACGAAATTCCTTACTGAGTGGCGGCTTTTAGAGCCAACATGTCTGAGTCTAAAAACAGCAACTTGGTTAGACAGGGCCTCACCCAAGGGCATCTTCCAGGAAAGTGCTCACATTACCTGCTGACTTCTTGACTTGGGGTTCAACAGGCTAATTCACTTTTCATTTTCCTTGTTGGAAGCTGGTGGCAACAGGGAGAACATCCAGAGTTGGAAGACTGCAATCCAATCCAGCTGCTCTTGCCTTGACCTAGATGTAGGATTTGGTTTCTTTCCTTTTTTTTTTCCTTCTTGGTTTTCAACATGGAAAGTGCTTTCCTAAGACCTACCAGCACACAAAGAAGGATTCTCTGAAGGATCCATGGAATAGAGGAAGAGTTGGAGACAGGAAGCAATGGCAGGCTTAACCAGAAATGCACATCAAGCTGGAGACGGAAGACTAAGACCAGGTATGACAGATGTTAGGTCAAAATAGAAGAAAGATGGCAAAATGCCCAGTCTGAGAAGATTAACTTTTAATGGAGGGTAGCAAGAATTATAAACTTAGGTTGGTACTTGCTATCTACAGGAAATAGTTAACTTATCATGTGCTGGGTCAAGAGATATTGCAAGGCCTGCCTGTAAAAATATGGAACATTTTTATAATGACATAAGCTTGAAAGTTGATCCATGCTTACAAAGTGTGCTGCAGTGCAAACAGAGAGGGGACATAATGGCAGTTAGAAGGGAAGTAATGAGAAGTAAGAATGCCTGCCTATGTGTCTAGTACTGATCAAGGATTCCAGTGACCGCTCTGACAGTGTTATTTTGGTGACTTTGGAAGATCCGGTCAGCCTTTGCTCTATTTGGTTCCTCTGCACTTGCATCCATTGATAAGTGCTAATAATAATGGTAACCCCATGTTCCCCTTTATGGAAAGCAGGAAGCACACTTACTATACCTCTCTATGACCAGCACCCAGCATAGCCCATGGCACACAACAAATCCAAAATATATACACTAATTTGGCATGTATTTAATGATTTCCTTTTACATATAGAAATGATGGTAGGCCCCAGGAAAAGTCAAAATGACTTTACAAAGAAATTTTTGATTGGTTTGTTAGTAGTAAAGACCATCCTGGCAATGGATTGTGTTTTCAGGAAAGAAATAGAACTCAGAGAAGGAGGAGGTTCTGATAATAGGTACTAAAAATAAATCTGGGCTTTATTAATTGAAACCTTTGTACCCCCTCCCATCTTCATTTCCCTTCCCTTCGCCATGGCTGACAGGCATAACTTTCCATTCTTTCTGAATGCTTATCCCAAAGTAGCCATGAGTGACTTTCCTGATACTGCTTCGGGGGTGGGATAAGTTCAGAAGAACTAAGAAGATAAACAACAAACAAAGCAAAACATTACAAAATAAGCAAAGAAACAGTACAAGCCACCAAAAGTTGTATCAAAGTCTAGATTATTAAGACATTGTACTTGCTGTTTTGGAAATACTCTTCTGAACTTTGAGTACAGTTCAAAGTCAATGACATTATTTTAAAATCTTCTATGTGAGAGCTGCTACAAGAACAATTGTATAGTGATTAAAATTAAAAAAAAATTTTTAGTTGGGTGTGGTGGCACACACCTGTAGTCCCAGTTACTGGGGAGGCTGAAGTAGGAGGGTCAACTGAGCCCGGGAGGTCAAGGCTACAGTGAGCCGTGATTGCGCCACTGCACTCCAGCCTGGGTGGCAGAGTGAGACCCTGTCTCAAAAAAAAAAAAAAAAAGTCTCTCAACTTTGGCACTTTGGGGCCCAGATAATTCTTTGTTGTGGGGGCTGTCCTGTGTGCATTGTAGGATGTTTGGCAGCATTACTGGCCTATATACACTAGATGCCAGTAATTTCCTCCCAATTAGTGACAACCAAAAATGTCTCCACACATTGCCAAATGTCATGCAAATCATGCTTAGTTAAGAACCATCGGTATAAAGGAACCATGAAAAGCAGTTTTCTTGGTCTTGTTTCTTACATCCCTGAGTTCACATGCTGAAGGAATTGTAGTAACTATGAACTCATGCAGGAGGGAGGGCATGGTGTGTGTGTGGATGTACGCGTGTGTGTGCACAGGTGTCAGCTAATCATATATGAAGATTGGTGGAAATGTTGAAAATTTAAATTTAAGGTCTGTTGGTATTTCGTCCTAAGCACTCTTCCCCAAGGTCTGGCGTTTCAAGAAACTATTGGCTTTTATATGACAAATTTACTGCCCTGAAATTTATTGAGGAATAGAGGATGCTTCACTTCAACTTACTGTGACAGCTTGCTTTTTTTTTCTTGAAGAACTAGGCCTTACACATTATCCTACAAAAGTTTTAATTCAATGTTTACAATACCTATCTTTCTATTAATTTAGATTGGCCACATTTATGATACATTAGGCCTGTATTTTATGTGTTATTTTTAAATTCTTGCCCATTTTATGGTACTGGGGTCAAAATTTTACTAATTCAGATGATTTTAGAGGTTTATGGTTGTTGTATCTTGCTTGTATGACATTTTGTTAGTTATATCTGTGATTTATCTGTTGCTGAGTCCTTGGTCAGGAACACAACTCCCAATTATCCAACCAATTATAACATTGTTCCATGGGAAAACTTTAGCAGCTGAAACTGTTGACTCAGTATAATAAAAAAGAGCAGCTTAATATCAGATAAACTAAAATAAAATTTTGTTTTGGTCGACAGTTGCCAACATTTACAAGGCAAGTCATGAGAAACTCCATCTATCATTAACTTATCCTGTGTATTTTCCTGTCCTAGATGGGCCTGTGCTGATAGCATTTTTGTAGTCAAGATGTGTCCATCTTTGTAAGAATTGTTCTTAGTTTCCAAATTAAAAACAATTGCTTCATTACTACATGACACAGTAGTCTGTGTTCTGAAAGACTACATGTTCAGGCAATTAAACGTTTCCAAAAAAAAAAAAAAAAAAAGCTGACTTCACCATAATGCAACGTGGAGTTCACTATTTAGTTTTCACAATAGAATGCTACTTTTCTGTCAGTCAACTTGTACTCCATCAATATTTAATGATGCTGTTTAGATACTTGATGCACTTGTCTGAGAATATACCCCTGATCTGACTGCTCCAGTCCTGCCATCTCCTGCTATCCTTCACCATCCTTCCTGACTACAGAATTGCTGGATCCAATTTTTTTTTTTTTTTTTTTTTGAGATGTAATCTCCCTCTGTCGCTGGCCTGGAGTGCAGTGGCGCGATCTTGGCTCACTGCAACCTCTGCCTCCCGGGTTCAAGTGATTCTCCTGCCTCAGCCTCCCGAGTACCTGGGACTACAGGCGTGTGCCACCACGCCCAGCTAATTTTTTGTACTTTTAGTAGAGACGGGGTTTCACCATGTTAGCCAGGATGGATCCAACCTTTGATGGACACACCATAAGCAGTGGGGCTCAGGACATGGAGAAACGCCATCACATGCCACTATGCCACATGCACATTGATTTTATAACACATCCTGGTTTTAGAAATATTAAAATGGAAAAAAATTGTACATCTTAAAACTAAGAACATCACATGGTCCCCCAAATTTCCATTAGTCCACCCAAAGTAAATATACAATCTAAATAAAACAGTACCCTTGCTATGAAAATTCAATTTCAAGATAAGTTTTCTTGTCCCATATTCCAACTGCATTTTTGCTTTTAGAAAGAAATTCCAGAGCATGTACTACAAGAATGTCTTAATGAGATTTTGCCAAAATAATGCTGCCTACCAAATAATCTCAAAACTTGGTAGCTGACAACACAAGCATTTGTTCTCCCCATTCACTATTTTGCATGCTGACTTGCAGTTCAGCTGGTCTAGAATGGACTCATCTAGTTGTCTTTGCTTCAGGCTGTGGGCTCGCTGGATTCAGATCTGCTATATGTGTTTTTATTCTGGGGCCCAGGTTAAAGGGGCAGCTCTATCTGCAGTATGCTCCTCTCATGGTGATTACCAAAGCACAAGAGCCAAACTGAAATGCACAAGCTCATGGAAGACCTCTTCATGTCATGGCCACTAACATTCCATTCACTATAGAAAATCATATGGCCAGGTCTGGCATCAGTGGAGTCAGGAAAACAAATTTCACCCACACAAGAAAGGGAAATAAATAAATATTTGCAGAACAATAATCCTATCACAAAAATATGGCATTTGACAATGAGACTAAACATGCTGTTAAGTCAAGATTTTTTTTTTTTCAGTTTTTTTTTTTAGCTTACTCTTGAGTTAGCTCAGACAACACCACTTCTACGTATCTAATTTTTGTCTGGGGATTTTCCCCTTCCCCTCTTTCAGTCCCTAATGTCTGGAAAGGGTTCCAGGCTTGTCCTAAGAGTGACACACATCACTCAAAGTCCAATTACATTTCCTTTGTCACAGTGCTCAATGCATTTTATTTATTTATTTTTTTCTTTTTCTTTTTTTTTTTTATTATACTTTAAGTTTTAGGGTACATGTGCACATTGTGCAGGTTAGTTACATATGTATACATGTGCCATGCTGGTGCGCTGCACCCACTAACTCGTCATCTAGCATTAGGTTAGGACAAGGCTGATGAGACCTTCTTTTCAGCCCTCTACAAAGCCAGGTCTTCTCCTGGGCTTTTCAGTTTTGTCACCCAATTAATGGCTATGCTTGATACCTCAGATTTAAAAACTTTACCACGGATAAGATCTTTACACAGAAATCATTGTCAGGAGTAGAGTATAGTAGAGTATAGTAAATATTAGATCTTAAAATATGAAAACGCTAGGCTGAGGAAGTAGAGTGGAAGGCACTGAGAACCCCTATTCACAGCTTAGAAGTTGGCGTTTTATGTTGTTTGGTAGTGTAGCCATATCTTACACTGCTGTATCTCAGACCTCAAACCATAGGCCTATAGAGGCTGCAGCATTATGGAATTTGGAGGAGAAATTCAGGATATTGAAACACATGCCTGCCTTTTGTGGCCTTTTAGAAGGCACAATAAAGGTCCCACCAGAATTAGACAAACTGATGTTGAACCTTCTATATCTGAAATCAGAGAGGAAGGAAAATACAATTTGGCTAAGAGATGCCTTTCTGCATGAACCCTGTAAAATAAGGAAGATGAGAATTGGGTGATCTGGAATTTTGCAGGTTTAGAAAAGTTTATTCTTACCGTAATCATAAATTAGTGCAAACCTAATCAGGAAGATAGGGATCGTATCAGAAAATACCATTAGAATGTGGGGCTAACTTCTTTTCCGATCACTGCTGAGCATATCTTGTTCCCTACGTGACAAAGAGGATAATGACCCACATTCTTAAGGTGCGGCTGGTTGGTGCCTGAGTGCCAGATGAGTTTTCTTACCTCAACTATTGTTTCAAATTGCTCTGGGCAGTACAAAGTCGAAGGTCACTAAGGGAAAGACTTCAGGGATGGACAGAGCACCGGTCTTATCACTGAGAAAGAGAAATTCTCAGGCTGGAATCCAATTTCAAGGATCATGACTCAACAAGATATCTGGAGACTGGCTTATGGAGTTCAGTATATGAAACTAGGTAAGACCTCAAATGTTCCTAAAGGAGGAGCCAGACAATTCATAGGAGGAATTGTCTATGAATGTTTAGTCTCTAAGAAAACCCTGAGGTCTAAGAAATGTTGTCAACAACAACAGTAATAACAACAACAAAAACAGGCTAATAATGGGGACAGTTTTGGCAATGCCGTGTTAAGATATGGTCACAGAAAACAAAAGACCAAGAGGATTCTACCAAAAGCAGAAAAGGTAGCCATAAAGGCAGAGGACAGGAGCCATTCTCTCAGAGGGAAGAGCAGGAAGAACTTGACAAGCTGGGCAAGGAACTCATTCTCCTGCTGGGACAGGCAGCCCTTCCCATTCCTGTCCAGCTGTGTGTGCATTCATTAATTCAGCAAATACTACTGTACCTACTATGTTCCAGACAATGTAGAAATACATAAGTAAATAAAATAGAATTTGATACATGCATTGAATCAATGATTACTAATGTTTCCCATCGCACCCTGTTTTTTTGGTTCTCTCTCCACCATTGTATATTGGGCATGTTGGGTACCTTGTGAGAACTGCACATCACCCATTAATCTTAAACTTGAAGTGGGGTGAAACCATCAAATGAGATTTTACTTTTTCTTTCTGGAGACTGAGTGAGTATATTATATATGTCATATATGGATGTGGGACACTCTCTCTCTCTCTCTCTCTACATACACACACACACACACACACACACACACACACACAGATATACATATTAGCACTAGAATTGTATATGAATGTTAGGCAGCCAAGAGATTAACCGCAGTGGGTGGTTGCTATTTGTTTCTCCATCACCTGTTTCTTCTTCTTTCAGTACCAGACCTAATATTTTGTATGGGATCTACTTCTTCTCAGTCCACACAGTCTAGGTATGGGTCCACTTACAGCTCTAGAAATGAAGTGCATGATGTAGTCCTAAGTCATTCTGATTGCAGTGGTTGATTGAAGGATGGGTATGAATGGAGCAAGTCCAGTTAAAGTGAATCCCAGGATGTGGACCATGTTAGGAAAGACTCTCACTAGTTACTACTAGATTTTAACCTGGCATTAGGTAGCTCATGAGCTTCTGACATCTTGTGAGGATGAAGGAGGAGTCTTTTTGAGAATGAAGCCAATACAGATGAAAAGAGATAAACTGAATCCTGATAACATCATGTGGGTAATAGCATCCTATCATAACTGAATCTAGGTCTACACTTGAATACTTCTCTTTCTGAATCAGTAAGCTGACATTTTAATTACATTCTACTATCTGGTGTTTGATTTTTCAATTACTTAAAAAACAACTTTATGTATGTGCATGTGTTTGTATGTATGTGTACAGAAAAGACAAAGACATGCTACTGGCACTTTTTGAGGGTCAGACTGTGTAGGCTTTAACATTTATTATTCATTTGTTTCTTTATACACACAGATATTATACTTTAAAAATGTCCATACATGAAGCTATTGACAAAGCCTTATGGAGTCTGGAGTAGTTACAGAATTAGAAACACATGATTGATTGACCATAACTAAGAGTGCAGAATGTCGGAATCTATTGGTTCAAGTAAATAAGGAGTCATAAAAAACACTGTAGATAAAAGAGGGCCCCAGGAACTGAATATGTTAAGTAATCTTCTCGTCTGACAAAGTAGCCTGGGAATGTCCAACACAGCAATAAGCTATTATTCAACAGACCCAGTGAGGGACATCAGGAGTTCCTCAATCATACAATGTAGATTTCTTTTCCTCTGGGTTGAGAAGCATTAGCTCCCCATGGGGGAAGACTTTGGACAAAAATTCATGACTGTCAACTCTAGTAAACTTTTTTTGTATCTTCGACTCTTCTAATCATTATAAAATGACCTTACAATGTTTTCTATAATTGAAAAATACTATGTAATTCCCTTTAGAAGAAGGAGCAGTTCTTGGTTTTATTACCCATCTTACCCACAGTTTCTACCATACATAAGTTAGGGTAGTAGGTTACTCTTATAAAAATATTTCCTCAAATTTAGAGGCTCAAAGAACAAGAAGTTAATTTTTCTCTAGAAGTTCAAGATGAGAGGTCAAGGTCTCTGGGATGTACGCAGCCACCCAGATTCCTCTCCTTTTGTGACCACATCATCCTTTAGGGCCTTGCCATCATCTGCATGGTAGAGACTGAGTTACAGACATACCCAGGATCTAGGCTGCAGGAGGAGAGAAGAAGCCAGTTGTCTCAGTTCAAGCTGCTATAACAACAACAACAAAAACAAACTTGGTGGCTTATAAACAACAAACATGTTTCTCACAGTATTGGAGACTGAGACATCCAAGAACAAGGCACTGGCAGATTTGGCCTTTGGCGAGGGCCCTCTTCATGGTTTGCAGATGGCCACCTTCTTGCTGGGTCCTCAGATGGTAGAGAGAAGAACCTCTGGCATCCCTTTCTCCTCTCACAAGGGCACTAATCTTAGAATGAGGGCTCTGCTCTCATGACCTCATCTAATCCTAATTATCTCTCAAAGGCTCCATCTCTTAATACCATCACATTGGGGGTTAGGACTTCACCATATATATTTTGGCTGGATACAATCATTCAGTTCATAATACTCATCCACATCCTGAAGGCCTAGATATAGGAGGGCAGGCACTTTCCATTGGAGAAAACCCAGTTAGAGGATCACTACATGGAGAGGTGGGAAATGTTTCCTAGCCATGAGCCTAGAGGCAGGAGAATAAAATTGGGTGGAAAATAAGTCTCTTCATCTCCTCATACCCCCCTGAAAAGGGTCTTTGGTAAAAAGGGGAAAATAGGCCAGTCGCGGTGGTTCACACCTGTAATCCCAGCACTTTGGGAGGCCAAGGCGGGCGGATCACGAGGTCAGGAGTTTGAGACCAGCCTGACCAACATGGTGAAACCCTGTCTCTACTAAAAATACAAACATTAGCCGGGCATGGTGGCGTGTGCTTGTAATCCCAGCTACTCAGGAGGCTGAGGTAGGAGAATCACTTGAACCCGGGAGGCAGAGGTTGCAGTGAGCCAAGATTGTGCCACTGCACTCCAGTCTGGGCGACAGAGCGAGACTCTGTCTCAAAAAAAAAAAAAAAAAAGGTTTGGGGGATATAGAAAAATCTGTTAGTCTATTACAGCCCCAAAGCTATGATGATAAGAGGAAAGTCAAGTTAGCATGGGAATAATCTACTTGTTTTAGAGACATTACCTTCTATCAGACCTTATAACCATTCTCCAGGTTGAAATGCAATGGAACCCACTGAGTGAGACCAGAATTCTGGAAGATGATCGAAATAAAAGGATAGAACAAGGAGGGAGGGGAGAGAGAATGTATTCCTTGGTGCCCATCCTAGCTTTAGAAATCTTTGTTTATGACTGAAATTCCATTCTTAGTGGTTCATTTCTTTGGTATTCAAATACTCAAACAGCCAGAGTTCCTTAGAGTCTAAATTCCACAAGACAGGGTAATACTTTTAATCTCTTATATCACTGTTTTATACAAATATGCTTATGTCATTGTCAGAAGGATCTGGTATCTGTGGGACTCTGAATAGATGGAAAAGTTCCCTCACAAGTGGTGATGAGAGAAAAGTTACCTCACAAGTGGTGATGAGAGAAAAGTTACCTGACACACTCTGGCTTATTTCACAGGCATGGAGCGCCATCCACTTAGCTGCTGGGGTTTTCCTGAGTTTTATCTTTCCTCTCTACTCATTCTAAGTGTTCTTTCTGGATGAGCTCACTGAATCACATGCCTTTAACCACCTGCTAGCCACAGATAACTCACACATTTATTTCTGTAGCCCTGACCTCTCCTCAGGCTTCCACTCATTTGCTCAGGGACTACCAGATATCTCTACCTGCATGTCCCACGGACACTTCAAACTCACTCTGTCTAACACTCTACTCATCTTTCCCTAAAAGTAAGCTTCCTCCTGGATTGTCTGTTATTTGTTGGTGCCAGCATCCACCCAATTATCTCAACCAGGCACTGGGAAATTACCTTTGAATCAACCATCTTCACCATTTTCTGTTTAATCACTCAGAAAGTCCTATTCATTTTACCTCCTAAATGACCCCAAACGGGGGGTTCTTAATATATTGTTTATGATCCTGTATACAGAAGTGTTGTAACGACTGATTGACAGGTTTCCTCATCCTAGCTTTGCTCCTTCCTCATTGCCCCCACTCCAATACATTTCAGATTGTTGCTAATAAAATACACAGAACTCCAACCCAAGGTTTCTTAATTTATCTTTTATGATCCTGTATACAGAAGTATTATAATAACTGATTGACAGGTCTCCTTGTTCTAGTTTCCTCCTTCCCCACTGCCCCCACCCCACTACATTTTTAGATTGTTGCTAGAAGGACCTACCTGACCATCTAACTTACTTGTGTAATACTTTTCCACAACTCCCAATTACCTGACAAAGTCCTACATGTTCAGAACACAGCCAGGCCTTTCACAGCCTGACTCCTCCTGATTCTTCACATGCATCTCCCAGAGCTCCTTTAACAGCCCTTCTGCACCTTCCCTTCTAGCATTAGCTCCAATTGCCTGAACACATCTTGCTGATCCAGTGTGTGGCTCATGCTTCTTTCTTCCTCCATAGTTTTTATCATGGTGTTGCCTCCTTTTCTTTTATAACTCAGCCTGGGAGCACCTTCTCGGAGGTATCTTTCTTGACTACCTTCTTCCACCTCCTCTACTTGGTTAAAGGCCCCTCTGAGTGCTTCCATAGTCCCCTATACATTCCAGAATTATTTCTCCACTTATGACCTTGTGTTGAAGTCATTTATATTTCTAGCTCACTGGTTAGATTGTCATTTTCTCATAGAAGGAACCATATCTCGGTCTCTTCTTTCCTAAGTGCCTAGATATGGCATATATGATGCCCATGATAAATATTTCTCCCGTTGAATTGGCTTCTTCTGTGAGGAAAGTATGCCCTGTGCAGGACAAATGACAATTATGAGTGAGATTAACAAGAATATCACCAGAAGCCCTGGAAAGTTCAATATCTGCTATCACCTGACCTGTACCTGCTGATATTGCCAAAAAGAAAGGGCTGAAGGAGAGGGTGGGACTTCTCCAGGAATGACTGAAAAATGCACCCCCAACTCAGCCCATTTGGAAGCGAGGTGGTCCAGCTACTTCCTGTTGGCATGTGGTCATGTCAGAGCCTCAGACATGAATTGGGCTTCAGTTTTATTGTTGTTTGTCAGTTGGTTGGTTTTATTTCTTCTTTCTCTTTCATTATTCTTTGTCTAAACAGGAAAATCATCCTCCCAAATTGTTGATTGGCAGATCTTCTATTTGTCAATGTATCTCTAGATCCCCAGATGAAAGAGAAAGGATGGACTACCTTTAGATATTATCAGAGAGCAAAGGAGACACAGCATGAGAGAATGTAGCCAAGAGATAAATAAAAATAAAATGAAAGATAAGCAAGTTTAAGGTTTAAATACTTAATACCTTGTTTTCTGAAAGCCTCAGAAGGAAAAGAAAAGAACAAAATGCCAAGCGTGTTCATTTGGATGGTAATTAAATTGCAGTCCCATTGCTGTGATTAGTATTCCTGTGCTATGCTCACTTTAAGGAAGTGGACAGGTTGGTGTTGGCCCTGAGGGTAATTGTTTCTGGGTCAGGTACTGTTAGCTCCACACTCTATGCCTGTATCTCCCATCACAGGTTGGATGTTATTGGCACCTTCCTGCATTTGCCAGTGCTCTAGGGATACAGATGGAAATGTGTTAGTATAAATCAAAAATATTCATATTGTAAGAATCACTTTAATAGGTGCTTGTAAGGTGAAAATTCTGGTTTTAAATTAAATTTTATTTTATTTATTTATTTTTTTACAAAATAATATATTATTTGGAAGCGAGGTGAATAAATTTGTATGTGGACTATAGGGGCCTTTTAAAAACAAAGAAGCACAGGTCCCTGAACCTTGTGTTTTCAAAATCCAAAGTTGCTGCACTCCGCCAGGGTGGAAAGGTCCTAGTGAGAGGGAATAGCAAGGGTTCTGAAATAAAACCTCCATGGAGGTAGAGAGAGGCTGGGGGCCATGTGCACCTTCGTACTGAAGCAGGTCATCAGGGTGCTCAGATCTCACCTAGGTGAAGCAGGCGGCACTGGGAGACCAGGCTTAGTGTAGGCTGGAATACTCTTCACCTCGAAGAACTCCTGGAGCTAGGTCAGGACTCTAAACTTTCTCCAGTGGCAAAGAAGAGCCCAGTAAGCAAGAACAGCACAATCAGATGCCTCGGCTTTTCCCAGCTGTCATCTCCTGCAGAGGCCTTTGTCTGCTTCCAAAGCTACCAACCCCCGGGGGTGGTGGCTGTAACCTCCTGCTTTTCGTGGGCCTCAGCTCGAAAGTGAGGTTGCCCACTGCACTTTGAGAGGTTTGTGTGGGTGTGTGCATGTATGAGCATGCAAGGAAAGGCTCTAGACTGGAGCTGAGGACAATCTCACAATAGGGAGGTGGCAGTTCCAGCCATTTATTTAGAACATTAAAATTAAATATTGCCATCTTTTTCTCTCTACCCTGGAGAAGTTGCATATATCCATAACATGAATATAAATCGTAGTGAAGTCAGTTAAGTTGCAGATTCAAAAGAGACACCAGTGTTCCTATATTAACTCAGATGTGTTAGAAAGGAAAAAAATGTATCTTCCCGTATTTGTCACCCCCTGGATTGTTTCCATGGTTATCCAATGCTATGAGGAGAGACACTTGGTTTTTACTCCAGGGTTTAGAGGGGTGAGGAGTTCCTTAATGATTAAGCTTAGCATTCTTCCAAATCGGACTATGTCTTCTAGTGACCCCTTTTGGGCTTAGTAAAGTATTTGTCACCTATCCCAGAGTTTCTGTAAAATTGATCAGGAAAGAGGTGATGTTGTTTCACCTGGCTTCCCTGGTGGTAGGAGCACCAGCACTCCAAGTCCTAATTTCAGGAAACTCTTTGGCTCTTTGCCTGTGCTTTTTAAGACCTGGGTGCTTCTGAAGAGAACACCTTCCTTCTTCATTAGGTGGCTCTTGCAGTCTGCCTCATATTCACGCCTCAGGAGTCAGAGAGCTTGACTCATGGGGCAGGGTTCTTAGTCCTTGCCAAGGAGACAGAGACAGCAGCCTTGGGCAAAACTGACATCACATGCATACTTTAAAAGGAAGCAAAAAACACAAGGTTTCTTTACTGAGAGTGTAGAAATCAACAATGACTGTAGCTTCTCTTGAAAGAATCCACTGGTATATTTCACTTCATCCAAAATAGAGCAAAATTCAAGGAGAGGCCACATGAGCTTTGGGTTAGTAAATTGAAAGGTGCCCTTGACAGTTGCCTCGAGTTGGAGTTAGTAACTTTCTCATAATGGTGAGTGGAGTTTTACCTTGCAATAAGTGCCACACATAGCTGACTTGCCTTCAGACATATTTCTTTACAGGCCTCTATCTTTCCCCTCTTTGCCCCGGTGGTATTTCCTGCCCTTTGGCTGTTTTACACAGGCATGGGCAATACCAAGTAATTACTAATAGGAGATTTGCCCTCTGAGCTGTCTTGAAAGTGCCCAGCTCTTAGCTACTGGACAGACCCTTTGGTAGAAGGCCATTTTGTATGTGCTTCTGGGAAGATTAGAAAGCTGAGATGGGTGGAGAGGTAGACATCAAGGCCAGCGCTTTCAAGATTCAGTTGGAGCCTCTATAAAATAGAAATTGAGGGAGACTCCTTAGCCTATAAATGTGAAGAAAGAGGAGAAAGAGATGAGCAGTGTTTTGTCCTGGGTGTGCACCCTGTGGAGATTTTGTATAGGAACTTAGGCCCCTTGGTTCCCTACCTGGTTTTAAAAGCATTGCAGTTACTTGGCAAGTTACCATCAGAGAACATCATAGAATTGTCTGCTATTTATGTTGAAGATATTACATGCAGGAGACATTTATTCTGAAAAAATGCCTTTTGAGAATCAGAAAAAACAAGGGCATTTAGCAGTTTTGACAAGAATTCTAGCTCACATAGTGATTTTTGGCTTGGTCATTGATAATCATTAACCATGGTTTTGCACCATTTACCCATTCAGAGCACAAAGCTCTTAGGTAGAGAGTCAATAATCAACGTTGAAATTGAAACATGTTCTGTTACCTTAATTCAAGGAGACAGAAAATAATTTTCAGAATTTCTGGCTTGAGAATAAATTCACAGGCCCCTAAATCTTCTCTCCTCTAAGGAAAAAGCACTGACTGGTCAAGGTTCTTCTTGGGGACCACCAGATTCCCCAGGCCTGCAATTTTCTCTAGTCCATCAATATTGCCTACATCCTTGGCAAAAATATGGTATTTGGTGTTTCAGATCCCATTCTAAGTTATCTTCTCTGCTTTTCTAAATGAGTGCTTCTCATTCTTCTAGTCTTTATTTCTTTAGTGTCAGTTGAGTCATCCTGGAGGCCGTGGATCTTGATCTCCATGAACTGTGAATAGAAACATTTCCCTGCTGATGATAAACTTCCTCATTTGATACTGTGGTCTGAATGTTTGTGTCCCCCACAAATTCATATATTAACAGGCAGGAACTTTGCAAGGTGATTTGATCATGAGGGCAGAGTTCTCTCATGAATGGGATTAGTGCCCTTATAAAAGAGGTCTGAGGGAGCTTATTTGCCCCTTCTACCAGTTGAGGTCACATAGAAAGCAGTATCTATAAGGAACTGGCCCTCACCAGCCACTAAATCTGGTGGTGCCTTGAATTTGGACTTTCCAGCCTCCAGAACTGTGAGCAATAAATTTCTATTGTTTATATGTTATCCAGTGTTAAATATTTTGTTAAAGCACCCCAAACTGACTAAGACATTTTATCTTCAGCCAAGGTGGCCTGGATCTTTCAATTACGTGTGTGTGTGTGTGTGTGTGTGTGTGTGTAGTGGCATGATCTCAGTTTACTGCAACCTCTGCCTCCCCAGCTCAAGTGATCCCCCCACCTCAGCTTCCAAATAGCTGGGACCACAGGCATGCACCAGCATGCACCACTATGCTCAGATAATTTTTGTATTTTTAGTAGAGATGGGGCATTGCCAGGTTGCCCCACCCAGCTGGTCTCAAACTCCTGAGCTCAAGCGATCTGCCTGTCTTGGCCTCTGAAGGTGCTGGGATTACAGGCATGAGCCACTATGCCCAGACTCAATTTTCTATATTAGACCCTACAGGAAGATGCTCCAGGACTGGCTTGGATGATTAGCCCATCAGTCATCAGCATGGATCCAAGGACCTCAGCTCTCTCCTTCAACTAGGTATCCATTACAAGACACTCTTAAACATGGAGGACTATCTCTGGGGCTCAGATTTACAGTGTGCATAACGTACAGGCCATGAAACTAATAATTTAATGCTCAGATGGAGTGAACAAAGGAAGAAAACATAGGCAGTGCTTGTTATTAATTCTGTATCATCAGTACTTTAGTAAAGTCAAGGTGAACTTTCTTCATTCACAGATTGTAAGATGCTTTCATGTCATTATGTGTAACTATAGCACATTTATTTTTATGCTATATAATCTATCACAAATATCATGATGTATTCATTCTCTAGTCATATGGATATTGTGTTGCTATGAAGATTCTTGTACATGACTCCCAGTGTACCACATGTAAGTTTCTCCAAGTCTGGTGTATACACCTAAAGCTTTTTGCAGTCTCTGTTTTTAGAAGGAAGAGAGCTATAGCAGGCCACAGCTTGCAGAGCTTAATTAATGATATCTCTGGGTTATAATAGCCCCTGACTAACCCTTGGAATAAAATTTACTTTTCTTAAGCAAATCCTGACTTTCTATTTTTATGAGAATTTTCTATACTTTCTGACAGTAGTCAAAAGCTAAAATTCACACTGAAAATGGTTTCTTATCTTATGGGATGAACCCACATGATATTCCCCCATGTAAAGACTGGTTTCTGCATGACTCTTTCAATTTGAATTGTTTCAGGGAAAGGAATGGTCTTGTCTGACTTGCTTTTTAATATGCCTAATAGAATACAATCACAATGAATTCATCCTCCTCAGTTGTCCACATGTATATCATCTTCCCAGAGATAACTATTGTGACAAACCTTGGCATTCTTTCAGCTTTTTGAGATATTAGCTCTATTTAATTTTAAGTGGTATTATTCCCTATTCTGCAGAGCCGCTCAGATAAAGCTCAATAGGTGTTCTCTTCATCACAGAACAACTCTTTTGGGCTTGGTGGTTTACATGAGTCTGGAGAAACCCCAGTTGAGAGCAGGGAGGAGAAAGTAGCTGAACCGGATACCAAGATAAGAAAACTGGACCAGCTTCCAATCCCATCCAAAATGATGTATTCACAATACAAATTTATGGAACCTCAGCAGAGTCACGAATCATACTCAAGCCAAAAGCACTGGTTAAGGTGTCATTTAAAATTTCTTGCCAGTCATGATGGCTCATGCCTGCAATTCCAACAATTTGGGAGGCTGAGATGGGGGGACTGCTTGAGTCCAGGAGTTTGAGACCAGCCTGGGCAACATGGCGAAACTCCATCTCTACAAAAAATCCAAGAATTATCCAGGCATGGTGGCACATGCCTGTAATCCTAGCTACTTAGGAGGCCAAGGTGGGAGGATTGCTTGAGCCAGGAGTTTGAGGTTGCAGTGAACTATGATCCCATGATCACGCCACTGCACTCCAGCCTGGGTGACAGAGCAAGTTCCTGTTTAAAAAAAAAAAATCCCACTCCACTGCTCATTCTGCTAATTAAGAACTTACTACTGATGCTGAGTAAATACTACCTAATACAGCTTGATTCTTCCCAAACAGGACCATCCATGTTACTCAATATTTCAATAGTAGTAATCAAGCCTTATTCTTCTTAGCTTATAATGGAAATCATAGAAACTAACTCTTGAGAATTGGGTAAGATTGTCTTTGTATTGGACTCTTTGTTTGGTGTTATTCAGTGAAACATCCACAAAATTTCTTCCTTAATGGAGAAATGTTACTAGATTCATAGATACTAGATCAGAGGATTTCCTAAAATTGCTGCTGGAAACCAGAAGATTGTTAAAGAGCAAAGATAAAAACTTAGAATAAAGTAATAAGATAGTTTCTAGATTCAAGTAGTTTGCTTTGTGTAATGGACCAAATGTTTGTATCACCCCAAAATTTATATGTTGAAGCCCTAATCTCCAATGTACCGGTATTTGGAGATGGGGTCATGAAGGTCAGTCCCTCATGGTGAGATTAGTGTGTTTATAATAAGAGACACCAGAAAACTTTCCAGTTTTGTCTCTACCATGTGAACAAACAGTGAGAAGACAGCCAGCCTCAGCCAGGAAGGGAACCCTGACCAGGAACTGAATCAGCTGGCATCTTGATCTTGGATTTCCCAGCCTCCAGAACTGTGAGAAATAAATGTCTATTCTTTAAGCCACCCAGTGTATGGTAATTTGTTATGGCAGCCCAACCAGACAAATACACTTTGGTTTGTTTTTCAGTCTTTCCATCAAGGCCAAATATTAGTTTGAGGTAAATTCCAAGTTGTGAAGACTGATTCATTTAATAGAGCTGCCAGGGCTCTTGTAAACCTGAATGTTCCTGCTATCTCTGACAGTATAACTGTTTAGACATTGCCTTTAAGGGGATCATGTTCAAAATCTCAATATGGGAAACATATTTTGTGACTGGAAAATAGTGTCTCAAAGACTATAAAAAGTATTATTTAAAAACTTGTATATGTGGCATGGCAAATTAACCAATCTCACATAGTCTAAGATATGCAAAGGAAAATGTAGCTACTTAGCATTCCCTAAGGTATCTGATCTCGTTTGTGAGTGCTACCCACTCAATCATGGGAAAATAAAGATAAAATAAATTGATTTAAATTATTATTTTGAGATGTCTTAATCTTTTGGTGAAAACATAGTCATGTGGATTTCCTTTCTCTTGTCTTGCCTTGCTCTTGTGTGGTACATGAATATAGGTATCACTGAGTGGTGGGAAAAGGGGAGTCAGAACTATACAATATCCTCTGCATGCTTGCTGAGGTCTTTCCTGTGGAGGACATGATTCTTGTATTGATGCTTGCTATGATAACCAACCAACCAGAACCAGGCTTGTTCTTGTCTTAGCATTAAACACTTTGCATACCAGGAAATACTTCAGACCTGGGAAAACTTAGTTGGTCACCGAAATTGACTGTTGAGGGGCATATAGTCATATCTAACCTTTTGGGACAACATAAAAGACCACTGAATTAAGTCCTGGCTATTTGCTTCTAGTCATGATGTCCCTGCAATATATGAGCCTCTTGGTTCTGAGCTCAGGCATCTTTCAGTCCACTGACCCTTTTGGAGCCTCCATGTAACACCACTAAAATGGGATATAGAAATGTCTGTGTTTCCTGCATATCATTCAAAATTTGTGAGAAGTTAGAATCATTGCCTGAGCTCGTATGTTTGTAGTTAATTTATTTAGTCTTTTTATGTCTTTAGATACCTTTATTTGTCTTTACTCATACATGAGAGTTTAGGTATAAAATTCTAGTTTAATGATTATTTTTCCTTGGCATTTAAAAAGATATAATTTCATTTTCTTCTGGAATCTATTGTTGCTAATGAATCTCTAGTGGTAGTCAAATTGTTCCTTGGAAAGTAATCTCTCTTTTCTTTATATTATTTATTTTTTCCTAAAATTTCCCAAAGATATGCCTAGCTGTTGGTTTAATTAAATTAATTATTTTTATTTTTTTTCCCACCCATTTCTCCTTAATTTTATTTAACTTCCTCAGTACTCAGAGTACATTTTCCCTATAAAAACCTATGGATTTCTTCAATTATGAAAAATATTCAAATGTTTCTTTTTCAACATCCACTCCATTTCTTTTACAAGAACTTCTATTAGACATATGTTGGAACTTCTCAATCTATTTAGCTTATCTCTTCACTAGTTTCAGTTTTTAAAACATCTTTTCCTTTTTTTGCTTTATTTTTGGCAAATTCCTGAATACTATCTTTCACTTAATTAACTTTCACTTTTATACCATCATATCTGGAGGTGATTTTTCTATTGTTTCTTTTTATTTCGATAAATGTATTTTTCCATTTATAATATTTTTAAATGATTATTCTATATTTGCAATTGCTTTGTTCTTTCAGTTTTTGTTTCACATTTTTAATGTAAAGTATCCCAGCATTTGTTTCTTTGAGGACAGTAAAACTCTAATTTTTTTTTTTTTTGAGACGGAG
Organism: Homo sapiens; assembly: GCF_000001405.40. Classification (NCBI taxonomy): domain Eukaryota; kingdom Metazoa; phylum Chordata; class Mammalia; order Primates; family Hominidae; genus Homo; species Homo sapiens. The sequence continues at coordinate 40,928,627 of NC_000007.14, forward strand.
TCTTGCTCCATCTCCCAGGCTGGAGTGCAGTGGCGTGATCTCGGCTCACTACAACCTCTGCCTCCTAGGTTCAAGCAATTCTCCTGCCTCAGCCTCCTGAATAGCTGGGACTACAGGCACGCACCACCATGACCAGCTAATTTTTGTATTTTCAGTAGAGACTGGGATTTCACCATGTTGGCCAGGATGGTCTTGATCTCTTGACCTTGTGCTCCGCCCACCTTGGCCTCCCAAAGTGCTGGGATTACAGGCATGAGCCACCCTGCCCGGCAAAACTCTACTTTTTCCTTTTTCTTTTTCTTTCTTTCTTCCTATCTAAAATTGTACTTTAAGTTCTAGGGTACATGTGCACAATGTGCAAGTTTGTTACATAGGTATACATGTGCCATGTTGGTTTTCTGCACCCATCAACTTGTCATTTACGTTAGGTATTTCTCTTAATGCTATCCTTCCCCCAGCCCGCCACCCCCTGACAGGCCCCGGTGTGTGATGTTACCCACCCTGTTCTCATTGTTCAATTCCCACCTATGAGTGAGAACATGCGGTGTTTGGTTTTCTGTCCTTGTGATAGTTTGCTGAGAATGATGGTTTCCAGCTTCATCCATGTCTCTGCAAGGGACATGAACTCATTCTTTTTTATGGCTCCATAGTATTCCATGGTGTATATGTGCCACATTTTCTTAATCCAGTCTATCATTGATAGGCACTTGGGTTGGTTCCAAGTCTTTGCTGTTGTGAATAATGCCGCAATAAACACACGTGTGCATGTGTCTTTATAGAAGCATGATTTATAACCCTTTGGGTATATACCCAGTAATGGGATCGCTGGGTCAAATGGTATTTCTAGTTCTAGATCCTTGAGGAATCGCCTCACTGTCTTCCACAATGGTAGAACTAATTTACACTCCCACCAACAGTGTAAAAGTGTCACTATTTCTCCACACCCTTTCCAGCATCTGTTTCCTGACTTTTTAATGATTGCCATTCTAACTGGTGTGAGATGGTATCTCACTGTGGTTCTGATTTGCATTTCTCTCATGACCAGTGATGATGAGCATTTTTTCATGTGTCTCTTGGCTGCATAAATGTCTTCTTTTGAGAACTGTCTGTTCATATCCTTCACCCACTTTTTGATGAGGTTGTTTGTTTTTTCTTGTAAATTTGTTTAAGTTCTTTGTAGATTCTGGATATTAGCCCTTTGTCAGATGGGTAGATTGCAAAAATTTTCTCCCATTCTGTAGGTTGCCTATTCACTCTGATGGTAGTTTCTTTTGCTGTGCAGAAGCTCTTTAGTTTAATTAGATCCCATTTGTCAATTTTGGCTTTTGTTGCCATTGCTTTTGGTGTTTTAGTCATGAAGTCCTTGCCCATGCCTATGTCCTGAATGGTATTGCCTAGGTTTTCTTCTAGTGTTTTTATGGTTTTAGGTCTAACATTTAAGTCTTTAATCCATCTTGAATTAATTTTTGTATAAGGTGTAAAGAAGGGTACCAGTTTCAGCTTTCTACATATGGCTAGCCAGTTTTCCCAGCACCATTTATTAAATAGGGAATCCTTTCCCCATTTCTTGTTTTTGTCAGGTTTGTCAAAGAACAGACAGTTGTAGATGAGTGGTGTTATTTCTGAGGCCTCTGTTCTGTTCCATTGGTCTGTATATCTGTTTTGATACCAGTACCATGCTGTTTTGGTTACTGTAGCCTTATAGTATTGTTTGAAGTTAAGTAGCGTGATGCCTCCAGCTTTGTTGTTTTTGCTTAGGATTGTCTTGGCTATGCAGGCTCTTTTTTGGTTCTATATGAACTTTAAAGTAGTTTTTTCCAATTCTGTGAAGAAAGTCATTGGTAGCTTGATGGGGATGGCATTGAATCTATAAATTACCTTGGGCAGTATGGCCATTTCCATGATATTGATTCTTCCTATCCATGAGCATGGAGTGTTCTTCCATTTGTTTGTGTCCTCTTTTATTTTGTTGAGCAGTGGTTTGTAGTTCTCCTTGAAGAGGTCCTTCACATCCCTTGTAAGTTGGATTCCTAGATATTTTATTCTCTTTGAAGCAATTGTGAATGGGAGCTCACTCATGATTTGGCTCTCTGTTTGTCTGTTATTGGTGTATAGGAATGCCTGTGATTTTTGCACATTGATTTTGTATCCTGAGACTTTGCTGAAGTTGCTTATCAGCTTAAGGAGATTTTGGGCTGAGATGATGGAGTTTTCTAAATATACAATCATGTCACTTGCAAACAGGGACGATTTGACTTCCTCTTTTCCTAAATGAATGCACTTTATTTCTTTCTCTTGCCTGATTACCCAGGCCAGAACTTCCAACACTCTGTTGAATAGGAGTGGTGAGAGAGGGCATCCCTGTCTTGTGCCAGTTTTCAAAGGGAATGCTTCCAGTTTTTGGCCATTCAGTATGATACTGGCTGTGGGTTTGTCATAAATAGCTCTTATTGTTTTGAGATACATTCCATCCATACCTACTTTATTGAGAGTTTTTAGCATGAAGGGCAGTTGAATTTTGTCAAAGGCCTTTTCTGCATCTATTAAGATAATCATGTGGTTATTATCATTGGTTCTGTTTATATGATGGATTACATTTATTGATTTACATATGTTGAACCAGCCTTGCATCCCAGGGATAAAACTGACTTGATTGTGGTGGATAAGCTTTTTGATGTGCTGCTGGATTCAGTTTGCCAGTATTTTATTGAGGATTTTCACATCAATGTTCATCAGAGATATTGGTCTAAAATTCTCTTTTTTTGTTGTATCTCTGCCCGGCTTTGGTATCAGGATGATGCTGGCCTCATAAAATGAGTTAGGAAGGATTCCCTCTTTTTCTATTGATTGGAATAGTTTCAGAAGGAATGGTACCATCTCCTCTTTGTAGTTTTGCTAGAATTCGGCTGTAAATCTGTCTGGTCCTGGACTTTTTTTGGTTGATAGGCTATTAATTATTGCCTCAATTTCACAGCCTGTTATTGGTCTATTCAGAGATTCAACTTCTTCCTGGTTTAGTCTTGGGAGGGTGTACATGTCCAGGAATTTATCCATTTCTTCTAGATTTTCTAGTTTATTTGCATAGAGGTCTTTATAGTATTCTCTGATGGTGGTTTGTATTTCTGTGGGATCAGTGGTGATATCTGCTTTATCATTTTTTATTGCATCTATTTGATTCTTCTCTCTTTTATTCCTTATTAGTCTTGCTAGCAGTCTATCAATTTTGTTGATCTTTTCAAAAAACCAGCTCCTGGATTCATTGATTTTTTGAAGGGTTTTTTTGTGTCTCTATCTCCTTCAGTTCTGTTCTGATCTTAGTTGTTTCTTGCCTTCTGCTAGCTTTTGAATGTGTTTGCTCTTGCTTCTCTAGTTCTTTTCATTGTAATGTTAGGATGTCAATTTTAGATCTTTCCTGCTTTCTCTTGTGGACATTTAGTGCTATAAATTTCCCTCTACACGCTGCTTTAAATGTGTCTCAGAGATTCTGGTACATTGTGTCTTTGTTCTCACTGGTTTCAAAGAACATCTTTATTTCTGCCTTCATTTCGTTATTTACCCAGTAGTCATTCAGGAGCAGGTTGTTCAGTTTCCATGTAGTTGTGTCGTTTTGAGTGAGTTTCTTAATCCTGAGTTCTAATTTGATTGCTCTGTGGCCTGAGAGACAGTTTGTTGTGATTTTTGTTCTTTTACATTTGCTGAGGAGTGCTTTACTTCCAACTATGTGGTCAATTTTGGAATAAGTGCAGTGCGGTGCTGAGACGAATGTATGTTCTATTGATTTTGGTTGGAGAGTTCTGTAGTTGTCTATTAGGTCCGCTTGGTGCAGAGCTGAGTTCAAGTCCTGGATATCTTTGTTAACCTTCTGTCTCATTGATCCGTCTAATACTGACAGTGGAGTGTTAAAGTCTCCCATTATTATTGTGTGGGAGTCTAAGTCTCTTTGTAGGTCTCTAAGGACTTGCTTTATGAATCTGGGTGCTCCTATATTGGGTGTGTATATATTTAGGACAGTTAGCTCTTCTTGTTGCATTGATCCCTTTACCATTATGTAATGGCCTTCTTTGTCTCTTTTGATCTTTGTTGGTTTCAAGTCTGCTTTATCAGAGACTAGGTTTGCAACCTCTGCTTTTTTTTTTTTTTTTGCTTTCCATTTGCTTGGTAGATCTTCCTCCCTCCCTTTATTTTGAGCCTATGTGTGTCTCTGCACATGAGATGGGTCTCCTCAATACAGCACACTGATGGGTTTTGACTCTTTATCAAATTTGCCAGTCTGCGTCTTTTAATTGGGGCATTTAGCACATTTACATTTAAAGTTAATATTGTTATGTGTGAATTTGATCCTGTCATTATGATGTTCGCTGGTTATTTTGCCCATTAATTGATGCAGTTTCTTCCTAGCATCGATGGTCTTTACAATTTGGCATGTTTTTACAGTGGCTGGTACCAATTTTTCCTTTCCATGTTTAGTGCTTCCTTCAGGAGCTCTTGTAAGGCAGGCCTGGTGGTGGCAACAATCTCTCAGCGTTTGCTTGTCTGTAAAGGATTTTATTTCTCCTTCACTTAGGAAGCCTAGTTTCGCTGGATATGAAATTCTGGGTTGAAAATTCTTTTCTTTAAGATATTGAATATTGGTCCCCACCCTCTTCTGGCTTGTAGGGTTTCTGCCGAGAGATCTGCTGTTAGTCTGATGGGCTTCCCTTTGTGGGTAACTCGACCTTTCTCTCTGGCTGCCCTTAACATTTTTTCCTTCATTTCAACCTTGGTGAATCTGACAGTTATGTGTCTTGGGGTTGCTCTTCTCAAGGAATATCTTTGTGGCATTCTCTGTATTTCCTGAATTTGAATGTTGGCCTGCCTTGCTAGGTTGGGGAAGTTCTCCTGGATAATATCCTGAAGAGTGTTTTCCAACTTGGTTCCATTCTTCCCATCACTTTCAGGTATACCAATTAAATGTAGATTTGGTCTTTTCACATAATCCCATATTTCTTGGAGGCTTTGTTCATTTCTTTTTACTCTTCTTTGTCTAAACTTGTCTTCTTGCTTTATTTCATTAATTAGATCTTCAGTCACTGATATCCTTTCTTCCACTTGATCAAATCAGCTACTGAAGCTCGTGCATGCATCACAAAGTTCTTATGCCATGGTTTTCAGCTCCATCAGGTCATTTAAGGTCTTCTCTACACTGTTTATTGTAGTTAGCCATTCGTCTAACCTTTTTTCAAGGTTTTTAGCTTCCTTGCGATGGGTTAGAACATGCTCCTTTAGCTCGGAGAAGTTTGTTATTACCGACCTTCCGAAGCCTACTTCTCTCAACTCATCAAAGTCATTCTTCATCCAGCTTTGTTCCATTGCTGGCCAGGAGCTGCGATCCTTTGGAGGAGAAGAGGCACTTTGCTTTTTAGAATTTTCTGCTTTTCTGCTCTGGTTTCTCCCCATCTTTGTGGTTTTATCTACCTTTGGTCTTTGTTGTTGGTGACCTACAGATGGGGTTTTGGATTGGATGTCCTTTTTGTTGATGTTGATGCTATTCCTTTCCGTTTGTTAGTTTTTCTTCTAACAGTCAGGTCCCTCAGCTGCAGATCTGTTGGAGTTTGCTGGAGGTCCACTGCAGACCCTGTTTTCCTGGGTATCACCAGCAGAGGCTGCAGAACAGCAAATATTGCTGCCTGATCCTTCTGCTGGAAGCTTCATCCCAGAGGGGCACCTACCTGTATGAGGTGTCTTTCGGCCCCTACTGGGAGGTGTCTCCCAGTTAGGCTACATGGGAGTCAGGGACCCATTTGAGGAGGCAGTGTGTCCTTTCTTAGCACTCAAATGCCATGCTTGGAGAATCACTGCTCTCTTTGGGGCTGTCAGACAGCGATGTTTAAGTCTGCAGAAGTTTCTGCTGCTTTTTATTCAGCTATGCCCTGCTCACAGAGGTGGAATCTATAGAGGCAGTAGGCCTTGCTGAACTGTGGAGGGCTCTACCCATTTTGAGCTTTCTGGCCTCTTTGTTTACCTACTCAAGCCTCAGCAATGGTGGACGCCCCTCCCTCCACCAGGCTGCAGCTTGCAGGTCGATCTCAGACTGCTGCGCTAGCAGTGAGCAAGGCTCCATGGGTGTAGGACCCGCCAAGCCAGGCACAAGAGAGAATCTCCTGATCTGCCGGTTGCTAAGGTCGTGGGAAAAATGCAGTATTTGGGCAGAAGTGTCCTGTTTTTCCAGGTACAGTCTGTCACAGCATCTCTTGGAAAGGGAAATCCCCTGACCCCTTGTGCTTCCTGAAGTTCTGCTTTGGCTCACCCTCCATGGGCTGCACCCACTGTCCAACCAGTCCCAGTGAGATGAACCAGGTACCTCAGTTGGAAATGCAGAAATCACTTGTCTTCTGCGTTGATCATGCTGGGAGCTGCAGAACAGAGCTTTTCCATTTGGCCATCTTGGAATGGACCCAAAACTCTAATTTTAAAGTCTTTCTCTCACTGATAAGTGAATAGAAGATAATATAGAAAACATGGCAAATTTCATCTGGAATAAATTTATGCTCAAATTGTCTATTTGTTGATTCTGCTCACTAGCTTCAGGTATTTTCATGTGTTTTATAATTTTGGCAGTCTGTCTAATTTTTTAAAATTGATATTTTATTAATATACCATAAAAATCACCCTTTGATAGTATACAATTCATGGTTTTTAGTGTGTTTACAAAGTTGTGCAACCATCACTTCCATTGAATTCGAGAACATTTTCATCATCCCCCAAAGAAACTCCATATCATTAGTTGTTACTTTGTCACTCCAATTCCTTCCTGACCTCAGCCCTGGCAACCACTATTCTAATTTTTATGTTTATGGCTTTGCCTGTTCTGGCTATTTCATATAAATAGAATTATACAATACATGGCCTTTGTGTCTGGCTTCTTTTACTTAGCATAATGCTTTCAAGGTTCATTAATATTGAAGCATGTATACATACTTTATTTATTTTATGGCCGAATAATATTCCATTGAATGGATATACCACCTTCTGTTAATCACTTGACAAAAAATGTTGTTGGTCCCAATAATTAACTATTATGAATAATACTGCTATTTGCAGTCATGTAACAAGTTTTTGCATGAACATTGTTTTCAATTACCTTGGGATATAGCTAAGAGTTGAATTACTAGGCTATATGGTAACTCTATATTTAACTTCGTGAGTAATAATGAAGCTATTTTCCAAACAGGCTGTACCATTTTATAATCTCACCAGCAGTTTATATGGTTTCCAACTTTTCTAGATCTTTACCAACATTTGTTATTGTCTTCTTTGAGAGAGCCTTCCTAGTAGACTAGTCAAGTAATATTTTCTGTGGTTTTGATGTTCATTTCACTGATGATTCAAAAATGTATTATACCGTTTTCATGTGCTTATTAATTATTTGATGGAAAATTTTCTATTCAAATCCTTTGCCCATTTTAAGTTGAGTTATTTGCCTTTTATTTTTGAATTGTAAGATTTATTTATATATTCTGGATTTTCTTCAAAGAATTGTGATGTACTTGGCATTAATTATTTAAATGTTCAGTATAATTCACCACTGAAGCCATTTGGGCTTGGGTTTTTCCTTGTGGGATGTTTATTATTATTATTATTATTATTACTAATTTAATCTCCTTATCTTTTATAGGTCTTTTCAGATTTTTCATTTCTCCTTCACTCAGTTTTGGTAGTTTGTGTCTTTCTAGAATTTGTTTATTCAGATAGGTAATCAAAAATGTTGGTATATAATTGTTCACAGTAGTCCCTTAAAATTCTTATTTTAATTTTTTGTTATTATTAATAATGTTCCCTCTTTCACTCATGATTTTAGTAATTTGAGTCTTCTCTCTTTTATTCTTGGTCAGGTCTGGCTAAAGGCTTATTAAATTTGTTGATATTTTCAAAGAATCAACTTTTGGTTTTGTTGGCTTTCTTGTTTATTAATATTTTCTATTCTCTATTTCATGTATTTAGGTTCTAATCTGTATTATTTTCTTACTCCTTGTTTTGTGTTTAGTTAGCTTTTTTTTCTAGTTTCTTATAACAGAAAGGTAGGTTATTGATGTGAGATTGTCTTCTTTTTCTATATAAGCTTTCAGAACCATAAATCTCTCTCTTAATTACTTCTTTAGCTACATATTATATATTATGATATGTTGCATTTTAAAATTTTCATTCATCTCAAGCTGTTTTTAAGTTTTTCTTATGATTTCTTTTTTGATCCATTGGTTGGTTAAGGATGTGTTGCTTTATTTCCACATATATAAAAATTTCACAAATTTCCTTCTAGTATTGATTTCTAATTTCATTTCTTTGTATGTCATGTCAATTCTTTGTATGATTTGAATTCTTTTAAAATTTTAAGACTTCTTTTATGCCCTACCATGTTCTTTCCTGGAGAATTTCTGTATGCACACAAGAATAATATGTATTCTGCTGTTGTTTGGTGGACCAAATAGATGTCTGTTAGGTGTAGTTTATAGTGCTATTCAAGTCAACTATTTCTTTGTTATTTTTCAGTTTAGTTGTTCTTCCTCCACCCCCTCACCACCAAGAGATGAGGTCTTGCTCTGTAGCCCAGGCTGGAGTGCAGTGGCTCAATCTCGGCTCACTGCAACCTCTGCCTCCCAGGTTCAAGCGATTCTCCTCCCTCAGACTTCCAAGTAGCTGGGATTACAGGCGCCTGCCACTATGCCCAGCAAATTTTTTTGTATTTTTAGTAGAGACAGAGTTTCACCTTGTTGGCTAGGCTGGTATCAACCTCCTGACCTCAGGTGATCCACCTGCCTTGGCCTCGCAAAGGCATGAGCCGCTGCACCTGGCTTCAGTTTAGTTGTTCTAGTCATTATTGGAAGTGTTATATTAAAGTCTCCAGCCATTATTGTTGAATTGTTTATTTTTCCCTTCAATTCTGTCACTTTTTGTTTCATTCTGGGGCTCTGATGTTAGCTGCATATGTGTTTATAATTGTTATATATTCTTGATAAATTGGCCCTTGTATCATTATAAAATTTTGCTATTTGTTTCTAGCAACAATTTTTTTTGTCTGAACGTCTATTTTGCCTGATATTAGTATGTCCGTTCTAGCTCTCTTTTGGTTACCGCGTGGATAGTATATATTTTTTTCCATCCTTTTACTTTTAGCCTATTTTTGTCTTGAATCTAAATTGTGTTTTATACACTAACGGTCCCCAACCTTTTTAGCACCAGGGACCAGTCCTGTGGAAGACAATTTTTCCACAGGCAGGAGCCAGAGGGGATGATTTTGGGATGAAACTATTCCACCTCAGATCATCAGGCATTAGTTAGATTCTCATAAGGAGCACACAACCTAGATCCCTCGCATGTGCAGTTCACAATTGGGTTTGTGCTCCTGTGAAGATCTATTGCCTCTGTTGATCTGACAGGAGGTGGAGTGCATGTGGTAATGCTCAGTCACTCACTGCTCACCTCCTGCTGTGCAGCCAGGTTCCTAATAGGCCACGGACTGCTACCAGCCTGCAGCCTGGGGATGGGGACTCCTGTTGTAGACAACATATTTTTGGATTTTTTTCTTTAAATCTTTGCTGTTTGATTGGCATGATTACTTTATTTACATTTATTGTAGTTGCTAGGATACAAGAAATTTACCATTTTGCCTTTTCTTTTTTATATCATGTATCTTTTGGGTTCACCTGTTCCTTCGTTACTGCCTTCTTTTGTGTTAAATATTTTCTAGTATATCATTTTAATTCCCTTATTTGTTTTATTATTTTTTTGAGTTGTTGTCTCAGTGGTTGCCCTGAAGATTACAAATAACACAGTAATTTATAACAACCTAATTTGGATTATTACCAACTTAATTAATTAACTAATTAATTTTTTAAAGATACATTTTCTATTTCAATAGTTTTTGAAGTACAAGTGGTTTTTGGTTACATGAATGAATTGTTTAATGGTGAAGTCTGAGATTTTAGTGCACCCATCACTCAAATAGTGTACATTGTACCCAATATCTATTACTGTATTAGATATTAGATGTAATTAGATATTAATACTAATACTGTATCAGTCCATTTTCACACTGCTGATAATACCCCTTCCCACTCTTCCCACCAAGTCTCCAAAGTCCACTATACCACTCTGAATGTATATAGTATTTGGTTTTTTATTCCTGAATTACTTCACTTAGAATAATGACCTCCAATTCCATCCAAGTTCCTGCAAAAGACATTATTTCATTCTTTTTTATGGCTGAGTAGTATTCCATGATGTCTATATACCATATTTTCTTCATCCACTGATAGGATGATGGGCACTTACGTTGGATCCACATCTTTGCAATTGTGAATTGTGCTGCAATAAACATATTCATGCAGGTGTCTTTTTAATATAATGACTTCTTTTCCTTTGGATACATACTATATTAGTCCATTTCCATGCTGCTGATAAAGACCCGAGACAGGGCAATTTACAAAAGAAAGATGTTTAATTGGACTTCAGTTCCACGTGGGTGGGGAAGCCTCACAATTATGGAGGAAGGAAAGGAGGAGCAAGTCCCGTCTTACTTGGATGGCAGCAGGCAAAGACAGAATGAGGAAGATGCAAAAGTGGAAACCCCTCATAAAACCATCAGATCTCTTGAGACTTATTGACTACCACGAAAACAGTATGGGAGAAACCACCCCCATTATTCAATGATCTCTTTCCAGGTTTCTTCCACAACACGTGGGAATTATGGGTGTAGAATTCAAGATGAGATTTGGGTGGGGACACAGCCAAACCATATCACATACCTAGTAGTGGTATCACAGGATTAAATGGTAAATCCTACTTTTAGTTCTTTGAGAACTCTTTATACTGTTTTCCATAAAGGGTGCACTGATTTATATTCCCACCAGCAGTTTTCCCTTTTCACCACACCCATGCCAACATCTGTTGTTTTTTGATTTTTTAATAATGGCCATTCTGGCTGAGGTAAGGTGGTATGTCATTGTGGTTTTAATTTGCATGTCCCTGATGATTAGTGATATTGAGCACATTTTCATATGTTTGTTGGCCATTTGTATGTCTTCTGTTGAGAAGTGTCTATTCATGTCATTTTCCCACTTTTTGATGGGATTGCATTTTTCTTGCTGATTTGAGTTCCTTGTAGATTCTGGATATTAGTCCTTTTTTGGATGCATAGTTTGCAAATATTTTCTCCCATTCTGTTAGTTGTCTTTTTACTCTGATGATTGTCTCTTTTGCTGTGGAGAAGCTTTTTAGTTTAATTAGGTTTTATGTATTTTTTTTCTTGTTGCATTTGCTTTTGAGTTCTTAGTTATAAATTCATTGACTAGTCAATGTCCAGAATAGTTTTCCCTAGGTTTTCTCCAAGAGTTTTTATGGTTTCAGGTCTTAGATTTAAGACTTTAATCCAACTTGAGTTGATTTTTGTATGTGGTGAGAGATAGGGATCCAGTTTCATTCTTCTACATGTGGCTACCCAGTTTTCCCAGCACCATTTATTGAATAGGATGTCCTTTCCCCAATTTATGTTTTTGTATGCTTTGTTGAAGATTAGTTGGTTGTAAATATTTGGCTTTACTTCTGAGCTCTCTATTCTGTTCCATTAGTCTATATATCTACTTTTATAACAGGACTATGCTGCTTTGGTTACCATAGCCTTTTGTAGTATAATTTGAAGTTCAGTAATGTGACACCTCCAGATTTGTTCTTTTTTGCTTAGGGTTGCCTTGGCTATTTGGGCTCTTTTTTTGGTTCCATATGAATTTTAGAATTGTTTTTTCTAATCCTGTGAAAAATGATATTGCTATTTTGATAGGAATTGTATGGAATCTGTAAATTGCTTTGGTCAGTATGGTTATTTTCATGATATTGATTCTTCCATACCGTGAGCATGGGATGTATTTCCATTTGATTTTATCATCTATGATTTCTCTCAGCAGTGTTTGGTAGTTCTCCTTGTAGAGATCTTTCACCTTCTTGGTTAAGTATATTTTAAGATATTTTAAATTTTTGCAGCTATTGTAAAGAAGGATTGAGTTCTTGATTTCATTCTCAGATTGGTCATTTTTGGTGTATAGCCATGCTACTGGTTTGTATACGTTGATTTTGTAACCTGAGACTTTATTGAATTCATTTATCAAATCTAGGGTCTTTTGGAGGAATCTTTAGAGTTTTCTGGACAATCTTTAGAGTTTTCTAGACAGTTGGATATCCTCTTTCCCAATTTGGATGCCTTTTATTTCTTTCCCTTGCCTGATTGCTCTAACTAGCATTTCCAGTTCTATGTTGAATAGAAATGGTGAAAGTGGGTATCCTTTTCTTGTTCCAGTTCTTAGGGGAAATGCCTTTGACTTTTCCCTATTTAGTATGTTGTTGGCTGTGGGTTAGTCATATATTGCTTTTGATATTTTTGGGTATGTTCTTTCTATGCTTATTTTGTTGAGGGTTTTTATCTTAAAGGGATGCTGGATCTTATTGAATGCTTTTTCTGCATTTATTGAGATGATCATATGGTTTTTGCTTTTAATTTTATGTGGTGAATTAAATTAAAGGTCACATTTGTGACCTTTCAGACTTTTTGAATTAGGCATTTCATGCTGTAAACATTCCTTTTAACACACTTTGCTGTATCCCAGAGGTTTTGATAACTTATGTTGCTATTTTTCATTTTGAAGAATTTTAAATTACCATCTTGATTTCATTGTCAACCCCAAAATCACTCAGGGGCAAATTATTTAATTTCTATGTATTTGTATAGTCTTGAGGGTCCTTTTTGGAGTTGATTTCTAGTTTTATTCCACTGTGGTCTGAGAAGATAGGATTTTGACTTAAAAAAATTTATTGAGACTTGTTTTGTGGCCTCTCATATAATCTATCTTGAAAATGTTTAATGTTCTGATTAGAAGAATGTATATTCTGCAGTTCTTGGGTAGAATGTTCTGCAAATATATGTTAGGTCTATTTGTGCTAGAGTGCAATTTAGTCGAGTGTTTCTCTTTGTTGACTTTCTGCCTTGAGGATCGGTCTGTGCTGTCAGTGGAGTGTTGAAGTTCCTCATTATAATTGTGCTGCTGCCTATCACTTTGCTTAGGTCTAGTAATAATTGTTTTATAAATCTGGGAGCTCCAGAGTTAGGTGGGTATATATTTAGGATTGTAATATCTTGTTGTTAAATTGATCCTCTTATTGTTATATAATGACCTTTTTCTTATTTTTACTGTTGTTGCCTTAAAATCTGTTTTATCTGATATTATAATAGCTACTACTGTTCATTTTTTGTTTCCATTTTCATGTAACATATTTTCCACCCGTTTACCTTGAATCTATAAGAGTCTTTATGTGTTAGTGAGTCTCTTGAAGACAGAAGATATTTCGTTTGTGAGTTTTTATCCATTCTGCCAATCTGTATTTTTTAAGTGCAGCATTTAGACCACATTTAACATTAATATTGAGATATAAAGTACTATTTCAGTCATCATGTTGATTGTTACCTAGATACTTTAACTTCTTCACTATGTTATTGTTTCATAGGCCTGTGAGTTTTATGCTTTCAAGAGGTTCTATTCTAGTGCATATGGACCTTTTGTTTCAAGATTTAGAATTCCTTTTAGCCGTTCTTATAGGGCTTGTTTGGTAATGACAAATTCCCCCAGCATTTGCTTGTCTGAAAGATACTTTACTTTTGCATAATTTATGAAACCTAGTTTTACTGGATACAAAATTATTGGCTGATAGTTATTCCATTTGAGGATGCTAAAGATAGGACCCCAGTCCCTTCTGGCTTGTATGGTTTTTGCTGATAATTCTGCTGCTAGTCTGGTAGGTTTTCCTTTGTAGGTTACATGATACTTTTGTTTCAATACTCATAATTCTTTCCTTTACATTGAGTTTAGATAATTTGATGACTATATAGCTTGGTGATATTCTTTTTGCAATGAATATCTTAGGAGTTCTCTGAGCTTCTTGTATTTTGATGTCTAAATCTCCAGCAACGCCCAGGAGGTTTTCCTCAATTATTCCCTCAAATAAGTTTTCCACACTTTTTGTTTTTTCTTCTCTCTCAGGAACACTAATCATTCTTTGGTTTGGATAATTTACATAATGCCATATTTCTTGGAGACATTGTTTCTTTTAAATTCTCTGTCTTTTTTTTTTGTCTGATTGGGTTAATTTGAAAGCCTTGTCTTCAAGCTCTGAAATTCTTTCTTTTACTTGATCTAGTCTATTGTTAAAACTTTCCAGTACATTCTGTAATTCCCTAAATGTGTCTTTTATTTCCAGAAGTTCTGATTACTTTTTAAAAAATATCTGTCTCTTTAGAAAATTTTCCATTCATATCCTGAATTTTTTTTACATTTCTTTATGTTGGTTTTCACCTTTCTCTTGTATCTCCTTGAGTAACTTAATAATCAACCTTTTGAATTTTTTATCTGATATCTCAAAGATGTCATCTTGGTCTGTATGCATTGTTAGAGAGCTAGTGTGATCTTTTAGGGGTGTTACAGAACCCTGTTTTGTCATATTGCCAGAATTATTTTTCTGGTTCCTTCTAATTTGGGTTGATGATTTCTTCTAATTATTTTTAATTTATTTTTTGACTGTTTATTTTTAAATTTCCTTCCCCCCCTTGAAGATGTGACTTTATTTTATTATTATTATTATTATTTATTATTATACTTTAAGTTTTAGGGTACATGTGCACAATGTGCAGGTTAGTTACATATGTATACATGTGCCATGCTGGTGTGCCGCACCCATTAACTCGTCATTTAGCATTAGGTATATCTCCTAATGCTATCCCTCCCCCCTCCCCCCACCCCACAACAGTCCCCAGAGTGTGATGTTCCCCTTCCTGTGTACATGTGTTCTCATTGTTCAATTCCCATCTATGAGTGAGAACATGCGGTGTTTGGTTTTTTGTCCTTGCGATAGTTTACTGAGAATGATGATTTCCAATTTCATCCATGTCCCTACAAAGGACATGAACTCATCATTTTTTATGGCTGCATAGTATTCATGGTGTATATGTGCCACATTTTCTTAATCCAGTCTATCATTGTTGGACATTTGGGTCGGTTCCAAGTCTTTGCTATTGTGAATAGTGCCGCAATAAACATACGTGTTCACGTGTCTTTATAGCAGCGTGATTTATAGTCCTTTGGGTAAATACCCAGTAATGGGATGGCTGGGTCAAATGGTATTTCTAGTTCTAGATCCCTGAGGAATCACCACACTGACTTCCACAATGGTTGAACTAGTTTACAGTCCCACCAACAGTGTAAAAGTGTTCCTATTTCTCCACATCCTCTCCAGCACCTGTTGTTTCCTGACTTTTTAATGATTGCCATTCTAACTGGTGTGAGATGGTATCTCATTGTGGTTTTGATTTGCATTTCTCTGATGGCCAGTGATGATGAGCATTTTTTCATGTGTCTTTTGGCTGCATAAATGTCTTCTTTTGAGAAGTGTCTGTTCATATCCTTTGTGCACTTTTTGATGGGGTTGTTTGTTTTTTTCTTGTAAATTTGTTTGAATTCATTGTAGATTCTGGATATTAGCCCTTTGTCAGATGAGTAGGTTGTGAAAATTTTCTCCCATTTTATAGGTTGCCTGTTCACTCTGATGGTAGTTTCTTTTGCTGTGTAGAAGCTCTTTAGTTTAATTAGATCCCATTTGTCAATTTTGGCTTTTGTTGCCATTGCTTTTGGTGTTTTAGACATGAAGTCCTTGCCCATGCCTATGTCCTGAATGGTAATGCCTAGGTTTTCTTCTAGGGTTTTTATGGTTTTAGGTCTAACGTTTAAGTCTTTAATCCATCTTGAATTAATTTTTGTATAAGGTGTAAGGAAGGGATCCAGTTTCAGCTTTCTACATATGGCTAGCCAGTTTTCCCAGCACCATTTATTAAATAGAGAATCCTTTCCCCATTGCTTGTTTTTCTCAGGTTTGTCAAAGATCAGATAGTTGTAGATATGCGGTGTTATTTCTGAGGGCTCTGTTCTGTTCCATTGTTTTGGTACCAGTACCATGCTGTTTTGGTTACTGTAGCCTTTTAGTATAGTTTGAAGTCGGGTAGCGTGATGCCTCCAGCTTTGTTCTTTTGGCTTAGGATTGACTTGGCAATGCGGGCTCTAATGACTTTCTTCACAGAATTGGAAAAAACTACTTTAAAGTTCATATGGAACCAAAAAAGAAGATGTGACTTTAATGGTTACAGTTTATTGAAACTTAATTCAGCTCTTGGTGCTTTCAAGGGTGAAGACTCTGTATGAGTTCCTTTGTAGAGGATGATGCCTAAAAACTGCTTAGTGTGTGAGCAGGTTCACTATCTTCTGTGGGGTTGGAATGGTAGAGGTCTCTTGAGGCTTATGTCATTCCTTAGTGGTGTACATTTATTTGTTTATTAATTTTTCCCCAGTATTTTGTTTACTGGGTTGCATAGTTCAGACTTCAGGCAGTAGAGGGGATATCTATGGGTAAAAACAAGCTGTGGCTAAAACAGGTGGGTAAATGCAATACCCAGTGGTGGGCAGGGGTCCAAGTTTTGACAGAGGCAGCTGGGAGAGTCCTCAGTGAAACACACTGAGGTCTTTTTAGGGGGAAAGGAAGAAGCCACCTCAACTCCACTGCCAAGCCAGCAGAAAAGTGGACTACCTCCCAGTCACATTCCTGATCCAGTGTTCTAGCTATTCAGATTAAACAGGCATCTGTTTTTGTCTGCAGGAATGCTGAATGCTGATGTTTCATGTACAGAGGGATTGTAACTCTACCCCTCATGCAAGCCTGAACCTGGAGGGCACTCCTCCTGTGGAGATGCAGTCACCCTGAAGTGTTCTAGAAAGGCTGTCTACAGATGCACCCACACCAAGCTCCTGCAGGAGAAGCCCCACTATGTCTGCAATGGTGGGTGAGAGGAAGAAGAAGTCCTTTTCACCAAACCTTTCACAAGTACCAGGGCTGCTTGACTGTTGGGGTAGAACTGTAGGCTTTCCCCCACTGAGCCCAGCACTGCACCTGTGGCTCTGCTGAATGAAAATTTTCACAAGCAAAAGTTCTGAGACTCAACGTCTGCCATGTGGATTATTTGTTCCCATGGGGTGCTCCCTTGATGTGATGGACTTCCCCTTGCCCCAGGAGTAGGAGTCCCTCCCTGAGGGCCAAACTACTGTGAATGCTGCTGCTCCTCTGAGTCTAGCCACCCAGTGGGGCTGCCACACTACACTCCAGGCTGGTGATGAGCAATATCTGCAAGGGTTACAGTAATGTGACCTGTCCTCTAGTCTCCCAGGAGCAGGTACCAGCACCAACTCTGATGGGGGTGGCAGAGGAGTGATATAGAATCTGTGAGATACCTTGGTTAGAAATAGCTGTAGAGTGTTGGCTTTTTCAAATGCCAGCTGTAGTAGTGATTCATTAATAGACTCAGAACCTTCTGGTTAGCCAGGATGATGCACGCGATGGTGATATCTGAGGTCACATACAAGTTTTTTTTTTTTTTTCATGGCACTCTGTTCTTCTGCCTACAGATGCTGTAACAGACTGTGTTGATTGGCCTTCAGCTAGGAGGTAGTGATGGGATTTATGCTTGCTTTATACTACCTAGGGAAAGTACTCTGGTGTCTCAGGCAATGGGCAGGACCACAGACCTCTCAAAAATTTCTGTCCTTTGTATTAAGTGACCATAGTGGGTGGAGGGGTAAGGTCAGGTCGGGGCTGAGACAGGCAAGTCCACTCTCTGGCTCTGCACATGTGGATACAAGCTGTGGTTCCAGTGGGGATTGGAGGGCCGTTCTCTAGCCACTGGGGTAATGTTCCAAGAAGGAGTACAACTGCCTCTGCTGCACAGAAGAGTCAGCAAAGGGAGTGGGGAGTAGCAAGCAGCAGTAGGCTAATCCAGCTCCTATGTGCTTATCTGCTAGAGGTCTTTATTTGTTCATGTGGATTTAAGTTACTCTTTTATTTCATTCTAAAGGGCTTTTTAAAGTATGTCTTTTAGGGCAGGTTTGCTAGTGACACATTCTCTTGGTTTTGGTTTATCTAGGAATGTCTTTATTTATTTTCAAATTTTATTTTGAAGAACAATTTTGCTGGATATAAAATTTTTGGTTGGCAATTATTTTCTTTCAGTACTTCTATTGTGTCATTCCACTGATTTCTGGTATCCATTTTTTTAAAATGAGAAATCAGCAATTAATACTATTGATTATCTTTTGTATGTGATGATATTTGTATTTCACGACTTGCTTCTGTCTTGCTGCTTTTAGGCTTCTCTCTTTGGTTTATCCTTTGACAGCTTGATTGTAATGTCTTGATCTGAATCTCATTGAGTTTATCCTACTTAGAATTAGTTGAACTTTTTGGATGTGTAGATTAATATTTTTCTTCAAGTTTGGAAATTTTTCATGCATTTTATCTTCTAATATTTTTCTGCCTTTTTCTCTTCTCTACTTCTGAGACTTACGTTATACATATGTTGGTATGCTTGATGGTGTCCCACAGGTCTCTGAGACTCTATTTTTCTTTCTGTTTTTCAGACTAGATTATCTCAATTAATTTATCTTCAAGTTCACCAATTTTCACCTCTGCCAGCTCAAATCTGCTGTTGTGCCATTCTAGTAAATTTTCCATTTCAGTTGTACTTTTCAACTCCATAATTTCTACTTGGCTCTTTTAAAAAATAATTTCTATTTCTATTGACATTCTCCAATTGATGAGGCATTATTTCCTTTATTTCTTTAGAAATAGTTTTCTTTACTTGTTTGTACATGTTTAAATTATCTGATTTAAAGTCTTTTTATAGTAAGTCCAGTGTCTGGGCTTTCTCATGCACAAGTTCTATTGACTGCTTTTGTTTTGCATGTGGGCCATACTTTCTCTCTTTTTTTTTTTGTTTGTTTGTTTTTGCATGTCTAAGAATTTTTCTGTTGAAAACTAGACATTTAAAATAATACAGTATAGCAATTCTGGAAATCTAATTTGACTTCCTCCCTAGAATTTGTAATGGTGCCATGTTTTATTATTGTTGCTGATATTGTTTGTTTAGTGAATTTCCTGAACTAATTAAATGAAGTCTATATTCTTTGTCATGTTTACACACTGAAGTCTGTTCAGTTAGCTTGGCAGTCCACTAATCATTGGAAAGACATTTCCTTAAATGCTTGTTTCCCTGCCATTGCCAAGAGTCTCTTCATATGTGCTAAGGGATATCTTCAATGCTCAAGCAGGCAGTTCACAACTTTTCCTTAACCTTCACTTATTGTTTGTGCAGAACCCCAAGTTCATTCATCAGTCTCTTAGTGAGATTATAAGAATAGCAGCAAGAATGACTTTTATCTTATCCAGCATGCAGCAGAACAGACTCTTCTCCTTTAGCCGATGAAGCCTCTATTGACAATTTGATTATGGAGAAGAAGTAACTAATGCTTTTATACTCTGTGTTTGGCAAAAGAAGTCATGCCCTTTAGATTGTTTGTTTTACAAAGAAACCCGTTGCATATCTTGGAGTTTCTCTTCATGTCCTGTGATATTGCACAAGTAACTAAATGTCAAACAGAATATAGTTTCTACAGTTTAGTTCTTTATTTGTTATAGCCATGCCATTCCTTCTCTGCATGAAAATACAAGCATGGCTATTTGTTTAAAGAAACTGCAACTGACGATCATGTTCCAAGGCAGTTGCAAGATAGATCACTAAAGCAACTTTCAATAAGTAACTTTCTGCATCATTCCATGATTCATGCCACTTAGACTGAAATGTAACCCACAAACAGATTTAGTGTCAACTCTGGCAGTAACTTCCTCCCTGAAAAACATGATGATGATGATGATGATGATGATGATGATGATGATGATGCTTAAGTTCTGGAATACAAGTGCAGAATGTGCAGATTTGTTACGTAGGTATACACATGCCATGGTGGTTTGCTGCATCCATCAACCCGTCATCTACACTAGGTATTTCTCCTAGTGCTATCCCTCCCCTTTCCCCCACCCGCCGACAGGCCCCAGTGTGTGATATTCCCCTGTCTTTGCCCATATGTTCTCATTGTTCAACTCCCACTTATTAGTGAGAACATGCCGTGTTTGGTTTTCAGTTCCTGTGTTAGTTTGCTGAGAATGATGATTTCCAGCTTCATTCTTGTCACTGAAAAGGACATGAACTCATTCTTTTTTATGGCTGCATAGTATTCCATGGTGTATATGTGCCACATTTTCTTAATCCAGTCTGTCATTGATGGACATTTCAGTTGGTTCCAAGTCTTTGCTATTGTGAATATTGCTGCAATAAACATACGTATGCATGTGTCTTTATAACAGCATGATTTATAATCCTTTGGGTATATACCCAGTAATGGGATGGCTGGGTCAAATGGTATTTCTAGTTCTAAATCCCTGAGGAAATGCCACACTGTCTTCCACTATGGTTGAAGTAGTTTACAGTCCCACCAACAGTGTAAAAGCATTCCTAGTTCTCCACATCCTCTCCAGCATCTGTTGTTTCCTGACTTTTTAGTGATCGCCATTCTAACTGGTGTGAGATGGTATCTCATTGTGGTTTTGATTTGCATTTCTCTGATGGCCAGTGATGATGAGCAGTTTTTCATGTGTCTGTTGGCTGCATAAATGTCTTCTTTTGAGAAGTGTCTGTTCATATCCTTTGCCCACTTGTTGATGGGGTTGTTTGTTTTTTTCTTGTAAATTTGTTTGAGCTCTTTGTAGATTCTGGATATTAGCCCTTTGTCAGATGAGTAGATTGCAAAAATTTTCTCCCATTCTGTAGGTTGCCTATTCACTCTGATGGTAGTTTCTTTTGTTGTGCAGAAGCTCTTTAGTTTAACTAGATCCCATTTGTCAATTTTGGCTTTTGTTGCCATTGCTTTCGGTGTTTTAGTCGTGAAGTCTTTGCCCATGCTTATGTCCTAAATGGTATTGCCTAGGTTTTCTTCTAGGGTTTTTATGTTTTAGGTCTACCATTTAAGTCTTTAATCCATCTTGAATTAATTTTTGTATAAGGTGTAAGGAAGGGATCCAGTTTCAGCTTTCTACATATGGCTAGCCAGTTTTCCCAACACCATTTATTAAATAGGGAATCCTTTCCCCATTTCTTGTTTTTGTCAGGTTTGTCAAAGATCAGCTGGTTGTAGATGTGTGGTATTATTTCTGAGGGCTCTGTTCTGTTCCACTGGTCTATATCTCTGTTTTGGTACCAGTACCATGCTGTTTTGGTTACTGTAGCCTTATGGTATAGTATCGAAGTCAGGTAGCATGATGCCTCTAGCTTTGTTCTTTTGGCTTAGGATTGACTTGGCAATGCAGGCTCTTTTTTGGTACCATATGAACTTTAAAGTAGTTTTTTCTAATTCTGTGAAGAAAGTAATTGGTAGCTTGATAGGGATGTCATTGAATCTATAAATTACCTTGGGCAGTATGGCCATTTTCACAATATTGATTCTTCCTATCCGTGAGCATGGGATGTTCTTCCATTTGTTTGTATCTTCTTCTATTTCATTGAGCAGTGGTTTATAGTTCTCCTTGAAGAGGTCCTTCACATCCCTTGTAAGTTGGATTCCTAGATATTTTATTCTCTTTGAAGCAATCGTGAATGGGATTTCACTTATGATTTGGCTCTCTGTTTGTCTGTTATTGGTGTGTAAGAATGCTTGTGATTTTTGCACATTGATTTTGTATCCTGAGACTTTGCTGAAGTTGCTTATCAGCTTAAGGAGATTTTGGGCTGAGACGATGGGGTTTTCTAGATATACAACCATGTCATCTGCAAACAGGGACAATTTGACTTCCTCTTTTCCTAATTGAATACACTTTATTTCTTTCTCCTGCCTGATTACCCAGGCCAGAACTTCCAACACTCTGTTGAATAGGAGTGGTGAGAGAGGGCATCCCTGTCTTGTGCCAGTTTTCAAAGGGAATGCTTCCCATTTTCGCCCATTCAGTATGACATTGGCTCTGGGTTTGTCATAAATAGCTCTTATTATTTTGAGATACGTCCCATCAATACCTAGTTTATTGAGAGTTTTTAACATGAAGGGCTGTTGAATTTCGTCAAAGGCCTTTTCTGTATCTATTGAGATAATCGTGTGGTTTTTGTCTTTGGTTCTGTTTATATGCTGGATTACGTTTATTGATTTGCGTATGTTGAAACAGCCTTGCATCCCAGGGATGAAGCCCACTTGATCATGGTGGATAAGCTTTTTGATGTGTTGCTGAATTCAGTTTGCCAGTATTTTATTGAGGATTTTTGCATCGATGTTCATCGGGGATATTGGACTACAATTCTCTTTTTTTTTGTTGTGTCTCTGCCAGGCTTTGGTATCAGGATGATGCTGGCCTCATAAAATGAGTTAGGAAGGATTCCCTCTTTTCCTACTGATTGGAATAGTTTCAGAAGGAATGGTACCAGCTCCTCCTTGTACCTCTGGTAGAATTCAGCTGTGAATCCATCTGGTCCTGGACTTTTTTTGGGTGGTAGGCTATTAATTATTGCCTCAATTTCACAGCCTGTTATTGGTCTATTCAGAGATTCAACTTCTTCCTGGTTTAGTCTTGGGAGGGTGTATGTGTCGAGGAATTTATCCATTTCTTCTAGATTTTCTAGTTTATTTGCGTAGAAGTGTTTATAGTATTCTCTGATGGTAGTTTGTATTTCTGTAGGATCGGTGGTGATATCCTATCATTTTTTATTGTGTCTATTTGATTCTTCTCTCTTTTCTTCTTTATTAGTCTTGCTAGCGTTCTATTAATTTTGTTGATCTTTTCAAAAAACCAGCTCCCAGATTCATTGATTTTTTGAAGGGTTTTTTGTGTCTGTCTCCTTCAGTTCTGCTCTGATCTTAGTTGTTTCTTGCCTTCTGCTAGCTTTTGAATGTGTTTGCTCTTGCTTCTCTAGTTCTTTTAATTGTGATGTTAGGATGTCAATTTTAGATCTTTCCTGCTTTCTCTTGTGGGCATTTAGTGCTATAAATTTCCCTCTACACACTTCTTTAAATGTGTCTCAGAGATTCTGGTATGTTGTGTCTTTGTTCTCGTTGGTTTCAAAGAACATCTTTATTCTGCCTTCGTTTTGTTATGTACCCAGTAGTCATTCAGGAGCAGGTTATTCAGTTTCCATGTAGTTGAGTGGTTTTGGGTGAGTTTCTTAACCCTGAGTTCTAGTTTGATTGCACTGTGGTCTGAGAGACAGTTTGTTATAATTTCTGTTCTTTTACATTTGCTGAGGAGTGCTTTACTTCCAACTATGTGGTCAATTTTGTAATAAGTGCGATGTGATGCTGAGAAGAATGTATATTCTATTGATTTTGGGTGGAGAGTTCTGTAGATTTCTTTTAGGTCCGCTTGGTGCAGAGCTGAGCTCAATTCCTGGATATCCTTGTCCATTTTCTGTCTTGTTGATCTGTCTAATGTTGGCAGTGGGGTGTTAAAGTCTCCCATTATTATTGTGTGGGAGTCTAAGTCTCTTTGTAGGTCTCTAAGGACTTGCTTTATGAATCTGGGTGCTCCTGTATTGGGTGCATATATATTTAGTATAGTTAGCTCTTCTTGTTGCATTCATCCCTTTACTATTATGTAATGGTCTTCTTTGTCTCTTTTGATCTTTGTTGGTTTAAAGTCTGTGTTATCTGAGACTAGGAATGCAACCCCTGCCGTTTTTTATTTTCCCTTTGCTTGGTAGATCTTCCCCCATCCCTTTATTTTGAGCCTATGTGTGTTTCTGCACATGAGATGGGTTTCCTGAATACAGCACACTGATAGATCTTGACACTTTATCCAATTTGCCAGTCTGTGTCTTTTAATTGGAGCATTTAGCCCATTTACATTTAAAATTAATATTGTTATATCTGAATTTGATACTGTCGTTATGATGTTAGCTGGTTATTTTGCTCATTAGTTGATTCAGTTTCTTCCTAGCATCAATGGTCTTTACAATTTGGCATGTTTTTGCAGTGGCTGGTACCAGTTGTTCCTTTCCATGTTTAGTGCTTCCTTCAGGAGCTCTTGTAGGGCAGACCTGGTGGTGACAAAATCTCTCAGTGTTTGCTTGTCCGTAAAGGATTTTATTTCTCCTTCACTTATGAAGCTTAGTTTGGCTGGATATGAAATTCTGGATTGAAAATTATTTTCTTTAAGAGGTTGAATATTGGCCCCCACTCTCTTCTGGCTTGTAGAGTTTCTGCTGACAGATCCACTGTTAGTCTGATGGGCTTCCCTTTGTGGGTAACCCAACCTTTCTCTCTGGCTGCCCTTAACATTTTTTCCTTCATTTCAACTTTGGTGAATCTGACAATTAGGTGTCTTGGAGTTGCTCTTCTCGAGGAGTATCTTTGTGGCCTTCTTTCTATTTCCTGAATTTGAATGTTGGCCTGCCTTGCTAGATTGGGGAAGTTCTCTGGATAATATCCTGAAGAGTGTTTTCCAACTTGGTTCCATTCTTCCCGTCCCTTTCAGTTACACCAATCAGACGTAGATTTGGTCTTTTCACATAGTTCTATATTTCTTGGAGGCTTTGTTCATTTCTTTTTATTCTTTTTCCTCTAAACTTCTCTTCTCGCTTCATTTCATTCATTTGATCTTCAATCACTGATACCCTTTCTTCCAGTTGATCGAATCGGCTACTGAAGCTTGTGCATCCATTATGTAGTTCTCGTGCCATGGTTTTCAGCTCCATCAGGTCATTTAAGGACTTCTCTACATTGGTTATTCTAGTTAGCCATTTGTCTCATCTTTTTTCAAGGTTTTCAACTTCTTTGCAATGGGTTTGAACTTCCTCCTTTAGCTTGGAGACGTTTGATTGTCTGAAGCCTTCTTCTTTCAACTCATCAAAGTCATTCTCTGTCCAGCTTTGTTCCATTGCTGGTGAGGAACTGCGTTCCTTTGGAGGAGGAGAGGTCTTCTGACTTTTAGAATTTTCAGTTTTTCTGCTCTGTTTTTTCCCCATCTTTGTGGTTTTATCTACCTTTGGTCTTTGATGATGGTGACATACAGGTGGGGTTTTGGTGTGGATGTCCTTTCTGTTTGTTAGTTTTCCCTCTAACAGTCAGGACCCTCAGCTGCAGGTCTGTTGGAGTTTGCTGGAGGTCCACTCCAGACCCTGTTTGCCTGGGTATCAGCAGCGGAGGCTGCAGAACAGCAAATATTGCTGAACAGCAAATGTTGCTGCCTGATCATTCCTCTGGAAGTTTTGTCTCAGAGGGGTACCCGGCCACGTGAAGTATCAGTCTGCCCCTATTGGGGGGTGCCTCCCAGTTAGGCTACTCGGGGGTCAGGGACCCACTTGAGGAGGCAGTCTGTCTGTTCTCAGATCTCAAACTCCATGCTGGGAGAACCACTACTCTCTTCAAAGCTGTCAGACAGGGACATTTAAGTCTGCAGAGGTTTCTGCTGCCTTTTGTTCAGCTATGCCCTGTGCCTAGAGGTGGAGTCTACAGAGGCAGGCAGGCCTCCTTGAGCTGCAGTGGGCTCCACCCAGTTCGAGCTTCCTGGCCACTTTATTTACCTACTCAAGCCTCAGCAATGGCGGGTGCCCCTCCCCCAGCCTTGCTGCTGCCTTGCAGTTTGATCTCAGACTGCTGTGCTAGCAATGAGCGAGGCTCTGTGGGCATGGGACCCTCTGAGCCAGGCGTGGGATATAATCTCCTGGTGTGCCGTTTGTGAAGACCATTGGAAAAGCACCATATTAGGGTGGGAGTGACCCAATTTTCCAGGTGCCATCTGTCACAGCTTTGCTTGGCTAGGAAAGGGAATTTCCTGACCCCTTGCACTTCCCGGGTGAGGCGATGCCTTGCCTTGCTTCAGCTCATGCTCAGTGTGCTGCACCCACTGTCCTGCACCCAGTGTCTGACAAGCCCCAGTGAGATGAACTGGGTACCTCAGTTGGAAATGCAGAAATCACCCATCTTCTGCGTCGCTCACACTGGGAGCTGTGGACTGGAGCTGTTCCTATTTGGCCGTCTTGGAACTGCCCCTGATGATAGTTTCTTTTGCTGTGCAGAAGCTCTTTAGTTTAATTAGATCCCATTTGTCAATTTTGGCTTTTGTTGCCATTGGTTTTGGTGTTTGAGTCATGAAGTCTTTACCCATGCCTATGTCCTGAGTGATATTCCCTAGGTTTTCTTCTAGGGTTTTTATGGTTTTAGGTCTTATGTTTAAACATTTAATCCATCTTGAATTAATTTTTGTATAAGGTGTAAGGAAGGGGTCCATTTTCAGTTGTCTACATATGGCTAGCAAGTTTTCCCAACACCATTTATTAAATAGGGAATCCTCTCCCCATTGCTTGTTTTTGTCAGGTTTGTCAAAGAACAGATGATTGTAGATGTGTGACATTATTTTTGAGGTCTCTGTTCTGTTCAATTGGTCCATATATCTGTTTTGGTACCAGTACCAAGCTGTTTTGGTTACTGTAGCCTTGTAGTATAGTTTGAAGTCAGGTAGCATGATGCCTCCAGCTTTGTTCTTTTTGCTTAGGATTGTCTTGAATATATGGGCTCTTTTGTGGTTCCATATAAAATTTAAAGTAGTTTTTTCTAATTCTGTGAAGAAAGTCAATAGTAGCTTGATGGGAAAAGCATTGCATCTATAAATTACTTTAAGCAGTATGGCCATTTTCACAATATTGATTCTTCCTATCCATGAGCATGGAATGTTTTTCCATTTGTTTGTGTCTGATTTCCTTGAGCAGTAGTTTGTAGTTCTCCTTGAAGAGGTCCTTCACATCCCTTGTAAGTTGTATTCCTAGGTATTTTACTCTCTTTGTAGCAATTGTGAATGGGAATTCACTCATGATTTGGCTCTCTGTTTTTCTGTTGTTGGTGTATAGGAATGCTTGTGATTTATGCTTGTTGATTTTGTATCATGAGACTTTGCTGAAGTTGCTTATCAGCTTAAGGAGATTTTGGGCTGAGATGATGGGGTTTTCTAAATATACAATCATGTCATCTGCAAACAGAGATAATTTGACTTCCTCTCTTCCTATTTGAATCCCCTTTATTTCTTTCTCTTGCCTGATTTCCCTGGCCAGAATTTCAAATACTATGTTGAATAGGAGTGAGAGAGGGCATCCTTGTCTTATGGTGGTTTTCAAAGGGAATGCTTCCAGTTTTTCCCATTCAGTATGATATTGGCTGTGGGTTTGTCATAAATAGCTCTTATTATTTTGAGATACATTCCATCAATACCTAGTTTATTGAGAGTTTTTAGCATGAAGGGTGTTGAATTTTATCAAAGGCTTTTTCTGCATCTATTGAGATAATTATGTGATTGTTGTCATTGATTCTGTTTATGTGATGGATTATGTTTATTGATTTGTGTATGTTGACCAGCCTTGTATCACAGGGATGAAGCCAAGTTGATCATGGTGGATAAGCTTTTTAATGTGCTGCTGGATTCGGTTTGTCAATATTTTATTGAGAATTTTTGCATCGATGTTCATCAGGGATATTGGCCTGAAATTTTCTTTTTTTGTTGTGTCTCTGACAGGTTTTGGTATCAGGATCATGCTGGCCTCACAAAAAGAGTTAGGGAGGAGTTCCTCTTTTTCTATTGTTTGGAATAGTTCTAGAAGGAATGGTACCAGCTCCTCTTGTACCTCTGGTAGAATTCAGCTAGGAATTTGTCTGGTCTTTGGTTTTTTTTGGTTGCTAGGCTATTAATTAGTGCCTCAATTTCAGAACTTGTTATTGGTTTATTCAGGGATTTGACTTCTTCCTGGTTTAGTCTTGGAAGGGTTTATGTGTCTAGGAATTTATCCATTTCTTCTAGATTTTCTAGTTTATTCAGGTAGAGGTGTTTATAGTATTCTCTGATGGTAGTTTGTGTTTCTGTGGGATCAGAGGTCATATTCCCTTTATCATTTTCATTGTTTCTATTTGATTCTTTCTTGTCTTCTTTATTCATCTGGCTAGTGGTCTATTTTGTTTATCTTTTCAAAAAACGAGCTCCTGAATTCATTTATTTCTTTTGAAGGGTGTTTCATGTCTCTATTTCCTTCAGTTCTGCTCTGATCTTAGTTATTTGTTGTCTTCTTCTAGGTTTGGAATTTGTTTGCTCTTCTCTAGTTCTTTTAATTGTGATGTTAGGGGGGCAATTTTAGATCTTTCCTGGTTTCTCCTATGGGCATTTAGTGCTATAAATTTCCCTCTCAACACTGCTTTTGCTGTGTCCCAGAAATTCTGGTACATTGTGTCTTTGTTCTCATTGGTTTCAAAGAACTTATTTATTTCTGCCTTAATTTCGTTATGTACCCAGTAGTCATTCAGGAGCAGGTTGTTCAGTTTCCATGTAGTTGTGTGGTTTCGAGTGAGTTTCTTAATCCTGAGTGCTAATTTGATTGCACTGTGGTCTGAGAGACAGTTTGTTATGATTTCTGTTCTTTTGCATTTGTTAAGGAGTGTTTTACTTCCAATTATGTGGTTAATTTTAGAATAAGTTCTATGTGGTGCTGAGAAGAATGTATATTCTGTTGATTTTGGGTGGAGAGTTCTGTAGATGTCTATTAGGTCCACTTGGTCCAGAGCTGAGTTCAAGTCCTGAATATCCTTGTTAATTTTCTGTTTCATTGATCAGTCTAATATTGACAGTGGGGTGTAAAATTTCCCACTATTATTGTGTGGGAGTCAAAGTCTCTTTGTAGGTCTCTAAGAACTTGCTTTATGAATCTGGGTGCTCCTGTACTGGGTGCATATATATATTTAGGATAGTTAGCTCTTCTTGTTGCATTGATCCCTTTACTATTATGTAATGGCCTTCTTTGTCTTTTTTGATCTTTGTTGGTTTAAAGTTGGTTTTATCAGAGACTAGGATTGCAACCCCTGCTTTTTTTTTTTTTTTTTTTTTTTTTGGCTTTCCATTTGCTTGGTAAATCTTCCTCCATCCCTTTATTTTCAGCCTATGTGTGTCTTTGAGAGAGCATGTGAAATGGCTCTCCTGAATACAGCACACTGATGGGTCTTGACTCATTATTCAATTTGCTAGTCTATGTCTTTTAATTGGGGTATTTAGCTGATTTACATTTAAGGTTAATATTGTTATGTGTGAATTTGATCCTGTCATTATGTCATTATCCTGTCAATAACCAGTTAGCTGGTTATTTTGCCTGTTAGTTGATGCAGTTTCTTCATAGTTTCGGTGGACTTTACATTTTTGTATGTTGTTGCAGTGGCTGGTACTGGTTTTTCCTTTCCATATTTAGTGCTTCCTTCAGGAGCTCTTGTAAGGCAGGCCTGGTGGTGACAAAATCCCTCAGCATTAACTTGTCTGTAAAGGATTTTATTTCTCCTTCACTTATGAAGCTTAGTTTGGCTGGATATGAAGTTCTGGGTTGAAAATTCTTTTCTTTAACAATGTTGCATTTTGGCCCCCACTCTTCTGGCTTGTAGGGTTTCTGCAGAGAAATTGTCTGTTAGTGTGATGGGCCTCCCTTTGTGGGTAACTCAATCTTTCTCTCTGGCTGCCCTTAAGATTTTTCTCTTCATTTCAACCTTGGTGAATCTGACCATTATGTGTCTTGGGGTTGCTCTTCTTAAAGAGTATCTTTGTGGTGTTCTCTGTATTTCCTGAATTTGAATGTTGGCCTGTCTTGCTATGTTGGGGAGGTTCTCCTGGATAATATCCTGAAGCACGTTTTCCAGCTTAGTTTCATTCTCCCTGTCACTTTCAGGTACACCAATTAAGCATAGGTTTTGTCTCCTCACATAGTCCCGTATTTTTTGGAGGCTTTGTTCATTCCTGTTCATTCTTTTTTCTCTAATCTTGTCTTCACGCTTTATTTCATTAAGGGGATTTTCAACCTCGATATCCTTTCTTCTGCTTGATCGATTTGGCTATTGATACTTGTGTATGCTTCACGAAGTTCTCGTGCTGTGTTTTTCACCTCCATCAGGTCATTTATGTTCTTCTCTAAACTGGTTATTCTAGTTAGCAGTTCCTGTAACCTTTTATCAAGGTTCTTAGCTTCCTTGCATTGGGTTAAAACTTGCTCCTTTAAGTTGGAGGAGTTTGTTATTACCCACCTTCTGAAGCCTATGTCTGTCAATTCATCAAACTCATTCTCTGTCCAGTTTCGTTCCCTTGCTGGCAAGGAGTTGTGATCCTTTGGAGGAGAGGAGGCATTCTGGTTTTTGGAATTTTCAGCCTTTTTGCACTGGTTTTTCCTCATCTTCATGGATTTGTCTACCTTTGATCTTTGATGTTGGTGACCTTTGGATGGAGTTTTTGAGTGGTCATCCTTTTTGTTGATGTTGATGCTATTGCTTCCTGTTTGTTAGTTTTCCTTCTAACAGTCAGGCCCCTCTGCTGCAGGTCTGCTGGAAGTTTGCTGGAGGTCCACTCCAGACCCTGTTTGCCTGGGTATCACCAGCAGAGGCTGCAGAACAGCAATGATTGCTGCCTGCTCCTTCCTCTGGAAGCTTCATCCCAGAGGGGCACCCACCAGATGCCAGCCAGAGCTCTCCTGTATGAGATATCTCTTGACCCCTGCTGGGAGGTGTCTCCCAGTCAGGAGGCACAGGGGTCAGGGATCCACTTGAGGAGGCAGTCTGTCCCTTATCAGAGCGTGAGCGCTGTGCTGGGAGGTCCGCTGCTATCTTCAGAGCCAGCATGCCAGAACATTTAAGTCTGCTGAAGCTGTGCCCACAGCTGCACCTTCTCCCAAGTGCTCTGTCCCAGGGAGATGGGAGTTTTATCTATAAACCCCTGACTGCGGCTGCTGCCTTTCTTTCAGAGATGCCCTGCCTAGAGGGGAGGAATCTAGAGAGGCAGTTTGGCTACAGCAGCTTTGCCAAGCTGTGGTGGGCTCTGCCCAGTTTGAACTTCCAGCCAGCTTTGTTTACACTGTGAGGGGAAAACCACCTACTCAAGCCTCAGTAATGGTGGATGACCCTCCCCCCACCAAGCTGGAGTATCCCAAGTCGACTTCAGACTGCTGTGCTGGCAGCAAGAATTTCAAGCCAGTGGATCTTAGCTTGCTGGGCTCTATGGGTGGGATCTCCTGAGCAAGACCACTCGGCTCCCTGGCTTCAGCCCCCTTTCCAGGGCAGTGAGCAGCTCTGTCTTGCTGGTGTTCCAGATGCCACTGGGGTAGGAAAAAAAAAAAAAAAACTCCTACAGCTAGCTTGGTGTCTGCCCAAAAGGTCACCCAGCTTTGTGCTTGAAACCCAGGGCACTGGTGGTGTAGGCACCTGAGGGAATCTCCTGGTGTGTGGGTTGCAAAGACAGTGGGAAAAGCATAGTATCTGGGCCAGAGTGCACCATTTCTCAAGGCACAGTCCCTCACGGCTTCCCTTGGCTAGGGGAGGGAGTTCCCTGACCCCTTGTGCTCTCTGGGTGAGGCAACACTCCACCCTGCTTCTGCTCACCCTCTATGGGCTGCACCCACTGTCTAACCAGTCCCATTGAGATGTGCCAGGTACCTCAGTTGGAAATGCAGAAGTCACCCACTTTCTACATTGGTCTCGCTGGGAGCTGCAGACTGGAGCTATTCCCATTTGGCCATCTTGCCTGGAAATCCCTCAGAAACCTTTGATGCCACATTGCCCAATTGCTTGTGATGATCAATAGATTTTGGGCCCTTTGTGAAGTGAATAAACAACTACCCACAAAAGGTCATAGTATCTCATTTGCACACTCTCCTTCAAAAGCTGTTTCTCATAGTGAAACAATGAGAGTTGTTTCTCTGCAGTTTCTTTGGAAGTTGTGACTTCCAATATGTAGATTTGTGCTCATGCCAGTGTTTTGTGTCCCCACAGGTTTATTCTTAAATCAGTCATGGTACATAAATGACATCAGTATTTTTGAGAAGAGTCCCATTAGTGCCATTAGAAGTATTCTCCATTTTGCTTCCAGGTCCAAACAATATGTTTGAAACCAGACAAAATCCTGGACAATACATAAGCATTTCAGATACCAAAATACTTTCAAATGCCCCATAGATCTAAAAGATGTTGTAGATTCAGAGGCCATGTACTTTAGTAGCACTAGAAAGTTATTTTTCAAAAGAAACATTATAAGTATATATTACATCATCTTGGAGACATTTGGGTAACTTTTTCAATTTGTTGTTTTTCCAAAGTTTCTCATGGTTATCTCACAGAAAATGAGAAATATTTCATATAAATTTCTTCCATTTTCATACAGTCTTCAGCATTACATCTCATTTATGTTTCCTTTAATGTATCTTACCATACCAGCACATTGCTTCTCTCCCAAAAAGTTAATGCATTAGTCCACAAACATGTATATGTGTATTAATGCATGTTTGACAGCAGTCACACACTTATATCACTGGTCCTGTGACAATTTAATTGAGCAGGAAAGTCTGAAAAGCATTTACTTACCACAAGGATTTTTGAAGTTGCATGTTCTTCTTAAAAGATTGGAAGACTCTCTTAAGAAGGGAACAAAATACTATGCACATACACATACACATGATATTAGAAAACAACACTATCACGGTTTACTGTAACTCATGTGACTCCTCCTCCACACTCAGCACCCCCACACTCCTGATAAAAGTTACTTTAAATCACATAGTGGATTCAAAATATTTAAAAATACTTCAAACTGGATTAATGTTTACCAAATGCAATTTAACTGTCCTTTAAAGGCTGGGCTGCTCATCCATATGTAGGCCCTTTCTAAGGGAAGGCTCTGGAGACAGATGGGATCACACACAGTGCCACACCTGCCTTCCTAGGAAGGAGAGAGAGTGTGACCAAAGACTCCCTCATTAAGTTAGCAAGGGAGTGAGGGAGTGTGACCAAAGACTCCAGATAACAGAACTCTATTCTGTTTCTTATTCTTCTCTTTTGTGATCAATCACCTCCTTCCTCAGCCTTGGGTTTTGCTAGGATGGACTTCATCTCACACCTTTTGTGGCTGAAGTGGGAGAGGGGGACTCAGAAAATCCCAGCTCTTCTTCATTTGCTTCAAAAGCAATTAAAGCCTAAGATAGAAGTGTGTATGGAATTGGTTCCTTCTGGTGGGTTCTTGGTCTCGCTGACCTCAAGAATGAAGCTGAGAACCCTCGTGGTGAGTGTCACAGTTCTTAAAGATGGTGTGTCTGGAGTTTGTTCCTTCAGATGTTCAGATGTGTCCAGAGTTTCTTCCTTCCAGTGGGTTCGTGGTCTCGCTGACTTCAGGAGCAAAGCTGCAGACCTTCACAGTGAGTGTTACAGCTCTTAAAGGTGGCGCATCCGGAGTTGTTTGTTCCTCCCGGTGGGTTCATGGTCTCCCTGGCCTCAGGAGTGAAGCTGCAGAACTTCACAGTGAATGTTACAGCTCATAAAGGTAGTGCAGACCCAAAGAGTGAGCAGCAGCAAGATTTATTGCAAAGAGCAAATGAACAAAGCTTCCACAATGTGGAAGGGGACCCAAGTGGGTTGCCCAGCTGGCTTGGGTGGCCTGCTTTTATTCCCTTATTTGGCCCCACCTACATCCTGCTGATTGGTCCATTTTACAGAGAGCTGATTGGTTCATTTTACAGAGTGCTGATTGGTCCATTTTTACAGAGTGCTGATTGGTGCATTTACAAACCCTTAGCTAGACACAGAGTACTGATTGGTGCATTTTTACAGAGTGATGATTGGTGCATTTGCAAACCTTTAGCTAGACACAGAGCACTGGTTGGTGCATTTACAATCCTTTAGCTAGACAGAAAAGTTCTCCAAGTTCCCTACCCAATTAGCTAGACACAGAGCACTGATTGGTGCATTTGCAGTCCTTTAGCTAGACAGAAAAGTTCTCCAAGTCCCCACCTGACCCAGAAACCCAGCTGGCTTCACCTCTCAGAAAGAAGGTAGTGTGCTTGCTGTCCTGTTTGCCTCAAGTGGACAGTTGGTATCTCAAGATCCTTCAGATTGCATAATATTCAGTTCAATAGACTGTGCTCACCAAGAACCCTCAACCCCTACTATACGAATTCCTTCAAAGGTAAATCACACACACACACACACACACACACACACACACACACACACACACATCAGAAAAATGGAGAGTTTTGCTCAAGACAGCATACTTGCATTACTAGTGAGAAGTTCTAGGTTAAAAAATCCATTCATGTCATGAAAAGAGTGTGCAATACAATGGGAAAAGGGTGGGTGAGTTGGCTCTTCCTGGGCTGATCACACAATGGCTCCGGGTTGACTTTTGATAAGGAACACAGCTGAGTTCAATGTTCTTGTTAGATAGAAGTGTTATGGATCAGCTCCTGGAAACTTTTCTACCCTAATCTGCCCAGCTTGTTTATTTTCAAACCTGTGTACCACTCTTTTAGGCAGGTTTCCAGGAAGATCATCTGGAGATGAGTTTATTTCCAGCTTCCTCCCCTTATAATAATGTCGAAGAAGAAACTGACCAAACCAAGGGGATTGTATTTTAAGCATCAACTACACCTTTTTCTGGGAATTGCATATAAACAAAGAAACATTATTATGTTGCCCCAGCCCTGTACTTTCACATGTTGTCTCTTCCAAGTTATATCATTTCAAAATTTACCTAATTATTATTTGAATTATTCCCACATGTATGTATTATGCTTATTCTTTTCAAGAATATTGGTTTTTTTTTTGTACCCAGAAGTGAGAGATACTTTTGGTGAATGTAAAGGTATCATGGACTCCCCAAGTGGAGACTATCATCAGGCTCTTTGGCCCACTGAACAAGAACATGTCCTATCCCAATTCAGCTTCCTAATGAGATGGAGATAGATTTCTTCATTGATTTTTACTAGTCCCAATTTTTAGTCTTCCCAATGCAGCAAATGCATTGTCTACTTGGGTATTAAACTCCAATTGATACTTTTTAAACATCTATTTATTCTCTGCTTTTAGGAATGAAATAATTACATCTGTAACCTGAATAGCAGGATATGCTCTTATGCCTTACCTGGAGCCAATTTGTATTGGGGAAGAATGTTTTTGTGTTTCTCTTAAGAAAGCTCTGTTAAATTAAATGGAATACTCCTTTCCAAATGTATTTGCACACAAAATTTAATAATGGCAAATGGCATTCTATGGCATAAATATGGGGGAATATTGCTTACATATATCGATAATCCTAGTATGATTCATTCTGCTTATATACAGTCATCAATGTGTATTCATTCTCTTCGTTGTTTCTGGCAGATGTGCCTCTAGATCTAGAAGTAGTTGCAAATCATCAAGATAGAAGTTAAAAGTAAGAGAGGTCAAACTGCCGTGTTTCATGCTGTTCAGTATTTTGATCCTTTGAAAAGATGTCAGATGCAGGTTTAGACTGCATTTATGTGAGGCTGACTTACTCACTCATCTTAATTAAGACCATCATCAGAAGGGATATCCTGGACTTGTGGAAAGCAATTGTTTTTCCTTCACATTAACCCTTGAACTGATGTCCCCCAGCCCGGTGAATGTTAAATTGAACATTGGTATTTAGAAGTATCAGAAAGACTTTCACATTCTACATAGTATTTCTTGATGTAATGAAGATATCAAAATGTCCTATCAATCCTTGCTCAAGAAGGACTTCTCTATTCATTTTGTATCAATGAATCATTCATAAATTAAGACAGATTTGTCTGGCTATGCTTGAATAAACTTGGATCTTGCCTATGTAGCTCTTGATTGGAAAGGTCTTCCTGGGTAGAGAGAAGGCTCCACTTATATCAAAGAGAGAGTATATAAAGGGAAACAGAAAGGAACTTGCTGAAATTTAAACTTAATTTTGAACATCTTATTTGCATGCATCATAAAATCAGAAATACACTCCATCTTTGTGGGGATGTTAGATTGAATGTATTGATCAGCAAGAGACAAGTCTCTGAGACCCAGATTCTGGAGAGGGGTTCAGGAAAGCACAGTCCAGGCAAGTGCCTCAAATGTCATAGGCACTTGGATCCCTCTGGGTGGGTCTCAGTAACATCACTTTGCAAAGCTCACATAGTGAAAAGTAGCCAATGGTGTGCACCACTGAGTGAGACGATGCTTTGCCACGTGTTCCAACCTTAGTCATGTGACTTCATGGGAATGATCCCAGCTAAATGGGCCCCAAGTAAATATTCTGTTTGCAGAAGGTGAATACTTAATTCTTTATTGATATGCTGGGAGTAAATTTCTACTAGAAGAGTTGTCTGCACTCACACTCAGAGCCTAACTCTGTGGGGTGTTGGTAGGAGAGTAACAGCTGCTCACCTGTTAAATTGGTTTTGGCAGATCCCTATGCTGTGGTTGAGATATCCGGTTCAGGACAACATATCAGCCTTCAACTACCTCATCACAACACTGGCCTTCCTTGTCCCCACTGAAAAGGCAATATTAAGCTGTCTATTGTCCAGCCTTCACAAAAGAGTTGTCTAAAGGTTAAGCACTCTGTTAATGCTTCTACCCAAGCTAGACCGATAAGAGCTTCATATTTGGGTTTACAAATTGCCTAAACTGGATTGCATTTTAAGGTTGTGCCCTTGGTTTCTAAGGAGGAGACTCTAGCCTTGCTTGTAGGACTCCTGTTAAGTTCAGTGTGTATAACATCACTCAGCATTTCCCATGTGAGGCCCCACCAGCCTGATTTGCTTGAGACATTAGTACAAGAAAAATACATTCGCTTCCCCTGAGGAACTAGCATGTTTCTTCTCATCTAATAATAAGAACTATGCAACTGACCATATCTCCCCTCTTTTGCTTTGACTGCCAGGGGGCTAAGAGCCAAATTTAACTATGTTTGCAGCAATGTAAGCCTATATGGGCCTGTGTATTTGCATCCTTGTATCACCTGCCTCTTCTTTCTTTCTTTTTTCCTTTATTCATTAATTCATTTGTTTTAGTCTTACCTTCGTCAATTACTCTGAAAAAATAGGCAGAGTTATATATTAATAATAACTTAAAAAGTAGAAAATATTTGGTAATTTTCAAAATAAAGATGGTTTCACTTTAGAATGATTGTTGGCCTATTTCTAATGTCAACATTATGAATTCATATTAATCGAGTTGTATATGATGTTTCTTTTAAAGTACTATATATTCATACTAAAACAAATGAAACAAAATAAAACATACTTTTGTCTTTGGGTTGATTTAAGTTTCAGAGATTTGGTAATTCTACCTCTGAAAGACAAAACAGACTATTTGGAAAACAAAACAAAAACTGATGTAGAACATACCATCTATGCATCTACTATCAGAGAATGACCTCTTTGTTTTAAAATGGACAATGGAAAATGAAAGTTATTTACATTAGCTGCACTTTGTTAATTTGCTGATATCATGAATGAAAGAAGACTGTTGGTTGAAAATCTAAAAAAAATGGTAAGAATTCAGTCATTGTAATGGCCTAGTTTCAAATACCACAAGGCAGGTTTCAGGGTGTTTCCCCCGCATTGTCACTCTCTTCTGCCTCACCACTCTTTTACACAGAAACCCTTTTTAAAAAAATAAGTATCTCTATTTGCATAGGACTGCATAGGCCATCACAATCATTCAATAAAAAGTGGGCACTATTAGTAAGACAAAGGTTGAACATGTTTGAGTTTTGAAGAACCTAAAGCTAGTTTCAAAACCAATAGGACCCTGTGGATTTCACAGAAATTTTACAGGTGGTAAAACTAAATGGAACAACAGATTGAGAGCCAGGGTTCTGGGAGAAGGTAAGCAGGACACAGAGATAGTGAAAGGAGACCAGAGGAGAGGGCTCCTGAGAAGGATTCTGCATTGATGGAAAAATAGAAAACAAAGCTGTTACATATCATCCTCTGGACATTCATGAGTGATCATATAATAGCAATGTTTTCTTTCTGGTAATTGACTGTCCTCTTTTGCCCTTAAGAAGTTAAAGACTCTCTTAAGGAGACTCTCTTATTCATATGCTGGGAATAAATTCCTGTGACAAAAGTTGTCTGCGTTCACGCTCA
This sequence comes from Homo sapiens, assembly GCF_000001405.40. NCBI lineage: Eukaryota > Metazoa > Chordata > Mammalia > Primates > Hominidae > Homo > Homo sapiens. The sequence goes on from NC_000007.14 coordinate 40,966,512, forward strand.
GAGCCTAACTCTGTGAGGCGGTGGGAGGCGAGTAACAGCTGCCCACCTGTTAAATTGGTTTTGGCAGATCCGTGTCCTGTGGTTGAGATATATCTGGTTCAGGACAACACATCTGCCTTCAACTACCTCATCACACCACTGGTCTTCCGTGTCCCTACTGAAAAGATAATATCAAGCCGTCTGTTGTCCAGCCTTCACAAAAGAGTTGTCTAAAGGTTAAGCACTCCGTTAATGCTTCTATTCAAGCTAGACCGATAGAAGCTTCATACTTGGGTTTACAAATTGCCTAAAGTGACTTAAACATAGAGGAATAGACTGCCACATTGGAAAATGACTCATGGTTTGGTTGAAAGAGCTGAAAGAAACAGAGAAAAGGAAATATGTGAAACTGTTCTAGAGGTTGTTTCAATGAACCCAGAGATGTGTATCTTAGCTCTTTGTTCACTATCCAGAAAGCTGTGCTTGTGGGTGCATCAGACTTCATTTTTCTTTTCTTACATCTTTTGAAAAATTTGATGCTTACCATCATGGAACCCTGGGCATTTCCAAGCTCATCCTTCTCTGAGTTCAAGTCTGTAAAGCACAACTTAGGTGTTTCTCAGGTTCTTTGTTTTGTTACCCAAATGGGTGAGAAAAGACTCACCCTGTGCCCTCTCTCCCATCACCACAGAGTCTCATGCTATCCAGTAGCCTCCTCTTCTGCACAGGCCAGAGTGCAATCTCACCAGTATGCAAAAGGTGCTGCCAGGCTCCCAGAGGCAGGGATGTTATCCTTGCCATAGCTGGAAAAGAGCAAGTTGAGATTGGAATCATGAAGTGTTATTACAAGTCACTAAGTTCATGTGTAAGTAATGAGAAAATCACAGAATCTCCGTTTAATAAGACAAGTACGAAATCCCTCAGAATAGAGTGCGTTTCATAGGAAACTGATAACCAGATCCTCCCACACCCAAGCAATTAAAATACAATAACCTCCTTCCTGCTTCCCAATCTCACACACCCTCACCCTCAATCAAACTGAAGTTGAAAAAGTACTTGTATAAATTCTGGCTACATAGCATTGAATGTCCTCTTCCAAATTATGGGAACTTCTGGAAATAAAATGCAGTGAATTCTTTTTTTTTTTTGAGAAGGAGTCTTGCTCTGTCGCCCAGGCTGGAGTGCAGTGGTGCGATCTCAGCTCACTGCAAGCTCCGCCTCCCGGGTTCACGCCATTCTCCTGCCTCAGCCTCCCGAGTAGCTGGGAATAGAGGTGCCCGCCACCACGCCCAGCTAATTTTTTTTGTATTTTTAGTAGAGGCGGGGTTTCACCGCGTTAGCCAGGATGGTCTCGATCTCCAACGCAGTGAATTCTTATACAGAAATACATACAATAACCACAAGAACCCACTCCTACTATTTCTTCCCTAATAGAGGGTCTAAGACTGGACTCAATGGATATAGAAAAGCTAAACGTAATACTTATTTCTAACCTGTGGATCATAATTTTAATAACAGATGCTATTTAATACATTTCTATGTACCCATCCATTTTTCTTTTCTTCTTTCATGAACCTAAGAAATTTTCCAAATGAAAAACATACTCATTGTATGAACAACGGACCTGATGAGATTTGGGATCAATTCCTCTTCTTGTCCACAGCTTTAAGTCTTATTTGCATATTTCTGTAAAACTAGAAAAGAATAAAATAGGATGAGGCAATCTAGATATATTTGAAATGTTTATAAAACAAACCCTTTTACAACAAATAATTTACAACAACCATGGACCAGGTCACACACCAAACCCCTTCTTCATTTGCCCATAACGTGAAACCAAACAGTGGAACCGTGTCTGCCGAGTCCACTGTGAGGAGGGCTGCTTCCAGCACAGCCTCATTTTATTGTCAGGGCTTAACACTAACTGGCATGGACACAGCAAACCATGACCAGTTGAGGATGCTGCCTCCCTATATATAATTCAGTGGACAGGTCCAGCACTGGAGAGCTGAGAAACTAATGCAGTGCAATGACTGTACATTATTAGTGCCCAAACTGTGATCAGCCACCTCCAAGGTGAGGTTCAGCTCCTGAAGCCTCTAGAAGAGACATCGAAAAACAAAACAAAGTTCTCCGTGGCCTACAGGAAAATAAGTGCTGCTGATCTCAAGACCAAAAGGCATAGCTGGGTAAAGGTAGAGAAAGGATACGGGGCTTAATGTTCACCAAGACAAGAGGAGTAACCAAGGCTGGGGCACAGAAGCGATCTCTGAAGCAAACCCTCCAGTAAGTAACAAGGCCCATCTGTGGAGGGCTGTGGCTGAGCTGCTACAGGACATGGGCCAACTCTTCCTCCACATGGCACCCAGACCCCACAGACCTGAGGGTGGAAGTCCCCTCCTCACAAGCACCTGTGGTGTGAGCATCCAGAAGGCCTGCCTGTAGCCAAGTGGATCCTGAGCAGCTCCCAGAGACCACAGTCCCACCCAGAAGCCCCTGAGGCTGTCCTCTTATTCCAGCTCCTGCTCCAGCCGGCCCCACGAGGCCAACTCAGGGCACTGTGGGTGTCAGGAAGAGAAAGAACCTGTAATGGCAAAGAAGTTTGTTCTGATCCTCACTTAAGAGATAGTTCTTTAAACTCCACTGCTTCCGATTATTCCAGAGCCTTTCTTGGGAAAAGTCATCATGTTAAAAATGGCTTATCAGTCCTCATGTTACATGGTCTGTCTTGACCTTTCAAACCCTTTCTGGAAACACTGTGTTATACTCTGCTTATGATAAGGGATCACACTGATGAAATAAAGATTATTTCAAATTTACGTGTGTTCTATATTTTGGAGGCCTATTCCAACTGATACATTTTATGTATTTATGTATTTATTTATTTAGAGACAGAATGGTGCTCTATTGCCCAGCCTGGAGTGCAGTGGCACAATCACAGCTCACTGCAGCCTCAACCTCCCAGACTCAAGGGATCCTCTTGCCTTTGCCTCCTGAGTAGCTAGGACCATACCATGCCTGGCTATTTTATTTTTTTTTAATTTTTGTACTGACGGGGGTCCCACTGTGTTGTCCAGGCTGGTCTTGAACTCCTGGCCTCAAGCCATTCTTCCACCCCAGCTTCCCAAAGTGCTGGAATTACAGGCATGAGCCGCTGCACCCAGCTTTCAACTGTTGTATTTTAAATAGAACTTAGAAACTTGATTTCCAGTTTCAGGCCCACATCCTATTGGGTCAGTTTTTATGTCTGGTCATGGCTTTTGTTTGTTTTCTACATCTGTTTTGGTTCATCTGAGTTGACATTTATTTCTGTCCTTGAATGTTTTCTGAATAAATTACAGAAAAGGTTTAAAGTATCTCTTAGTATGCTTAGTTCCACAGGATAATCTGATAAAGCATATTATCCTGTTATGGTGTTAGTTTTTCCTGTTGGCTTTTGTCCCAGTGATGCTAACATTTCCAAGGTGGCAGGAGGGGGAGACTGCCCTGTGTCCAACAGAAACAAAAATGTCTAAAGCAACATTCTTTGCAGGTAAAAATCACCTAATTTATTTCTTTCTGGGCAGCAAAATATTGATGGCAATACAATGAAAGTCCATCGCGAGGAGGCTTTTTAATTGGGAACTTTTCAGAATCAAGAAGGTTTGTTGAGTGTGTTTGTACTCAGGCTCTATGGTTTTGTTTTTCTTTTTTTTTTCTGAGACGGAGTCTCGCTCTGTGGCCCAGGCTGGAATGCAATGACGCGATGTCAACTCACTGCAATCTCTGCCTCCTGGGTTCAAGTGATTCTCCTGCCTCAGCCTCCCGAGTAGGTGGGATTACAGGCACTCGCCACCATGCCCAGCTAATTTTTGTGTTTTTTGTAGAGACAAGGTTTCGCCATGTTAGCCAGGCTGGTCTTGAACTTCTGATCTCAAGTGATCCGTCTGTCTTGGCCTCCCAAAATGCTGGGACTACAGGCATGAGCCACTGCACCTGGCCAGACTCTATGGTTTTAACTATGTATTTTTTTCATTCAGGTATAGATTTTCTTTTGGGTGCCAAGTATAGGACTAGATGTTGATAATGTAAATATAAATAAGATGTGGCTCCTGACCTCATGTGTTCACGACCAAATAGGAAAGTTCTGAGAAATACAAAAGCAAAGGGTGGTAAGTGTTTTGATGAACTTGAATATGATGTAACTGAGACTCCAAAGAAGGAATTCAACTTGGGGAGACATTATGAAACCCTTCTTGGAGGATCTGAATCTTGACATGAGCATTTGCCTGGCTGGGTGGGAGTGGGGACATTCCATAGAGGAGATGCAAGAAATCAAAAGAAATGAGTCTTGGGAGAAGGACAAGGGGGACAAGGAGAAAGTTTAGTGAGGCCAGCAGGTGACTTTACATGCTGGGACATCTTGTAGGTATTTGGGAGACACTGAAGGATTTTAAGCAAAGAAGTGACACTCTGACTTACGTTTTTAAAAAATCAGGTGGCAGGGTTAAAGGAGTGTGTGTTGGGTCATTCTTGTGTTGCTATAAAGGAATACCTGAGACTGGGTAATTTATTTTTTCAAAACAGAGGTTTAATTGGCTCACGGCTCTGCAGGCTGTATAAGCATAGCACCAGCATCTGCTTGGCTGCCGGGGATGCCTCAGGGAGCTTTCACTGATGGCAGAAGGTGAAGTGGAAGCAGGCATGTCACATGGCAAGAGCGGGAGCAAGAGAGAGCGATGCGGGAGGTGCCACACACTTTTACACAACCAGGTCTCATGTGAGCCCACTCAGCATGAAGAGGATGGTGCTAAGCCATTCATCTGCCCCCATGATCCCATCACCTCCCACCAGGCACCACCTCCAACAATGGGGATTACATTTCCACATGAGATTTGGAGGGGACTTCCAAACTATATCAGGATGTGAAGTGGAGATAGAGAGACCAGTTCAAAGAATATTCTAATATCCAGGCAAATGATGATGAGAACCTAGATTCAAGCCAGAGCAGTGAAATGCACTGGAAGGGATAAGCAGAAGAGATTTAAAAGGGGTTTATGCAGAGGTTAGTCAGTGATTGAGGGCTGAGTCTCAGGCTTCCTGGGTGACTTGTGGCACTGGATAACACACAGACATTGAGTGAGAGTGTTTTTTCATTACAACACCAGGCATAATTGGCACCTCAGATTCTAAATGTTAGATTCTGAGACTGATCTTCAGTTGTTCTAAGAGGATCATGTCTAAGATGGGTATTTCCATTATTTCTTCTCTTTCAGGTTCTGTGGGTTGTCGTCAGTACCACAGGCAGAGCTGTGTCCCATCAGGAACCTCACTTTTGTTTGCAGCTCCCTCTGTATTTGCAGAGCAGTTCTTTACAGTTTGTTTCAAGTACAAGGATTTTGTCATATGCTCTTTTTTTTAGCAGGTCTTTGTCAATTAATATTTTTTTACATAAAAAATTCATGTTTACACTGAGAAATAAGAAACCTCATAGATGAGAAAATAAATAAAACTCATTTATTAGTCCACCACCTAGAGAAAGCTCTGGTTAACATTTTTCTTTTTTGGTATGGAACCATGCAGAAATTTTATATATATATACACCTGTGAAATGTTTATGTGTTTATATAAAAGTGGTTCATCTATATATGTTTCTTTTTTACCTGGTTTTTCACTCAAAAATATGTTGTTATTTTATTTCCATGTCAATAAATATACATCCCGAAGCCATTCTAAATGTCTGCACTCTACCTTGTGTATCTATGTACCACAATTAACTTAACCAATTTCTCCTTAGAAGACAGTTAATGTCCTTGTTTTTACGAAACAATCATCATAGCTGTCAGGTCTGGGATTCGATTTTACACTCCTTGCCAGCTAAAAAGTAAATCTGCTACCATTTCATGGATGCTGGTAGAAGACATAAGATGTTGGATCAGAGACAAAGGGCTTTATTACTACAGTACTGCAGATAGCATGAATATCAGCATGTACGTTGGTTCCCCTTGCTTCCAAGCCCCACAGACCTGATTCAGTGGGCCCAGAGGGACACTTTGCACACAGTGGGTTTGCATTGCAACAGGAATACTGAGCTTAGGGAATCTACTTCTGCTTTGTAAATGGTAAGTAAGCCTGCTCTTTGTCTCAGTAAGAGACATTACCTCATCCTCCAAGGTTGCTTGCTATAAGCACCAGCCTGGGAAATGGCCTTGGTAAAGAGTGGTAAAGGATGCTACATTCTTGCCATATCCAGCAAGGTGTGTTGTAACACAAGAGATTTATCTAGGGCTACCTCCCAACAATAAGCATCCTTGCCTACATATCCTTGGGATAATTTCAAAGGAGTGAAATTACTGGACCAAAGGGTTTGCACTGCTGTAGACCTTCTGTAAGACTTTCTAATTGTAATGTAATTACCAAATTACCATCTAGAAACTTGCTCCTGCAGGTTTGCTTTCTCACGTATAACTATAGCTTTTCACTTACTAACCCAGGAATGGCCTCTCTCATCTGAGCACTCAGATCCATGTTGGCATTCTCTGCTTTTCCGGAGATATGTCTCATTTGTATTAACAGGGAGGGTATTTTAGCAGAGCCATTTCCTGATTGGTGTCAAGCTGAAAATAGATTGCTTGCCCCCAGGTTGGTGGAAACAGGAATGCTTAGAAACAACATTGCCTCTCCTCCTCTGCAGCAGGTCAAGTCTCTTCCTACCCATGAGGCCTAAGCCCCTGTTTTCTCATTTGATCTAACACTCTGGACAGGTGGTATGTTCTGTGTGTGCTGATAGGTGAATTTTAATGACATTTTCAAGGCATTCTGAAAAAACAAAGCAATTCTTTGAATTGCTTTTGTCAAATAACAAAATTATTTGACATAAGTCTCATTGAAAACAGATGTGGAAATATGCAATTCTTACTTTTTTACTACCCTTCCCTGGGGACTTTTGGCTTATGCCAGTCTGAATTTTGATGTTGAAAGTTTCAGTGTCTCTCTTTTCCAGGTGTATTGTCTTTAATATATAGGAAAATCTAGGGGAAGGGACCCTAAGCAGTAGCTAATACTGTTAAAAGCACGTCTGAACTATCAGAGAGCTAATTAAGTAGGAAAGGTTTGTCCTTGGACTAAAGCCTCCCACGGGATAGGACGCTGGTGCATGCGTCCTGGCAGTGGCTAGAGCCAGTGGGTTTGGGCATGGGAAACTCTGTTTTCATCATAGAACTTTCCTATAATTTTGGCATATTCATTTCCTTTTTATTTATTCTTCAGTTAAATGAAACTACAAATATCTGACCTTTACTTCAATCACAAAATCATTTCTAATAGCCCTTGTATTTTATTTATATATGTGACACCAAAGCATATAACCCAAGACAGTATTTTGTTTTCCTTCTAGAGCTCCTCTCTCTTTCATCCCCCAGTAGTGGCTGTCCATGATCTTACCCATGCTTTTCCTGGCATTTGAGGCAGATAAATTGAAATCAATTATGTATTGGCTAATAGTGATTGTTCATAGTTAGCTGCTAATGGATTACCTATGGTATTTGCTTGAAGTCAATGAGTCCAGTATTTTCAGAGAAAGAATTCTGGCTACTGCATTCTCAAGATGGTTTATTTTTGTCCCCACACCAGGGATGATGGAAGGAAAAGTCCATAGTGCCTAAAGAGCCACCTTCAAAGAAAAGTGACTCTATTTTTCTTTCTGATCTTGTGGTGTTGTTCACATAGGGTGCCCTTTGAGTGACATCTGCCCTGCTACCAAAGCAGGAAGAATCAGCCATTATTTTAGACTGAATGTTTATGTTCCCCCAAATTCAAATGTTGAAGTCATAACCCTCCAATGTGACTATACTTGGAAATTGAACCTATGAGGAGGTGATAAAGGTTAAATAAGGTCAAAAGTGTGGGGGTGTAATCTGATAGGGCTGATGCCCTTATAGAAAGAGAAAAAGATGCCAGAGCTTGCTGTCTCCATCATATGAAGACACAAAAAGAAGGTGACCATCCACAAGTTAAGACAAGAGCCCTCGGCAGAAACCATCCCTGCCAAATCTTGATCTAGGACTTCCAGCATCAAGAACTGTGATAAAATACATTTCTGTTGTTTAAGCCACACAGTCTATTATATTTTGTTATGGCAGCCTGAGATGACCAATACAGACACATGAACACTCCAGAAACAGCCACCTAGGACTGGGCAGGTGGAAGTCCAATCACCTTTGAGATGACATGTTACATGTGCCCAAGAGTAGCATTTCACCCTCACTGATTGGTACCAAATGAATTCTCTGAAATCTCTTCTTGGGAAAGCACAAATGCTAAGTGAATTAAGGAAAGTACATTATGTGTACCAAGTTTTCATTCTTATCTATAATGAACATTTTTTTCATTTCTCTGTAAAATGTAGACATATCCCAACTATCCAGATATTCATCCAACTTTATAGGAAGTACTTGCGAAAATCTGCTTCAAGATCTGTATTAAAGCTCTCTGAGAGTAAAATAAATCTTAATTACCAGAATATTCATGCACCTGGCGCAGTAGGTGGTCAATAAACTCTTGTTATAGGCTAAGTGAGTGAACAAATGTTAATGAAAGAATGAATCAGTAACAAATAGAATCTGAGGTGACTCTAGTGTCTGATCAATTTTATAAATATTCCACATATCTTCTGTCTTTCCAAAAACCTTCATTACCCATGGTTTTGTATACATTTCCCTTCAAGAAACCTAAAGAAGCCTAACCAAGATTTCTTCATCGTGTTCTACACTATAAAGGAGGAAGGGTTTGGAAGCGGAAATCTCAAGGATCATCCTCCTCACATGTACAGAGTGTTCCTTCAGATCTCTATATGTGGATGACTTCCTTGGGTCCCATATCACAGCTGAAATGTTCAAATCATTTAAGTCCGTTTCATGATGTTCAAGAGGTATGCAAGATTCTATTCATTCTAAGTATAAGAAGCCATCTCTCTGTTTGCAAATATCAGAATACCCAACTCACAGGAGCTTAAACCAATAGTTGTATTTTCTTTTCTGTATATGATACAAATACTAGAGGTAGGCTGTCCCTCTGATCCTTTGATTCAATGATTCTTCAGTTCTGTGGCCTTTAAAAATGTTTTCCAGATGGTGGCTTCTTTTCCAGGCATAACATCTGCTTCCTAGTCAGTGAGAAATGGGAAGAGTATGCCTTTGCCTTTTTATTTTGAAACCCATCTTGCAGCCCACAGGGTTCTACCTATATTTTCTTGGCCAGAGTTACAGTGCATTGCCATCCTTAGATGCAAGGGAGAGAGGAAGGCAAGGAAGAACTGGGTTTAGAATGTGTGTTGAATGAACACTCATATGCAAGTATCTTCTACACTTTCTTAAGTAAGAAGAGGACGTTTTTGAGAATGCCAAACAAGACTTGGAAGTAAGAGTAGCTTCTGAGAGTTCAGCAAAAAGTGTTATGGCCAATTCTTTCATAGCCCTGCCTTAACTAAGCTCCATGACCACGTCTGTGTCATCTAGTTCCAATCTAAATGGCCAAACCAGGATCAGATATCCCTCCCACCCTTTGTGGATCAGTTATGGCTAGCGTCCTGCAAGCTGAGGGTCAGGGTTGGATGGTTCAAACATTGGTTGTAGGGGCATTCGGTTTACTAATAGCAATTTTCACAGAAGAGGAGTCGTTGTGAACAAGGGAGCCATGAGGTGGGTCTATTTACTCTTGGAGGAGGTGAGTGCGTTGCAGGCAGATTTTTCCAATATCACCTCCTGCTGCCCTCAATTGCTTCTAAATGTGGTTTTAGAGACCTTGGAGAACAGAGCTCTTGTCTGAGCATCCAAATACATGGGAGGTATCCCAGTTCTTAGCTATGACTTTGGGCAAACTATTCATTAAATATCCATTGCCTCATCTGTGCAGTAAGAATAAAAATATCCATGGATTAAGTGAGAAATTGAAATAAGTATATTCTGACATGACTGAAGCCTTAGATAAATAGAAGATGTTGCTATGATTTGTATCTTATAACAGTGCCAAACTATGACTACCTTTCCTAGCCATTGATAGGTTTCACATCTCTGAATGTGATCTCATGCACATGGGCCACCAATATTTACAAGAAGAATTATTTTTCCTACAACCCCTCCTTCAATTTTTCCAGGCTTTTTGTCACCTCTCACTCAGCATGTTCTCTTCCAATGAGTGGTTGAGAGTGGAGGATGGAATATGTCTTCTGGAATCAGGAGCTGTGTCTCATGATCCCATTTGCAGTGCATGTGACTGGAGAAGGCAAAACCTGAAATCCCCTTTTCTCACCAGAGGTCACACAGACCCCAAAGGTTTAAAGCAACAGTCAAATGAGCTGCACACTACCTCTCTAACAGGCTGTTCAATGAGATAGTTACTTGACCACACTACTTTCAATGAGGTAATGGTCCCACATGCACCCTCTTTCCTTGGTAGAAGGTACATAAAATAGAAATAAATGATCAAGTTACAGAAAGAACTCTGAATGACCAATTCTGGTTCAAGTAAAGGCCTTCCCCTACCCTGCAGTTCCCTGATGATAAATCTTTCAGCAACAGGCTGATCCCTTTCAGAAAATAGGCTGACTAGCAATGTTTTCACCTTCTGTACTTGTCAGGATGGAGTGAGTGTGAGATGGAGACCTGAACACACACACAACCGCAGACAAATGGCCGTGAATGGGTTTCCTCATTCAGGGCCATTTGGCCGATCCTCTGGCGGCTGCTGGGAGGGAGAGAAAAGGGAACAGGTTGCAATGTCAATAATAATAGCAAATGCAATAGACCATCTGTAAAAGGAAGCTGTTGATCTGACTTCCAGAGCATGCTGGCGACAAGGTTGAAGGGACAGGACAGAGCTCCTACTACTAAAATGAATGGCAATGTCATTTTCCATTTCTTCATTCTCTTAGTTTTCCCTTGGGGGTAGATTATTTAAAGTCTGTCATGAGTCTTTGCGAATTTGCAAAGCAACTTGTATGTGCTATCTCATTTTACCCAGACCTATTTGTATGCTATAGGAAAAAGAATATGAAGGAGTTAGGGCTTCAGTATTTCTCAAGGTATTCTTTGGTGACAAGTTGCATGGGGCTTCTAGGGGAAGGGGTATGAACAAGCTTACAAGGTGGCTGCTCCGACCAGAAATGGAAACCACTCCCTCTCACAAGGAAGTTATTGTTGATAAACACCTTTCAGAGGTAGTCAGAGGATATAGAAATCAGATAAGGTTATTTTCCTTTGTCTTGTTTCTCTGGTTCCCCTGGTGTTTGCTTTTTCCTCTAAATTAATTAGAGCCAAACTGCATTAAAGTGACTAGTAAATCCCTACCTGGGCAGATCTTATCTGAATGCCACCACTTCCTGCTATTGCTCCTGCCAGGAGATTCTAGTCTTGGGTCTGGCTGATGTATTTCTGTGATCCAAAGCCTGCCTCTGTAGCCTGATGAACCTGCCACTTGACCCTTAAACCTCGGCCATCTTGGGGCTGCGATTCAATTTTTTCCTGTTCGCCATTGGCTCTCTTGTCTGTAACCCCCTTGAGTTATTGATAGGGTCTTGGATAGCCCCTGCAGTGTCTTTGTGTGAATTTCCAAAAGCTCTCAGCTCTTGGCAGTCTAACCAGAAAAGCATCCCCCTGTGGACTGAGGTGGCTGGCACCTGGCCAGCCCTTGGAATACAGGCTGGTCCTCAGCCCTCACTTGCACCCCTCTGCTCAGCACACAGACACATGCTGTGGGCTGGAGAATGGCAACACCTCTGTCATTTGTCTTTGCCTCTGGCCAAAGTGTCAAAGGGAAGTCAGCTCTGATGGCAAGTCAGGCAGGGGTTGCTCTCCAGGCTTCTTTGACTGCTGTGTCAGGCGACCACAATGTCCTGGCAAGGACAGCTTAACTCTTGCCAATGGGACTTTCACTGATTTATTCAAACACTGACTGAACACCTACCAAGTGCCAGGCATGTGTAAGATGCTGGGGATATTGAGGGCACACCAAGACAGATGTGGTCCCCGTGCTCATGGGCCTCAAAGTCGAAATGTGGGACAGTCAAAAACGTGTGAGTGGGCATAGTAATTTCATAATGTATGAGGGCTGAGGAAGTTATGACCAGACTGCTGAGAAAGAAAATAATAGAAAAGCAAGGGATGGATTTCGAATGGGGCAATTGTGGCGAGACCAAAAGGATAAGGATAAGCCAAAGCCAAGAGCATGAGTGGTCCATCTGAAAAACAAAAGCAGCATGTGTCAAGGCCATGAGGCAGAAAAAGACTGACATGTTCCAGGAACCAAAGGGGCACTGGAGTGGAGGCGATGAAGCCCGAGAAGGGAGGCACGAGTAAGGTCTTTGAAATGTGTATGACACAGGTTATGCAGGACTCACTAAGGCTTTCCAACTGCATTCTTCATGCAATGGAAGTCATTTGAAAGGCTTTAAGCAGGATAATGACATGATTGGGTTTAGATTTACAAAGATCACTTTGGCTGACAGCTCTAGTTGCTGTAATTTCCTTTATATGCCTTGCTCAGCCTCATAATGTACCTTCCTGATTGGGAGTTGGTGCAAGGTTGATGTACCCCCATATTCACAGTCCCTGGCCCCCCATGCCTTTTCCATTATGCCCTATGCTTGTGCCTCCACAAAATACTGAGCCCCATATCTGTGAGGAGAACTTCCTTGACTTAGTTTCCCCCTTAGCATTTCCCACTTTCCAAGCTTCAAGACATCCACAAGCAAACATCCTTGGGACACTTTCCTACTCACATGAAAGAAGCAGGGTTCCTGTTACTCTACTCTTTCCCAAGACTCAAATGTGGGCCCAAACTACCTGTGAAGCTGACATAGTGTACGTGTTAATCTAAAGACCAGAAATGCTGTTGCAAAATGTTTTACCTTTATGTAGGTACTAAAGACGCATTTGCATTTTTCTCCAAGTGCTCTGGCTCTTACCAGACAACAGAAGGCCAGCAGCACGGTGGTCTGATGAGTGGATTGGAGTGTGACTCATCAGCGGGTCTTCCTGGAGACACTGCGGCTCAGCAGCCCCTGCGGAGGCCTGACTGCATCTGGTGAAACTTCCTTTTGACACAGGTGTTGGTGACATGGTCAAGTCATGTAGAAATGGGAAAGTCAGTTGCTCTTTTCTTTTGTGGCCTGTCTACACAGCTTCATGAGGAGAAGGGTGGGGAAATTTCTGTCCCACTACTCAGAGACATTTTAAGAAGAAGAATAAATCCAAGCACCTGGAACCTGAAATCAAGTCACTTTTTTTCTTATCCATTGGTATAAGGGAAATTTTGGAGACAAAAATATACCCTAAAAGAGGATACCTAGCTTTCTTTTTGGAAGTCTTTGCGGGGAAAAGGGACTGTTAAAAGTGTAGCGTAGTTGGTTAAGTGAAAAATCCTCAGGTAAGGCTTCCAAATTCAAATCTCAATCCTACCACTTCCTAGGTGAGTGGGTTCATCTGCTCAGGCTGTCATAATGAAATACCCTGGACTAGGTGACATAAACAACAACAGTTTATTTTCTCACAGTTCTGGAGGCTAGAAAGTCCAAGATCAAGGTACTGACCAATTTTGTTCCCCAGTGAAGGCTCTCTTCTGGCTTGCAGATGGCTTGCCAAATTGCTGTGTCCTTACATGCAAGAGAGAGACAGCAAGAGAGAGCAAGAGAGAGAGAGAGAGACAGAGACAGAGAAGAAGCTCTCTGGTGTTTCATCCTCACTAATCCCATCATGAGAGCTCCACACTTATTATCTCATCCACCCCTAATTAACTCTCAAAGACCCTGTCTCCTAATACCTTCAAATTACAAGTTAAGACTTTGGTACATAAATATTGGGGGGGACACAAATATTCAGTCTATAGTATTGCATCCCTTTTGCCCCCCCAAATTCATGCCCTTATTGCATACAAAATGTATTAATTCCTCCCCAATAGCCGCAAAAGTCTTAACTGATTTGCAATATTATCTCTAAAGTCCAAAGTCTCACCTCAGTATTATGTAAATCAGATATGGATGAGACTCAATATACAGTTCATCCCGAGGAAAAACTTCTCTCCACTTGTGAAACTATGAAACCAAACAAGTTGTATGTTTCCAAAATACAATGGTGGGACAGGCATAGGATAGACATTCGTACTGTAAAAGAGAAATATTAGAAGGAAAAAAGAGGTGAGTAGTCCTAAGCAAGTGTAAAACCTAGGAAGGCAAATACCATTAAATTTTTTTTTTAGATGGAGTCTCACTGTCACCCAGCCTGGAGTGCAGTGGTGCGATCTCAGCTCACTACAACTTCTGCCTCCTGAGCTCAGGTGATCTTCTCGCCTCAGCCTCCCAAGTAGCTGGGACCACAGGCACACACCACCAAGCCAGGCTAAGTTTTTGTATCTTTGGTAGAGACAGAATCTTGCCATGTTGCTCAGGCTGGTCTCAAACTCTTGAGCTCAAGTGATCCACCTGCCTTGGCCTCTTGAAGTGCTGGGATTACAGGTGTGAGTCACCGAGCCTGGCCCCATTAGACCTTAAGGCTCAAGAATAATCCTCTTTGGTTTGCTCCTCCACCTTCCAGGCCCAGTGGGATGGCAGCATCTCATTTCTTTGGCTCTCTGTGGTAGCTCTGCCCACACATGCTTCTGCAGAGTTGTGGTCCAGCCATCTGAAACTTACGTGGAGGCAGCCTTGCACCCCTGGCCTGTGCACTCTGGACCAGTGATAGGATTGGCAGCCCTGATGAAGTCTGAATTGTGGCTCTGGGGTCCTTTTTTCCTTTTCTTGAAAGATAGCACATGTTTGCAACCAGATAGTTTCATGATTCCATCAGGTAAAACCCAAGAAGTCTGACAGACTTGGTGCATTTTGTTGTGTCTTTTCTGTCCCCTTTAGTTCACACTGGCAGTGTCTTTGCTGGTATAATCTCATCTCTATTCCTGGCTTCTGTTAAGATGGCTGATTAAATGGAGAAACTGAATGCATGATCTCTTATTAAATGGTTGATCATCCATACTCTTAGTGTTCTTTTCAGAACATTTCTTTTTGCAATATGGAGGGGCTGAGAAATTTTCAAATCTTTAAATTCTGGTTCTTTCTTGCTTAACAAATTCCTTCTTCAATTTATCTCTTTCTTCACATTTTACTATAAACAGTCATGAGGAACCAAGACACTCCTTCAATACTTGGATTGGAAATCTCCTCAGCTAAATATCCAATTTCATGGCTCACAAGTTCCACCTTCTACAAAACATTAGAACATGAACACAAGCCAACAAGGTTCTTTGCCATTTTATGACAAATATTGCCTTTCCTCCAGCTTCCAATAACATGTTCTTCATTTCCATCTAAGACTTCACCAGAATCTGTGTTAATGTCCATATTTCTAGCATACATCTCAAAACTCTTTCAGACTGTATTCATTACCCAGCTCCAAAATTACTCCACATGTTTAGGTATTTGTTACAGAAGCACCACACTTGTGTTTGACCAAATGTCTGGGCATCTTGTGGCCCCGTCAAGTTGACACATAAAATTAGCCATTAAACCATCATGTCATATCCAAGATTCTCATCTTCTTTATTAGTTCCTTCATCTATAAAGCAGGGATAATAATAAAATCAACCTCACAGAATTGCTTTGAAGAGTCACCTTTTCAACGTATATAAAGCACTTAGCAGGGCCTGGCTCACAGTGAGAACTCAATACATAATAGCCATTATTATTGCCAGTAGGTTGTACACATCACCAAAAAACAAGTCCACAGTGAACATTAGAATGTTCATAAATGAGTTCAGTTCACCACTGATCATTCATAATGCTGTAATGCCAGGTGTCTTAGTCTTGAACATATTATCCTAGGACAATGTGACCTGGCATTGTATCTGTTGAAACTAAAAACCCTTACTGGACTTTTAGGGTTAGGGTTAGGGTTAGCATTACTCACTACTTTGTGTAAAGTACTAGGTGAGTGGGTTCATCTGCTCAGGCTGTCATAATGAAATACCCTGGACTAGGTGACATAAACAATAGCAGTTTATTTTCTCACAGTTCTGGAGGCTAGGAAGTCCAAGAAGTGAGTAATACTAACTGCATTAGAACCACCTTCTAACTTGTTAAAAATATAGATTTTTAGGTTCTATAGGTTCTAGATAAAACTTACTATAGCAGTATCTCTTTTTGATTTTTTTTTTATTTTTTAGATAGAATCTGTGTCACCCAGGCTAGAGTGCAGTGGCATGATCTCGGCTCACTGCAGCCTTGACCTCCCAGACATTGATCCTCTCATCTCAGCCTCCTGAGTAGCTGGGACTACAGGCATGTGCCACTATGCCCAGCTAATTTTTTGTATTTTTAGTAGAGACAATATTTTTCCATGTTGCCCAGGCTGGTCTCAAACTCCAAGGCTCAAGCAACCTGCCCACCTCAGCCTCCCAACGTTCTGGGATTACAGGCATGAGCTGCCATGTCTGGCCTAGTAGCACCTGATGACCAAGAAGCCCAGAGCTCTGCACTTTTAGCAAGAACCCTAGGACATTCTTAGGTACATTATATGTCAAGAACTACTGTCTTAGTGGAAATTGGGACAGCTTGCTGATTCATTATTTTCATCCCTTTGCTTTAGTAATGCACAAGTCGACTGTGTTTTAACGTTATTGCCCCATTTGAGTTTTTGTTAGTGTTTTATCCGTCTTGTGTTCCTCAAGTTGTAGATCATGTTCCTTCAGGATGGGGTTCAGGGCAGTTTTCTACGATGGTTGGTCTTGTGGTCTGAGGCCTTCTCACCCCATGCTTGTTTACTGCTACTGAACACATCATTCCCTTGCTACCCTCAACCGTAACAGACAGTCCTGCCAGCTCCCTCCTGATTTATCCTGTATTGTATTACTTTCTTTCTCTCCCCTTCTTGGTGATTTAAGAAGCTGTTTTTATTGTTCCCAGAGCCAACACATCTGTCATATATTTTCCTCCAACTTAAAAACATTGGAAAATCACTGGCTGCTTAGCACAAAGTCCTGCCGGCACTGGATGATTGTTCCTTTTGTAACTGGTGCTCACTTAGTGAGACTGGACATTCTAGGCTTCTGTTCTCCCACTCCTTTGCTGCCATTTAGCCCAGGCCCTTTAAACTCAGAGGAGACAGAGCAGCCTCTCAGTCTAGGTTTGTGTATATAATTGCTTCATTTTTGTGAATTAAAGTAAACAGTGCGGTTTATCCACAGTTTCCCATTTTTAAAGATCTATGCTCTGTCTATGAACATAGAAAATTAAGCCATGGTTTTAATTGAGAAAGCGATGTAGCACAAAGCATGTTAGCAATGGAGAAACAAGGATTAGATTGGAAATGATCGGTTTGCCTCTATTTGAATTATATTTATAGTGAGTGTCTTGCTAGTCAGAAGTCACAGAAATCAATTTTGTCTATCCTAAACAAAAAAAGAATTGGTTGGGGGATAGATGGAGAGCTCCCAGAAACATCAGGGTTGAATCGCCTGTAGGAACCAAGGGGGCCTCTGTAGCTGGATCCTCTGGCAGAATGCAGGTAGGCGAGGGGTAGGGCCACGTTACTTCCAGGTTCAGAGCCCCAGTGGAAGCTCAGATTGAATAGGTTCCACCAGGTAACCACTCTCTCACTGACAGAACTCTCCCCTTTCAGCCTCTGTAATGAAAGGTGGGCCTTCTTCCTTTACATCAGGGTTCCTCCCAAATACGAAGATTTGGTTGTTTTATAGCCCCAGATGACAAAAGTCCACTCCAAACATGATTCACATTCCCTGTATTTCCACTGCAATAATAATAATATCTATCAATTATTGAAGACTCATACTTTTCCAGGCATTGTGCTAGGTGTTCCTAACTTAGAACTTTTAATCCTAACTGCAACCCTCTAAAAAAGATAACAGTGGATATTTTTTATAGGCAAAAAAAAATGAGCCTCAAAGAGGTTAAGTGACTTTCCTATAGCCATACAGGTGATGAAGCCAGACTGATCTGCCCCCTGGAACTGATAGCTTGTCTACCCTATTATGCTGCCAGTTTATGGAGTATCTTCCCCTCAATTTTTTCCTATATTCTAATAAGTCGGGCAGATAGGACTTGTTTCTTAGCTATTACATCCACATCTGAGTAATGAAAGATATTAACAACAGTTCCTTTAAGACTCCTTCCATCTGTGATGTTCTAGGTTGCTATAACTATATTCCGACGGCTACCATTTTACAATGGCATTGAGTGTGTAATTACAGAACAGATTTGGACAATGTCGGTGGAAACATTATCACTATCAAGTGTGATGCTGTTTTTTGTTTGTTTGTTTGTTTTTTGGTATCGTGCAGCCTTCCTCTCCTGTAAGATTGTACTTCTCCCACTAAGTTAGGTCCCTGAAATCTGTTAGGAAACGAAATGCAGGCCTGTATCCCTCCAGAAGTGGCTGCCAAACATAAAATTTCTGCTGTCTGTTTGGTGATATGCTAATCAACCTTTGTTCTTCTAAATGAATACATCTCAGCAGAGACTCAAGGGAACATTTTCAAAGAACAAAGTGTATGTGTTCACCATTTTTACGTGGACAGGCTGTCTATTCAAGTAATAACCCTTGATGTTCTCTTGGGTGTATGTTTTAACTAGAAGCTAAAACCTACTTGGATGCTTTTGCAGAACCCTAACCCTGGCTTCAGTCTGGAACTTGATACAATTGCAAGTTGAAATTGCAAATTGTATCAGGGCTTTAAAAAGCATGAGTTCTGGGCTTGTTCCTTTCTAGTGAGGAGCAGTTTGTGATTCATTTATTCAATGGCATTGTAAATGGACATTTATGGAGCACCTGGTTGGGGCTTGGGATTGTATCAGCGTTGAGCTTTCATTACAAAAAAGACAAGTCCTCAGCGCAGTGCAGGAGATAGACATCAAAACAAATAATGAAAATGCTGGTGATGGAAATGACACGACTTGAGTGCCTGGAAAATGCACTAAATGATCAGGAAGAAGGGAACCACTAGGTGTTGGGGAGTAAATGTGGGGGAAAAAAATCTCAGAAGAAGTTAAATTTGAGTGCAGTGTTGATGACAGCAGTTTTACCTGGAAGATAAGGAGAAGTGTGTTTGAAGGCTGAAGGGTAAAAGCCTGCAAGTTTTGGGACATATGAAGTTCAGGACAATTGTGAATTACACAGAAAGGGAATTTTAAAAGGGCCAAAAATAGACCACCATAGTATGAATAGTGCTGTATATCATCCAAAAGTATTTGGATTATGTTAACAGGGAACTGTTGAAGGTTTTCACTAGAAAGTGATACAATCAGATCTGTATCTTAGAAAGATCACTCTGTGGACAGAAGGATTAGGGCAAATAGGGAAAAGCAGCCCTTCTGGATAGTAAAATTAGGGTTTTGGTAAAAATTCATACAAGAGTGGGAAGACCCATGGTTTTTCAGTCTCTTTAAACAAAAAATGAAAGCCATGAGGCTTAGATATGAAAATGTGTGGAAATTTCATTAGGAATAATTACAGTGTTTATTTTCTTTTACTAGGCTGAAATGTTTTTAAAAACACAGTAGGCCAGTACTATATACTTTGACTTTTTGAGGCATAAATTTTACACAACATGAGCCGAATTTTGTCCTCTAGCCCATAAAATGATTACCAACAGAATCCTCAGTTATGGTGAGTTAATAAGTTATTAAGAATACTATTTCTTATTTGAAAGTTTTCACACTGTTCCTCTTGCCAGTGAAAATGCTTATTTAATGTTCAATGATTTATTTAAGAACCCCTTTCAAACATGTATCATGTGTCATTGAGCTAAATCAGAATATGTGAATGTGGACTTCTTTAAGACATGTCAAAATGAATAAGAGTTTTAGTGAGCTGTTCTATTTCTTGTACAAGCCAGTGAAATAACAATGAGCAAGTCTTCAGTGTTGAGATGGGGAAATACGAAAACCATCCCAGCTTACTCCACTCATCACCATGGTTTCATCATCTATTACACAGTAAAACAAACAGAGCCACTGACTATAACCCTTAATGAGCATATGTGACTCCGATAATATTTATCGGGTTTATTTGTTTGAGGCCAACTGAAATGAAAAGAAAACAGTGCGGGATTGGGTCATTACTCTCTTCTGACGTGTGCTGTAATTCTAAGGAAAACATTAGTAGCCTATTTTTAGCAAGTACCTTCATCCACTGAAGAGATAATGGCCCAAGGAGTAATCGCTGAGATGGAAAGCAGAAATTCCCAGAATTAAACTGTCTTGCTCATCTGTTCTATGGTCATAGGAAATCTATCAGCACTGTCATTTCTCATCAACAACGAGGAATGTTTTAAATCAGGCCATTATGCAATTCTCCCTAACTGAACTACCTTTCACCTTCATCTCTGCTAAGTCAGGATCCTCCAGCCAAAAGAAATAAAAAAACCTCACCTCCTCCAGAAAGTCTCTCCACATCATCCTGTTTATCCACAAATGTTATCACTTACACCTTATTTGCACTTACATAATCTGTATATTCTATGTTTTTCCTTTATTCAAAAAAATCTATTGAAAAACTCATACAAAAATGATAAGGCAAGACATTGCTCTAGTTCCCATAATGATGGTGTCTGGGGGAGGTAGAGCTGGATGAAGAAGCTACAGTTTCTTCCCTAGAGGAGTACATAACCCAGTAGGACGGACAAGGACCACAACAGGGTAAAAACGTGGTCCTCAATATTGTTTTGCCTCAGGGTCTGAGGGCGATGCCACTCCCTGCCATCAGTCCCAGGGACTCATCAGAGATGGACAAAGGTATGTGGACATGACGAGGGGACTGCAATCCAGGCTGGTGGGGTGGAGGAGAGGAGGATGTAGAAAGTGGTTTGAGAATGATCAGGAGACACCAGTAGTTTAAAGCAGGGTTTTTGGAATGAAGATATGGATTACAATGTGGTACCTTCCACTATCTGTGTGACTCTTGGTAATTTATGTAATTTTTTAGAACTTAATAAGGTTTGTGTTACATATACTCCCACCCTTTCTTCTGGTGGAGAATCATTGTGTTAAATTATAAAATGTCTCCCATGAAAAATACTATATATGCTGGAGGTTCAGAAGAAAAGGAATTCTATGACTTTGGAGGAAGGGATCAGAGACAGCTTTGTGAAAAACATCTGGGTTTTAAGGTTAGTTATAATTTGAGGAAGCAATGATGAAGGAGGCAGAAACCATCCAACCATGAGCCAAATGATAAATGGAGTAAACAGAGAGTATTTGCATATTCCTTTCTTGATGTTTCAACAGAATTCCAGGCATTTGTTGATATTCCCACCAGAAACTGTAAGCTTCTTAGAGCAGGAACCATTATTTGTCATTCTATTTATTATCCATCTGCACAGAGAGGCCAATGAAAATAAATACCTTGTTGATGATCTGGGTCTATGTGAAATCATTCTTAAAACGTAGTGGTTGATCGATACACTGTGAAACTTGTTCTCTTTCTCTCTGTGTGTGTCTCTCTCCCTCAAAGGGAAAGGGAGGCTTGGAGAATGGAGAAGTGGATCCAGGGAGTGGAATGAAGCCTTCTCATTTCTAGAAGGTTTCACATGTATGAGATCCCATCAATTCTCCCCCAAAGAGCATGGCATATGTAATAGGCTCTCCAGAGTCAAGTAGTTAGGGTTTATTCGTCTTTTGTAATTCTTCAGTAATTGGTAAAGTCTTTAATTTTAATTTTAATTTAATATTAAAATTTTGCTACATGTTTTCAGCTAAGCAAAGAGGCAACTAGATGAAGATGTTTAATTTAAATGTGTTTAGAAGTGTTAAAGGCCAAGAAGACCCACAGGAATTGGTGGGTGGAGATAAGACCTTAGGGTACAGGCAGCTCCAGGGAAAGGAAGTTGGGCTCCTTGACTTATCCCTCCTCTCCAGGAGCAGATTCTCCTTCTAATGCTACCAGGTTCTGGGGTCCATTTTTTTTTAAGGTAGGTGTACTTCTCTTTGAAGGAATCTTTTATAGATTGGCATAAACTACTGAGATCATGCCACAAGGAGGTGTTCAAAAAAACTGACTTTATAGAGTGCTCTACAGCTGTATAGGTCCTAAAATGTGGATACTGATACTGGGGATAATAATACTGCTATAGAAAAAAAGTGTGTGTTTAAAAAAATATGCTTTAAATATGTGCTCTACATGTAATTTTTTATTATCGTAGAGAAAAGAATCAAAAGATTGAGAAAAGCGTTAAAGATAAACTAAAGAACTCCCATAAACTTATTATTTTAGCACCCTTATGTACTTGATATTATAGATAGACAGATTCTTGGGAAAAAAAGACATAAGAAAATGCTGAAATTCCTGTTTTGTGACTTGATTTTTTCCAGTTAATATATGGCTTTGCCAATAAATAAATATATTTCTAGCACATTCTTAATTTTTGTAGTTTTTTTTTGTTTGTTTGTTTTCTCCTCAGTATATAGGCAGGTTTGATTCCAGACACAACAATACAGCAAATATCACAATAAAGCAAGTCACATGCATTTTTTTTTTCAGTGCAAATAAAAATGATATTTACACTATACTGTAGTATATTAATTGTACAATAGCATTATGTATAAAAAACAATGTACAGACCCTAATTGAACATACTTTGTTGCTAAAAAAAATACTCAAGATCATTTGAGGCTTCAGCACATTGTAACCTGTTTGCAGGATCTAAATATGATGACAATGAATTTTGCTGCATCTATTGACTTTTCCTGTCACAAAAGATTTCTCTGTAACATGTGATACTGTTTCATAGCATTTTACTCACAGTAGGACTGCTTTCAAAATTGGAGTCAGTCCTCCCAAATTCTACCACTGCTTTATCAACTTAGTTTATGTACTATTCTAAATCATTTTTGTCATTTCAATTTATGTAATTTTCTAAATTTGTCTTTGTCATTTCAACAATGTTCACAGCATCTTGACCAGCAGTAGATTCCATCTCAAGAAACCATTTTCTTTGCTCATCCATAAGAAACAACTCCTTGGCTGGCATGGTGGCTCACACCTGTAATCCCAGAACTTTGGGAGGCCAATGTGAGCTGATCACCTGAGGTCAGGAGTTCGAGACCAGCCTGGCCAATATGGTGAAACCCCCATCTCTACTAAAAAAAAAAAAAAAATCAGCTGGCCCTGGTGGTGTGGGCCTGTAATCCCAGCTACTCCGGAGGCTGAGGCAGAAGAATCGCTGGAACCTGGGAGGCAGAGGTTGCAATGAGCCAGGATTATGCCACTGCACTCCAGCCTGGGTGACAGAGTAAGACTGTCTTAAAAACAAAACAAAACAAAAAACAAAGAAGCAACTCCTCATTCGCTCAAGTTTTATTATGAGATTGCAGAAATTTAGTCACTTCTTCAGGCTATATTTCCAATTCTAGTTATCTTGCTATTTCTACCACATCCGTGGTTACTTTCTCTGCTGAAGTCTTGAACCCCTCAAAGTCATTCATGAGGGTTGGAATCAACTTCTTCCTAACTCCTGTTAATGTTGATATTTTGACTTTATCCCATGAATTACAAATGTTCTTAATGGCATCAAGAATGGTGAATACTTTCCAGAAGGTTTTTAATGTACTTTGCCCAAATCCATCAGTGGAACCAAGCCCTATGGCAGCTGCAGTCTTACAAAATCATCTTCTTAAATAACAAGACTTGGAAGTTGAAATGGCTTCTTGATTCATGACCTGTAGAATGCACATTGTGTTAGCAGGCACAAAAACGACATTAATCTCCTCACACATCTCCATCAGAGCTCTTGGTTGAGCAGGTGCATTGTTATGAGCAGTAACATTTTATTAGTTTGGTGCAAAAGTATTTGCAGAACTGCAATAACCTAATAAAAGGAATCTTTTTCTTTTTTCCTGAGTAATCAGTTTCAACAGCGGTCTTAAAATATTCAGTAAACTATGCTGTAAACAAATGTGCTGTCATCCAGGCTTTGTTGTTGCATTTATAGAGTACAGGCAGAGTATCTTTAGCATAAGTTTTAAGGACTCTAGTATTTTCCGAATGGTAAATGAGCATTGGCTTCAACTTAAAGTCACCAGCTGCATTAGCTAGTAACAAGAGTCAACTTGTCATTTGAAGCTTTAAAGCTAGGCATTAACTTCTCCCTAGCTATAAAAGTCCTAGATGGCATCTTCTTCCAACAGAAGGATGTTTAATCCACATAGCAAATTTGTTTAGTGTAGCTACCTTCATCAATTTTCTTAGCTAGATCTTCTAGATAACTTGTTGTGGCTACTCCATCAGCCCTTGCTCCTTCACCTTTCACTTTTATGTTGAGAGAGCTTCTTTTCTCAAACTTCATTATCCAACCTGTGCTAGCTTCAAATTTTTCTTCTACAGCTTCCTCATTTCTCAGCTTTCACAGAAGTGAAGAGAGTTAGGGCCTTGCTTTGGATTAGGCTTAAATTAAGGGAATGTTGTGGCTGGCTTGATCTTCTGTCCAGGCCACTCATACTTTCTCCATATCAGCAATAAGTCATTTTGCTTTCTCATTCCTTTCCTTTTGCATTCACAACTTGACTAACTACTTGGCACAAGAGGCCTAGCTTTTGGCCTATTTCAGCTTTTGACGTGTCTTCCTCGCTAAGCTTAATCATTTCCAGCGTTTGATTTAAAGAAAGAGATGTGCAACTCTTCCTTTCACTTGAACACTTAGATGCCATTGCAGGGTTATTAATTAGCCTAATTTCAGTATTGTGGTGTCTCAAAGGAATAGGGAGGCCTGAGGAGATGGAGAAAGATGGAGAATGCTGGTTGGTGGAGGAGTCAGAGCAATTCCAACATTTATTAATCAGATTTGCCATCTTCACTGTTCCTTGCACCTCAAAACAATTGCAATAGTAACATCAAAGATCACTGATCACAGATCACCATAAAAGATATAATAATAATTTGAAAAATTGGAAATATTTTGAGAATTACCAAAATGTGACACAGAGACACGAAGTGAGTGCAGGCTGTTGGAAAAATGACACCGATAGACTTGTTGGATACAGAGTTGCCACAAGCCTTCAATTTGTAAAAAATGCAGTATCTGTGAAATGCAATAAAATGAAGCACAATAAAGTGAAGTATGCCTCTACGTTCTCACTTCATCTATTGTATCTTGATTTGTTTAGGGTGAGGCAGGCCGGAGGGAATTTACTTCCTCCCGTTTGACCATGTGTCTGGTGAGAAGACCCACCTGCAGCTCCAGGAATGCCCCCATATTGGTTTAAGTGTTTCAGTATTTTCACCTTCAGCCCCTGTGATTGGGAAAGAATGGGCATGAAACAACTTGGGCCAATAAATGATAATACCTCCAGGACGAGCACGTATCAGAAGAGCCTTTCCCTCTTCTGCATGGTGTTAGAAGATGGAAGCTGAGTTTTCTCAGCTATTTTGTGGCAAGAACAGTGGTGAGGGGAACATCTGAACTGCCAGAGAATGTGTTTCCAGAAAGAGGTCCCAATCCAGACCCCAAGAGAGGGAATTCTTTCTTGCTGCAAGAAAGAATTCAGGATCAGTCCACAGAGTAAAGTGAAAGCAAGTTTATTAAGCAAGTAAAGGAATAAAGAATGGCTACTCCATAGGCAGAGCAGCCCCGAGGGCTACTGGTTGGCTATGTTATGGTTATTTCTTGATTATATGCTAAACAAGGGATGGCTTATTCATGGGTTTTCCGGAAAAGGGGTGGGCATTTTCCAGAACCGAGGGTTCCTCCGCTTTTTAGACCATATAGGTTAACTTCCAGATATTGCCATGGCATTTATAAACTGTCATGACACTGGCGGGAGTGTCTTTTAGCATGTTAATGTGTTATAATTAGCATATAATGAGCAGTCAGGACAACCAGAGGTCACTTTCATGGCCATCTTGATTTTGGTGGGTTTTGGCTTCTTTACCACACCTGTTTTATCAGCAAGGTCTTTACGACCTGTATTTTGTGCTGACTTCTTGTCCCATTTTGTGACTAAGAATGCCTTAACCTGTTGAAAACACAGCCCATTGTAGGTCTCGGCCTTATTTTACCGAGTCCCTATTCAAGATGGAGTTGCTCTGGTTCAAATACCTCTGACAAAAGTATCCCTCTTGTGGGTCTATAGGATCTGTGAAAACTGCTTCCCCATATTCTGAAAAGGGTTTTTCTGGGAAAAATGGGCCATAGGAGGTATGTATGAAGTAGTTCTGGTTATAATAGGAAGAGATTTGGCTTTGGAGTGAGCCAAGCCTAGCTTCAAATTCCAGGCACAGCCACACCTAGCAGTAATTCTACCCTAGGTGAGTTATTTTCTCTTTGGACCTCAGTTTCAGTACCTGTAATGTGGGTACAAGAAAACATATCTATGAGCTGTTGTGAGAATTTAAGGCATATATTCAAGAGCAAGAGTGTTGTGAGGCTTGAGCATTGTGAGAGAGGACTGTGGACACAGACACAGTTATGTGGGGAGGGGACAGGTAAGAGAATGAAGGAGGAATTAGGGCACAGACCTCCTTGTATGCAGGCTCAAGGGAAATTGGTTCCCTGGTATAGGTTTCTCAACCTTGGATATGTGCATAAATCACCTGGAGATCTTACTAAAATGCAGATTCTGATTCAGGAGTTCTTGCATGAGGTCTGAGTTTCTGTTTCTAACTAGCCCCTGCCTCCTGGTCATATGGATCTTCTGGTTTGTGGACCTCTTGGGTTAAAATGCTCTAGATCACAAATGAGGGCAGACCTCATCACCCTTATTTTTATTCCTGAGAAGTCTTTCTACTACCCACTAAATGGCAAGCTTTTCCAAGGCAATCCTAGATGTGTTCAGTGTTCTGTGCACTGTGTTTGCTCACTCTATGGAGGAAGAGAGCTCAATTATGGGAGGTAAAGGAGATGCCCTGATGCTGTCTGCTTACCCTGCAGAGCTGAATGCGAGAGGCTTACAAATGGACCTGAGCTCAAAAGTCAGGAAGTGTTGGTAGAATCCTGGCCAAAGCCTGGGTGGAGAGCTTCTCAGAGGGAAGATGGAAAATGAAAGGCTTTCTGTGTCACTGGTTCCCTTCATTGTTGGGTGTTCACATCTCACCGCACAGGAAGCAGCTTCATCTGCAGTTTCCTTCATGAGTCTAGGGAGAGCAAATTACTCCTTGATAGGAGGTAGGTAAGAAGGTGACTTGTTTCCCATTGGCAAGCATTTTACCCATGGCCAGAATCCAATCCCAGGGTTGTGCATCTTTGAGATGTAATTGAAGAGCAATAGATTTGAAGTTGGAAGAACTGGATGCCGCTCAGAGCTGGAAAATGACCTGTTCAGTTACTTGGACAAGTTATCCAACCTTCCTGAGACTCAACTTTTTAACCTGTAAAGTGGTGATTATCAAGTAGCACAAGTTTTCTAGTAATCCTATTATCAGGAACAAGTGAAAAAATATATGCAAGAACTTTGAAAAACAAGCAAATAAAACACTATTCAACTGTAAAGGATTGTAGGGACAAGAGTTGTAAGGCAGCTTAGTTACCCAATTGCCTGACTGTGAAATTATATCTGAGACACTAGAACCCAATAAGGTTGGCCTTAAGTATATCTGAGGAAGGGGCAATGCAGAGAGAAAAGTGACAACTACTCAGGAAATCTATCATGCCCTCTGTGCATTATGATGTCTCAGATGGTGTGGTCACCTGTGTCCCCAAGGATGCAATGCAGATCAGGACATGACAACCAGAGCATGACCCCATGGCCCCTTGAAGGTGTGCAGTGGCCATTCAGTTTGAAGGCAAAGAGATCTCCCTAATCTAATAAAGCACATCCGAGCAAAAGGATGGAGTTCAGTTTCTTCCATATCATTAAAACTAGATTGAGAATACCCACAAAATCTAATGTATGGATGGAAAAGAACAAAGAAGATATTTACATCCCACTTCTCTCAAAGAGTCACCCCCCCATTTTGGAAGCCTGTCAGCATCCTAATATTGCTGTTTTCTAACTCCTTGACCTGAATAAAAAAGTCCCATGCCCCAAGTGTAAAGAGATTGGAGCACATGCTGTGCATCAGTTTCTTGACATTTTAAAGAAACAGGAAAAGCTCAGAAACCAACCTGGCATCCAAACCAGGAAATGCAGGGCCTGGCCAGAGAAGGTACAGAAGGACAAATTCTCCTTGTGGGTTAGTCCATGTGGTCTGCTAAAATTTGGATATTTGTTCCTTCCAAATCTCATGTTGAGAAGTGCGATTCCCAGGGTTGGAGGTGGGGCCTGGTAGGAGGTGACTGGGAGGTGATTATGGGAGTGATCTCTTATGAATGGCTTACCACCATCCCTTTGGTGACAAGTGAGTGCTTCCTCTGAGTTCACGCCAGATCTGGTTGTTTAAAAGAGCACGCACTTCCTGCCCTCTCCCTTTTGCTGTTGCTCTCACATGTAATATACAGGTTTCTTCCACCATGATAGTAAGCTCCTTGAGGCCCTCACCAGAAGCAGATGCTGGCACCATGCTTTCTGTACAGCCTGCGGAACTGTGAGCCAATTAAACCTCTTGTCTTTATAAACTACCCAGTCTTAGGTATTCCTTTATAGCGACACAAATGTTCTAACATGCAGTCTAAAAATCACGTTCCCTTAAACTTCACATACTATACAATTCTGACAGATAATGCAATGAAGGATGCTGAAAAGGAAGGGAACACCAGTTAATCCCTAGGGCCTGGGAATAGAGATGACAAGGAAGTCAAAGAGTCAACCGTTTGCCCAGAGAATGACTCTTTCATTTAGCCAGTGGATTCTGTCTAAATGTTATCTTCTTGGTGTCTCTTTCTCCAACACTCATTAAGCAAATTAGCACCCACTCCCTAGACACATACACACATTTTATCCCCGTTATCTCCTCCCCTTCTCAGCACTTGGTATCCTATAATAGCTGTTATTATTATTATTATTATTATTATTATAGTTTACTCTCTTTCATCACCATAACGAAAGTTCCATGACATTGATTGCTTTGTTTACTATTATATCCTCTGCACTTAGCATGGCCCGAAAATGATAGGTGCTCAAGAAATATTTCAGAATGAATAATGCCCTGGATTGTGTCCAATTTAGTCCTTGAATACTTCCCTCACTTAATAGTTTTAGGTTCTTCAGCTTTTTTTTTCTCATTCTTCTTAATTACTTCAATATTTTTTTCTCAGTCTATTTTCGTATCATCATCATCATCACTATAATCATCACGTAAAATGGCTAGCATTTCTATATGTGGAGAACTTAAAACCTTACAGCCCTTCATGGCAATAGCTCCCTGGCAATCCACCTACAGGCACAGAAAGGGCTGGCAGTTGCACCTCAAGCTGAACAGTCTCCAATCTCCTTCAGGCAGAATGCTTCATTTGTGAAATTCATTTCTCAGGGTATATTTCTCTCCAGGTCATTTATGAAAAGGGACTAACTTTGTTGGATAAAAGCAAAGTCATAAAATCACTTTTCTGGTGGTATCATACATGAGGGGCAAATGGCATGCTGGTGTTCTAGCCCCCTGAATTGCAAAGTGACGTCTAACTGGCAGGAAACATGTTTCTCCAGTGTGAGCAATTTTGTCACAGATGGAGAAATATCTTTGGAAAAAAATATCTGACATATAATCAGTGCTCAACATTTTTGGAATGAATGCATGGACCAAATCTCCCTGGCTGCTCTGTTTCTCCCTCCTATGTTGGTGGCTTGAATTTTGGGGATTTGTGGTAGAGTTAACTACATGTCCATGCTTTTTTTCTCTGAAGCCCAGCTGTCACTGTGTAGCCTCTGTCTTCCTGTACATGAAACATTCCCTGTGCATCTGGAGGCTCAGAGAAGGGACCCCGCCAGTCTGCACGTGAAATTTGCAGCCTCAGCTTCTGCACCTGTGGGCTGAGCGATCTGGAATATATTTCCATTTCCCGGTCACAGTTGGAGCAGTGAGATTTGACCTTTAGAAGGCAGTGGTTTGTTGAGAGCCTGTTCTTAGTTCTTTTTAAATCATGTACACACTGCAAGAGCTGGACACCTCTGCCTACTGAAGGCTGAAGGAATGTTCCTTGAAGCCAAGTCTAGACAGAATTCCAAAGCAGGGGAATTGGTGGGGACCAGGGAAATTGCCACACCGTCCATGCCAACTTTCTGTCCTGCAATTTTACCATTTTTGTGTTTCTGGATGTTAGCCAAAATGAGATGCCTTTTGTGCCAAGAATGACCATAACAAGCAGGTTGAGGTTTCCACTGGAGGTTAATTTAAATGTTCCACCTTCCTTCAGCTCCCAATTTAAAGTGCATTATGTTTCCCAAGGCAACCCCAAGATTTTCCAGGCCTCTGGTTTACTGAGGGGAGAAGCAAGGAAAAGCCAAACTATTCTCTGTCATTTCTCAATTTATAGCCACCTGTAATCAATCATCAGATGAATGGGGATTTACAAAAACAATTGAATTAGGAAAGTACTAATCCCAACTGTCAATGGGATGAGTAAAACCCCAAACTGAAGCGAAGGAGACAGGCATGATCTTTCTGGCTCACTTTCTGCTGATGCCTGATGCGGCTCCACAACCTGAGGCTGAGCCTGCCCCAAGCCACACAGCTGGCACCCCATGAAAACCTGGCATCCCAAGCCCTCATGTGGTTTGTGACCTTTTGTTTTAAACTGCCTGCTCCACCCATTTCAAACTCCAGGTCCTGAAGAAAACATTCTCTGAGCATCTGATGGTTTCTTATTCAGAATCTACTCTCTGTCTCCCTCATCCTACACATCCATTAGCCACGAAGTCCCACTGATTTTACTTCCTGTCCCATTCATATGCACACCCACTGCCACTGCACTGATGCAGGTCCTGCCATCCCTCACCTTGCTGGGACCATCTGCCCGCCCTCAACATGTTCTCTACAGCAGCCCCGCTGTCAGCTCCATTCTCCACATGGCAACCAGCACCACAGGTCAGCCATAAGAATCTGACCTTGCTCTTTCCTGCCTAACATTCTAAGCTTTGATCACCAGACTGCTCATGGTTCACTTACCACCACCCTGCACACACACACACCTGCTGGATCATGACTTTGCCCTTCCTTTGGCCACTCCCCAGGCATTCCCAGGCTTCACTTGGATAATATTCACTTCCCAAGATGTGGATAAGGTTGCATCTCTTAGAAACCTTCTCAAACGCATCACCCTGGTTCAAACATATCTTCTTACTCTGCTCATAATTTCCCATGTAATTTTGAAATTATTTGATGACATCTCCTTCCTAAGCTCTCAGATCCTAGACAGTGGGATTGCCCCTTCCTGACCCCATACTTGGAACACAATAGGTATTCAAGAAATCTGTGTTGAATGGGAGTGATAAGCCTCACTTCTCCCTAAAATCAGTTTTCTTGGTATTGATCTCTTGACTTGCTTCATTTCCTGTCTTGACAATGGTGTAGACTGTTTCCTCTAAGGGTGCTTGCCCTGGTGTATTCATAAGCAACCTGCTCAATGCTCACCAGCTACTCCTCGGAAATCTCTCAGTGGTCCTGGAGTCCATCCCTGGGATCTCTCAGTGGCCTCTCTGTAGTTTTAAGAAGAATTTTCAATGAGGACTTAATTCCGGAATGATTTTGAAAGTAGGTGTGGGCAGTGGCTCACACCTGTAATCCCAGCACTCTGAGAGACTGAGGTGGGCAGAACACCTGAGGCCAGGAGGTTGAGACCAACCGGGTCAACATGATGAAACCCCCGTTTGTACTAAAAATACAAAAATAAATTAGCCTGGCATGGTGGCACATGCCTGTGGTCCCAGCTACTCAGGAGGCTGAGGCTGGAGGATCACTTGAACCTGGGAGGTGGAGGTTGCAGTGAGCCGAGATTGCACCACTGCACTCCAGCTTGGGCGACAGAGTAAGACTCTGAAAAAAAAAAAGGAGCTAGGTGTGTTGAACTGAGTACATAATCACTACTACATTAAAAAACTGCTCCAGAATAAAGCCAGAGGAACAAGGATGACATGAAAAATGTTGTAGTCCTATGGCACTTTGTAGCTACAAAGGTTTGTCTTATTTGGGAAAATTTAGTAGCTCTTGTGCCCAGCAGTCATAAATTAGTATCTTTTCTGAGTGCTGGCTTATTGTTACATCAACTAGGGAGCTTTTAGCTGATGCCCAGGTACAATCTCAAAGGTTCTGATTTAATCAGCCTAGGTAAAGCCTAGAGTATTGGTGTCTTCTAGAAAGCCCCCAAGGGATATTTTGAGCATCCAGAATTAGGAAAGGTTGCTCTACAATGAGCTTCTCCTCATTGGTGGTGACACCCCTGACTCTGTCTTCCCAGCCAAAGCAAGTTCCTTTTCACTGCGCCCCTAATGACTGTGGACTTTACAAAAGCTTAGGTGATCTCTCTTGAGAATAGCTTCCAGTGATTCTTCAACTTGGGATTTCACTATGCAGAAAATGTGTTGAAAAGAGAAAAAGAAAACACTGCAAAGGGATCACATTTATGATTCTGTAACAGGTAATTTAAGCAGTGGTACACATACATGTGTAAATATATACCCAATGCAAATATAACATGTTATACACCTGTCTCTGTGGAATGCAGTGTGGCACAACAGAGACTGCTGTACTGTGAGCTGCCGAAGTGACACACTTTGAACTTTATGTCTTACTTAGGAAAGCCTGGAGATCGATCTTCATAAATTTAGGTGAGAGGACGTCTGTAGATTGAGGGCCCTGCCTGAAGGACAGGCTCTTCCATTATGCACAGCTTTTTTTTTTTCTCATTTTAAAGTATTCTTCTTGTCTTCCTGAAGCAAGACCAACCATCACTGAGGAGATGAAAAGACTTGACAAACATCAGCCTTGGGACTAAAACTTAAAAAAAAATCAGTCTTTCAATTCTTTCATGCCTGGTACATCGATGGACAAATTCACAATTTCTATGCTTGAATTTCTGTTGATCCTTAAATAACATCCACCTTGAGAAAGAGGCCAACAGAGAGTAAGCCAGGGTGTTAGAGACGTACTTCCTATTCATTAGGAGACTGTAGATTATATGACTTCGTGTTTGCAAAGCAAGTAAAATAGTGCCTCGCATGTACTTATAACACTATACAAGTGTTAAACAAAAACAGGATAAATGTAGTAGAATGCTGCTACTTTTGCTTCCTTATATCATTTCTTCTGGGTAACAGCCCACTCCCCAATCAATGAGATTCCAGTGGGGCCAGAAATTCTAAAGTCCGCTACCCGAAACTTTCCTGGAGAGAGCAAGGCCTCCAGTAGCAGGATCATGGTGGGACTTTTACCTTTCCAGAACATCTGCTTCCTTCATCCTTCCTCCATTAAAAAATTTAACAATTACATTTGACAACTGCTTTGGCATAAAGATAAATAAAAATTCAAGCTGAATTTATTATTATATATTTGTTACTATATCAATTTTTTCTTTTGACTTTAAAGGAAACTTAAAACATTTTCATGGGTCCCTAAAAGTACCATGGGCCCCAAGCACAGTGCTTCATGGGTAAGTTGGCCCCATCCAACAGTCCCATTGAACAGGCCTTGACTTTGCCAGCTCTTTTCCTTTCCAGAACAAGATGGGAGTGTTTTATTTTGTTTTGTTTTGTTTTTGAGATTTGGGAGAAGGCAGATTTCATGAGCAATTGTAATTCAAATTCAAAGCACTCAACAAGTTCTTATTAAGCATCATTATGTTTGTGTGTGTGCATGCATTACTCATTATACTTACACACATACACACACACGCATGGACATACAGATGCATGAACACATGTGCAAACAGGCATGCACATGCACACACACACGCACGGACACACACACACGCACACACACATTCTTAAATTGGTCTTGGATGGTAGGAGTTTGCAATCTGGTTGATACGTCCATAATTTATCCATATCCCAAATGTTTTCCTACAAAGAGCCAGACATTAAATGAATTCTAGTCCAAGGCTATGTAATTACAGTTCTTCAATTGTAAGCAACTAAGTTAGACTCTGCCTAACTTAGTTGTTTTTTTTTTTTGTAAGGAATTTGGTGGAAAGATACTGGAGAACTCTCAAAATGAAGAAAAAGCATCATTATCATTTTTCTTAAAGATGCTATATTGTGTTTTGTAAGCCAGAGTGAGAAATTTGGATTTAATTACAATGTGAAAGGAAGCCATTGGATGGATTTAAAGGAGGGTAGTGGTGTGATCTGATTTATATTTGCAAATAATGTTTCCAGCTGCTGTATGGAGAATAGCTTGTAGATGTGTTGGAAGAAATCAGGATGATAAGTGAGGAGATATTTCATGGACCGGAGAAAAGATGGGGCCCTTGCTAGTGGGAAAATGTGCATATGGAGAGGCATAGACAGAGGCACAACATATTTTTAAGGTTAAGGAAGTCATCAAGGGATAACTCTTAGGTTTTTGGCTCCTTGGCTTTGCATTTGACCAACTAGGTATATAGTCATGCTACTTACTAAGAAAAAATTAAAAAACTGGAAAAGAAACATGTTTAAGAGTGGCATCAAAATTCTTGCTGTGGCAGTTTCAGTTATCAGCCATATATCCATGTGGAGATGACAGACAAGTCGGGAGTGGTCTCTGAATTTGGAGTTTCAGGGAGGGATCAGGGCTGGGGATATCTACTTTCAATGTTTATATAAAAATGATATTTAACATGATGAGTCTGAAAACATTACTCAGTTAAAGATGCTGATAGAGGAGAAGAGCGTTGGCTGAAGCTCTGAGGTGGCACTTCAACATTTAAGGTCAATTAGAGGAGGGTAGATGAGTGGGGAGTGTGGTGTCACAGAAACTCAGAGAAGGAGTGTCACACAAAGATGTATAACATCCTGCTGAGATATAAAGTGAAGAGAGAGGACACTATGGATTTGGTGGCATAAGCGTTCTTGGTGACTAGAGATATAGGGGGAATAGAAGTCTTGTTGGAATGAGTTGTGGGAAGAATAAGAAAGAGTCTACTAAGAAAAATGGGGACTGAGAATGGGATGTTAACTGGAGGGAATGTCTGAATTCAGGCTGCTAGAATAAGCTACCATAGATGGTGGCTTATAAACAGTAGAAACTGATTTATCATAGTTTTGGAGTCTGAAAGTCCAACATCAGGATGCTGGCATGGTCCAGTTCTGGTGAGGGCCCTGCAGACTGTGGGTTTCTTTTGTATCTTCAACTGCTGTTACTAGGGTGAGAGAGATCTCTGGGGTCTTTTTCTTTATAAGGGCACTAATCTGATGCATAAGGGCTCCACCCTCATGACAATTACTTCCTAACAACTCCATCTTCTAATACCATCACATTGGTGGTGAGGATTTAAATGTATACATTTTCGGAGGACACAAACATTTAGGACCTAACAGGGATGTAGCCTCCAGGCAAGAATCATTTAAAGTTGCATGTTTGTCTGCTGACAGCAGGAATACAGTATACAGAAAGAATCTGATGATTTAGCCAAGGCAGGAGCCAAGTCTTTGAAAAGACAAGAGTGCATGAGAGCTGGGTGCAAAATTGGAACAGTCACCTTCTCATTAGACTGCGAACTTTTTTTTGTTTGTTTATTTTGAGAGTCTTGCTTTGTTGCCAAGGCTGGAGTGCGGTGGTATAATCTCGGCTCACTATAACCTCTGCCTCTTGGATGCAAGCGATTCTCCTGCCTCAGCCTCCTGAGTAGCTGGGACTACAGGCACACACCATTATGCTTGGCTAATTTTTGTATTATTAGTACAGATGGGGTTTTGCCACATTGTTCAGGCTGGTCTCAAACGCCCAACCTCAAGTGATCTGCCTGCCTTGGCCTCCCAAAGTGCTGGGATTACAGGCATGAACCACTGTGCCCGGTGGAGAATGCGAACTTTATCCTTTATCAAGAGATAGAGGACAGAGAACAAGCAGGTCAGTAAATATGGTGGAGAAGAGGTGAAAAAGCTCCTGGCTGATTGCTTACTTTCTCAGCAATGAGGCACAGCCATCAGCCGAGGGTGAGAGTTGCAAGGATGTAGAAGATAGGACAGAAGGGTGAGAAATCGTTGCTTGGGAGAGCCTAAACATGAAGAGGAAAGGGAAACCCAAGGAGGGCTGCCTGGCATGATTGAGTGTCCATTTTAGATTTAACAATATGAAATTTAGAAGACCAGTCAGCATAGTTGGGTTTTTGTCCAGCAATGTTTAGCTGCACTGGGGCAAAAGTCTTGGCCGCTATTATGAATGATAATACTAGCTGGCATGTATTTAATGCTTATTAGGTGTCAGACACTTTCTGAAGCACTTTAGAAGTCTTATTTGTTTCTTACAACTGCTTTATGATGTATGTGCTATTATTATAGGTGAGGAAAATGAAATAGGGACAGCTTGAAAGGGCTGGGGCCTGTTGCAGATCCTGGCAATTAGACTCAAAAGACCACATAATTCACGCCTTATGGGCTGTTACTAGGACAGATGAGTCAATGGTATATAAAGCATCTAGCACAGTGCCCTGCCCATAGGAGGCATTCAATGAAAATGCCTCCTATGGGCATTCATAAATACTGCTATTTATGAATAGCAATAATTAGGAAATGATATTATCTACCACATAGAGTTTTTATAAAGTTTAAGAAAGATGAAATCCGTGAAATTCTGAGCTTAGCACCTGGAACTTAATAAATGTCGGTGCGTTTCTTTTCTGTACTTCTCCCACCAACCTACGTAATATTCTGACATCTAAGTCCTTAGTCATTTATGATTGCTGAGAACTGTGTTGCCATGGGAGACCACTAGGTGGCGCCACCAAAGAGCAAGCTTGTTCCATTTACCTTCAGATTTAACTCAGATACAGGTGGGCGAGCAGAAGCTGGACCTTGACAACCAAAAGAAGAATTGTCATAAATAAATAAACAGATGGATAGAGAGAGGGATAGGGTTGCATTTAAAGCATATATTTGGGTAAGCAAATAAAACAAAGAGCATGTATATCCAAAGAGACTCTGTTAATTAGATAGGCAGGCGACAAGGGCCAATGCAAATTTCCTGTGCTTGCAAGCTAAATAAAACAGAAATCTTGCCTACTTTCTCAAAACCAAGCTATACTCCCAAACTGTTAAATCCATGCATCAGACAAAATTTCTAACGGTGGCATGGGCATATGTCTCTCTATTTCCTTTTCCTGCCTCCAGCACAGGTAATGGAGACTTCAGCCCAGCCCACCCTATAATTTGATAGCTATCTCTCTCTAGCTGCCAACCCCATCCAAGATCAACAAATGAAAACACCTAGTGTTCCAAGCAATGCTGCCTCATCCGGAGACAATCCCAGGTATCCTTCTTTGTGCAACACTTACATTCCAGGAGGTTCTCTCTGAATGACAAAGGTCAGAAACAGAAAAGCATGCTTTTCTTATCTCTCTTTTCCTAGGAGCAGTGATATAATGCGATTGAAATCTCTTGCCTGTTTATTGTATCATCATCCATAGCTGTATGGCTCTACGATATTCTGGAAAAGGTATAGATACAGTTAAAATAAAAATCCATCCCACCACATTATCATGGCCTTGGGGTACATTTTCCAAGATCCACCCTCCCCATCCCTAGGCATCTTTCTATTGCTTCCTGGATCGCCCCACTAAGGACATATGTATCTGCTTGTAGCCAGTGCAACTGAGCTCCCCAAACACAGATTCCCATGAAAACTGAACAAAAGAGGAGGGAGAGGCAGAGCATGTTAAATGTCTCATTAGGCCTTCTGTCTGATTCTCATTAGATTCGCTGACTGCTTCTCATTAGGCCCATTGCCTCAACTTCTTTCAGGCCCTGAATATGTAGGCCAGTGCTTATTGTCATGGTTGGTCGAGAAGATCCATTTCATTTATTCATAAATTGAATGTGGCTTCTGAAAAGTCCCAGGCATTTCTTTTGGCAAAGTGAAGGCAGGCGTATTGTTGTTATTTGCTATTTTTTGAGCAATCCTAAGCAGGGTGGGCAGAAGAAATAATTTAAAAGACCCAGCACGAAAATTTCAAACACTGCTGCAGAACTGGAGCACTGGGAGACACATTGTTGCAGCCAAGAGGCCAGCATCATATGCAGACATCTGCAATGGGACATCATGGGCACAATCACAAATACCACCAGGTTCAGAGAGGAACTGCTATGGCTCTAACAAGATGCCCACTGGGCAGGCTATGGAAGACAAGAGCTATCAGGGACATCAGTAAGTTGCAACTCCTGTCCTCCCTGCTGTTTGAAAACATGTACCCAGTGTTTTGAATTAAGAACCAAATAATCACATAGAAAAGTTACTGTACAGTAAAATATTCTACAAATTATGGGTATAATACATTACCCTTGTGGAAAAAAAAAAATAACTGGCATCTCAATATTCTTCTCATTGAAACAAGTAACTGATCCCTTCCCCTGGGAAGAAAGCTCCCAAGATATGGCAGGAAGTTAATGGAACTTAGAGACAATATGTTTATTGTGACATCGGTGGACTTGGCCCTGAAGAATCACACAAAATACATATCTGCAATGGAAAAAGTAAACATTGATGAGCATTTGCCCAAAAAATGGCAAGCAACTGCGTACTTCCTATGCTGTCTCTTTGCCATTGTTTGCTGTCTTTGCTTGAGTTTCTCTCCTGGGTGCATGTGATGTGCGCCTAACATGACTTTCAGAGTCATCTGGTGCCTAGAATCAGAGAGATGATTTTCATAAGGAATTATTTTTTTAATTTTCCCGGACAGTAAAGTTTGAGTGAGGAGATTTAGTACCCTTTAGAAAGCCAGTGTTTCCCCCTCAGCTGAAGGTATGCTCTGTGTTTGATACAGACCTATCGAAGCAAGTCAGGCTGCCCAAGAAACACTTTTCTGAAATTGAATGTTAATATTAGATTGGAAACTTTCTTCCTGCCCCATCCCCCCACCCATGAGGGATAAAAGAGGTGTCTCCATATAAAGTCTTCTCCATCAGGAAGAAATGCGGGTATTCCCCAAGGAAGGAGAAGGGCCATGACTCACTGAGGAGGTCCAGGGTGTGGTTTCTTTCAGACAAGCTCCAGCTGTTCCAAAAGCTGGAAAGACATGGCAACTTCTCCTTTGTGGGTTTTGTTCAAGTTTGCAATGTCCCATTTTGAGGTAGCACTGGAATCCTCTTTTTACTCTGTGCTGTGGGAAGAATTTCCATGTGGGTACATGACTGTTATCAATGAGGTTACCTATGTTTAGGTTTGTTGCCTTTATATCAGGCTATGTGGTCAGCCTTATAAGGACCTATGTGAAGATCAGGGCATAGAACTTGCTGTTAGGAAAGGGCATGGTCATTCCAAAGATGCTTCTATGCTGATTTCCCTCACCCCCAATACTGACTTCTAAGCCAGTTTCCCCATCCTTGGTGACTAGCCCTCAACCTTGTGTAAGTACTCCCATTTTGGGGAACTTGACCTCCGAGCATTCCAGGAAATGTGTATCCCAGACTGCAACGTTCATTCACAACATTCCCAAACAAAACTTGTTTTTCTCCCAGTTGGCTTGCAGAATATACTGTTTTGTGAAGCCCTCCTAAGATGTATTGATAAATATCTGAAAGAGACATGCTTATTGATGTCTGTGAGACATGACTGTGGAGATGACATAAAAATTTTGGCTCCAAAGCTTTTCAGTAAAAAGCCCAGTTCAGAGACAGGCTGTAACAATGGGCTGAAAATGATCTTGGCCTTTCAAGCGCTTTATCCTATCCAAAGTTTCAGCAAGAGAACCTGATCTCCCAGAAAGTATTGCTTTTATTGCCAACCATAGAGAATCACTGACAAAACTAATTAAAGAATTTGAACCTCATTTCCTCTTTCATTAGCTGACCCTCAACCAGGGGCTGGACTCCAAACAAAGGCACTCTGAGCCAACAAGATATAGAATGTGAGCCTCTCACCAGAGTAAAGAGGGCTGCATGCTCTCATTCTCCTCTTTGAAAGAGCTACTTGAGTGCAAAATACCTTGCCCTTTTTTTTATAATGGAAAAAGCTTTGGGTTGCCATCAGAAATAATGAAGTTTGAAGTTCCTGAAAGTTATTCATTTATTGGACTTGACTTTCCACCCTTCCCTTGAATTCCAG
Source organism: Homo sapiens (assembly GCF_000001405.40). Lineage (NCBI taxonomy): Eukaryota > Metazoa > Chordata > Mammalia > Primates > Hominidae > Homo > Homo sapiens. The sequence goes on from NC_000007.14 coordinate 41,006,561, forward strand.
GAGCCAGGTCAAGACAGTGAGTTCTCATGGAAAATTAAGTACTTTTGCAAAGGTGCTTAAAGAAATATGCTTGTTTCAGGTTTCAGGCTCTCAAGGGGATGGTGGTCATTGATTTCCAGGCTTAAGACAACGATAAAGACTTCCAGATATGAATGAGCTTATATGGAATTCAGCCAGTCTACCTGAAAGGCCTGTTGTAAAATACTTGGTTCTGTCTTGGATACTCACCCTTCTCCTTCTTGACTTTTTTTCTTCCGCATTTTAAGATTGCATCATTTGGCAGTCATTGCAATGATTACATAGAATGGCATTTATTGATTGAATACCTTGGCAGATTGAAGAATAACTATCTGAAGATTGTGAAATGATTTCTGTAAGTTACATGATTATCCACTGAAGTGATGGGCTCTATCACAACATATATCTTTGTTAGTTGGTTATGAAGCTGACATAAATTTAAAGAAGAAGGGCCTCAGAGAGGTTTCTGGAAAAAATTTTCATTTTATTAATATGGAAAAATCTTAAGCTTAGAGATTCAGTTTTTTTTTTAAATTGAGTGGAAACAAATCCTATTTTATTTTAAAAATATATTTTATTTCCATTTTAACTTTGATGACAATAAAACACAGATTTTGATAGAAGAGTCATCATTCAAAAACAAAGGATGGGTCTCCTTTCTCAAGTGGCACCCTGACTACTTAATATTACACTACTGATTGGTCTGCATGATCCTGTTTGATCAAGTGAGATGGCCCTCACTGAACAGGCTTTTCCAAAAGCATTTTACAACAAGTCGAGGCCTCCTTAATCCAGAGTAAAGCTAGGGATATACAAGAGTGGCAAAATGTAAACAAGGGGAGACCCAAGAATATACTCAGCACGGGAGCTCATGACTTCCTCTCTGACTCTGGCCAAGAGTATTGTTCCTGCTGTGTGCACGCCTTAGAATATCACCCAGGGAACCGGATGCAATGCTTTGGCACTTCATCTAATTTCTCTGCTCTGGAGACCTAGTCACCAATGCCAGATAGATTCCCTTGCAAGTGATCAAATACTTACTTGACTTTGAACTTTTGGTGAAAGATTTAATGTGGGATAATCAATGAGTGAAACTACACTATGCAATCCCACAAATATGCAAAAAACAAGAAAAAGAAAGGGGAAATTAACATTCTTGGATTATTTGACCATGAAAGCATGGAATTTGCTTTAAGTAAAAGCTTCTATGACAATGGAATCTTGAAGGAATTACAACTGAAATCCAAAAAAAAAAAAAAAAAAAAGAATTAAATGGTCTTATGTATTTTTTTTAAATCGTTGTGTTCAATTGTGCTATGTAGAATCCACAGTTTTCTCTTCCCTTAACAAAATCTTGGGTGTATTCCATAACTTCCTGGTCACATTTGGTAATTAAAACTTAGTGTGGCTTAATTTAAACCCTTAATTGCATATCCAATTTAAAGCTAGAGCTGTGACTCTGGCTGCTTAGAAAGAGGGTGGGGGGCAAAATCTGGCTGTGGAGCAATGCTATCCTCCCCCTCCCGTAGACCCAGCTTTTCTGGGGAGCCTGAAGGAGGGCTGGGGGATGCACAGAAATCCTTTCTTAAATGGCCACTTGCCTGTGGGAGGGAGGCGCCCCTGGGCACTGTTCTGATTCTTCCTGGTTCCATTTTCCTCTAGGAGTTTCCATGCAAGTGCTGTATGTGTTTTTAAGCTTTCTTCCACCCCACGCTCCTGAACGCAGCCTTGTCTGCCATCAGCCCTGGGAGGGCATCTCAGGTCTCCACTCGGTGGAGCCTGGAGGAACCTCCTGGCTCCAGCACCTCCTCTCACATCCGGGTTTCTTTTAGTGGGGCCAATGAAAGGTCACAGTCTGATTTCATGTCCTCTCAGCACAGAAGAAAACTAGGTGGGTTGGGGATCACCCTCTCTTTCCCCGGGAATTGCTACCACAGTCCCTCCAAGTCAACACTCATGCCTTGGGAAATTCCTAGACTGAAAGCAGGCCACAGCTTGCGTGTTCCTCTCTGCCTGTATCGCACCTCAAGGCTCCACATCTTCCATGGAGACATCTTGAGTCTGCCAGCTCTGGAAGCTTGGGAGGCCTCTCGGTGGGGAGTGAGATGCCAGTTTCCCTGTATTGCAAGTCCCCCCAGTCACTATAAATGACGCTGCTGGAGGGCAAATGCGCCCTTCCCTGGGTCTGTTTCATGCACACCTCTCCTGCCCTCTTCTCTTGACTGGGGAGGACCTGGCAGGATGCAGTGGTGCTTGTTGGCAGTGTGTCCCTCCTGCTGCCTCGTGGTCACCCGAAGGGATGGTATCTGGTCCCACCCGAAGGGATGGTGTCTGGTCCCGATGCATGGTGGCTTCTTGTTGGGTCTTGCGAGAATATGATGGTATCTCTGTTTCCAGTAGTATTAAATGTCCTGTGGTATGAGCAAAAAAGGGACATGGCTTAAAAGTGACTTATTTTGGGGAAAATGCAGTTCTAAAGAATGCAATTTAGCCGGGTATGGTGGATCATGCCTTAATCCCAGAGCTTTGGAAAGCTGAGGTGAGAGAATGGCTTGAGCCCAGGAGTTTAAGGTTATAGTGAGCCATGACAGTGCCACTGCACTTCTGCCTGGGTGACAATGTCTCTCTCTAAAAAAAAAAAAAAAAAAGCAACTTATATGTTAAATGATGGGCAATGGAATGAAAGATTCGATTTCACAGTCTATGAATCTATGTTAATTATTAATTCTCAAAATGATTTTTATACCCAGGGCTCAATGAATAAAATGTTTCTTCATAAAAATTAGAGGAAGGAGACTGAACTGAGTTTAGGTTCCCAAATCATAGGCCTAGTGCCACGGGACAGGTAAAGCCATGAATCTTCTTGTGAATTTGGTTGCTAACTTAGAGCACTGGGTAACTGGGTCCATCTATGTATCCATCCACCATCCTTCCTTCCTTCCATCCACCATCCATCCATCCTTCCTTCCATCCACCATCCATCCTTCCTTCCATCCACCATCCATCCTTTCTTCCATCTACCATCCATCCTTCCTTCCATCCACCATCCACCCTTCCTTCCATCCACCATCCATCCTTCCTTCCATCCACCATCCATCCGTCCTTCCATCCACTATCCATCCTTCCTTCCATCCACCCACCCATTCATCCATCTCAGTGTCCTGATTCTTGTCCCTTAAAAGCTATAGTACAATGTTTTCATTATGTGGTCTGACTTTTAACAAGTACCCCAGATGTGTTAAGTTTGAGAAACTCTGGGCTATACTGAAGACTGCAGAAAAGTACCTTCTCATCAATGAAATCAGTGATCACTCTCTTCGATGATATTTCCCCAGGCATGACTGGCCTCACAAAGAAACTTCCCTTGAGATATGTGCTGTATTCACATGCAAACTTTGATGTGTGCATCTCAACCAAGTGAGCCTACATGTGTTTGCGCTGGATGTGTACTATTTTGTAAAGTGAATTCAGAGAGATGGAGAGTTCAGATCAAGAGGAAGCTTGCTCCCTGCCCTCTAACCTCACACCACCCAGCAGAACTTTTTCACCATCTGAAATTTTTGTTTGTTCATTTATTGCTCATTATCCACCTTCCCAAACCTGAATGTAAACTGTGATATTAAGTACATTGATTGCTTGTTCACAGTGGAGCCCCAGAACCTGGCTTAGATACCAACACGTAGGAACCACTGCTACTGTTACTGTTAATGACTCAATGAGCCACGTAGATAGACACGAGTAAAACACAAGCTTTGCCCAAATAATTGCAGACATTGAGGTGAAGTAGGGATCATAGTGGAGTAAAAAAATGGATAGGATTAGTTTGGGAAACATTTCTAGGAGTGAAATCTGAGAAGCCTTCTGAAAGGCATAGAGAATGGAAGGTAGGAACTTGTTCCTTCTCTGTAGACCAGTTCAGGCAGAGGCCTTGAAGCGGAAATTGAGAAACTGGTTCTGAAAAACAAGAAGCACAGTCTGGCTGGAACAGAGGGAACTTGGAGAGGAGAAGTCACAGATGAGAGTGGCCATAGGGTGGTGCTGGGTGAAGGAGAGTTTGAAGGCAATGGTCAGAAGTTTATATTTGGTCCAGATGGTAATAGCAAGCCACCGGAGGGCCATGTTTACACATTTTCAAAATCCAATTAGGATACCACATGTTTTTGTGCTGTAATCACCCATTTTGGACCCATTAAATAAATTAGTTGAAAGAGAAAAACAAAGAAAAAAAATAAAACGATGTGTCATTTGATAGCATTAGGAAATCATGGGATAAATGTATTAAATTGGAATGTTTGACCTGGAACGAAATTAATCCAAATATGGTCTTGATGACTGAGTCTCAAACTGAGCCAGGCCCACAGCTGATGTTTGAAAATATGAATGGTTAAAAAACAAACAAACAAACAAAAAGAAATGATGGTGGTTTGGGTGAGGAAAATAGGCATATCTTTCCCTTTGAAGGGTTTGGACATTCACTTACTGAGGGCAGAAGCCTGGACCTGCTGATTTCTCATGCTCGATTCCAAGCTCTAGATTATGACAGTTCTATAAGAACACTGGTTGACACGCATGAGGAGGAAGCAGCTGTTTCAGTGGAATTCCCTCTGGAGAGGAAGGAAGTCCAGCCATCCAGATGAGATCAGGCAGAGGGAGGCGGATAGAAGAACAAGCAGGCACTCAGAAGAGGGGAGCTGTACAAACCTGGGGTTTCGTGTGTACCTACTGTACATCCTTTCTTTAGCCTCAGCCACAAATTAGAACATGCAGAAAAGATAGTAGAAGACAAAAGGGAAGTGAGAAGGTGGACACAGATGCTGCTTTATTGGGAGAAAGTAATAATCTTTGTCTCTTCTGCTAGTATGATTTATTTCTTAGAGCCCCCACTATTCAAAGTGTGGTACCCCAACTGGGGTATCCCCCAACCTCTAGGGGAGCTTGTTAGAAATGCAGAAACTCAGACCATACCCCAGACTTACTAAATAAGAATCTGATTTAACAATATTTCCCAAGTGTTTCATAAGTAACTAAAGTTTGAGAAGCACTGTGTTAGAGTTTGGAGCAAACTAAATAAAATAAAACTCAAGGTGAGAAAAAGTTAGAGAATTATAATCCCACAGGACAGAAAACAGTGTAAATCATCCCACCTCCCTCCCAATGGAACTGGATAGGTTATACAAATTACTACAGACCTACCCACATATATTCAACCATAGAAACTCTTGATTCACAGGTATACATTTTTGTATACAGATAGATGCCACTGGGAATGCACTGGTGGGAAAATTCCTGCTGTTCCAACCCCGAATCAGCTTGTTTTTTTCTTTACACTGTGGCTTTAGAGCTACTGTCTTTTCCCTCAATCACGCCCAGTTCCCTTCATCGGTGGTGTTTTACGTTCTTTCTCTGTTTCACTTCATATTCCACACTTGCATCTTTCTCGAGTGCAGCCCCAGCTAAACCAATAACTGTGGAAGCCAAATGGAGACAGTTTGAACTGGAATCATTTGCCATTCAGCTGGAAAAATAATGATTCCCCAGTTTCTCAAGTGTGGAAATTTCCCGGAACCAGCCTTTTCCCAGGGCCTGTAGACCCTCCCTCATTAGTTCCGGTGAACTCTCCCTCCCCCTGTGTCTTTGCTTATACCCCTCAATAGTCTCCAGGCTTGATTAGCTCACGCTCGCCTGTGCTTCTTTTCCATCACAGCTCAAGCTCACTGCCTTTCTTTGCAGCATTTAACCTCTGTGAAGAGCCGTGAACTATAATGGCTAAACGCAGTGGTTCAGTGTCTGGTGGGTCTGAGTTTCAACCCAGCCTGCTCTGTGATCCTGGTCAAGCTACTCAGTCTCTAGGAACTGAAGTTTCTTAACCTGTAAAATAGGAACAATAATAGCAGCTGCATGGAAACTTGTCATGATCAAAGAGACTATGTTACCTAAAGCAGTCAGCACCATACTTGCACATAGCAAGTGCTCAAAAAATGATCAATGGTAGCTATCTGAGGCCTCCATGGTGAATTCATTAGGTAATCTTGGCTTATAAAAAACATTAGTGGATCCAAGTGCCTCATTTATATTGTGATTACTTCAATTCTCTCTAGACAGTGCTGCCCTAAGATTCATGGACATTTAGGTGAAGAGACTGCCACCCACACATTTAATTACACTAATGTTTTATCCAGAGAAACTAAAAAAAAAAATTAAAATGAAGCAGAAGAATGCAAAAATCAGAAAATTATGGTGATAATGCTATGAGTGTATTTTTTGAATCTCAGAATCTATGATGAAAATTCTAAATGAAAAGCAAAATATTTTGACCTTGTTTAAATATTTCCACATTCAGAACTCTAGTAAATTTCTGTGTAAGTGAATTACATGGTTGCCAGCACAGCACCATCTGCAAGTCACCTTTAATAATCCAAGTGAGGAAACTCTGATTTAAATATATATATATATATATATATATATGTATTTCATTAATTATATATGCATATACAATTTTTTAAATAAGAAGTCCACTTATGTGTTTGCAGAAAGTTTTGTCCCACACACTCTGCTGTGCTGGTTCAGAACAATGATAAATACAAATGGCATTTCACTTCAAACTGCGGAAATAATACATGATTTCTGTTCCTTTGGCTGACCAGTCATTTATCACAGGTCATTTACATAGATCTGGATGGCTTGGTAAACTAATCACTGAGCTCTTTCATTTGGTACCGCGTTCTTCTTAGTACATCATGTAAAATTAGTTTGATGATTTCAGTTCCTTCTCTTGGGATCCATAACCCCATTCACAGACGAACAAAAAACAATTTGGCTGAACTCACCAGCCCAGGTCCAAAGAAGGGGACAGTTGTGTCTTGATGTTGGAGTCATTGACAGCCAGTGAGTCAGTTCTGACTCCTGAGGAGGAGCATTGGCTGAGGACATAGACGAAAATATAGTAACAAAAAAGTGGTGTCCGTGGGTTCGTTTGAATGTGCATAAGTGCGCAGGTGTCTGTGTGCGTGCATCTAAGTGTGTATTATCTATGCCTGTATATGCATTTTGTGGGTGTGTGCATGTGGCTGTAGTGAATGGGCTGATTTAGGAGGGCAAATATTGTGACACATTCCAAGAGGTTACCTCATAAAGTTTTGATCAGGACACATTTTAGTTGCTTTTCTTTCTTTCTTTCTTTTTTTTTTTTAAAGAAAAGAAACATTGACTTTTGATTTTTTTCACTAATATATTTCTCTCCCTAATCTCTCATGACAATATTTCAGGTCCAACATGCAGATAACTGGAGTAGATATTATATGAAATTAGTTCGATGATGTCAATTTTCAATTTGGGGAACCATAACCCAATTCAAAGATAAACCAAAACAATTGGACTGAACCCACAAACCTGGGTTCACACATAGGGATAATTTTGACTTAATTTGGTGACAGTGAGTCTATTATGGCTTCTGAGAAGGAGGCTTTGGCTGGAGAAACAGATAATAAGATTCTTAAAATAGTGTGTCACACAAAGTACCAATGCTCATTTTCTTCTTTTGATATTGCGCTATAGTTACAGATGATGAAACCACTGAGGTGGAGTGGGTGAGGGTATGTGAGACCTCTGCACTATCTTTGCAACTTCATGTGAATCTATTTCAAAATGTTTTACATGAGAATGTTGTATATATGCGTGTATGTGTGGCTGTGTGTGTCTGTGGTGAATGGACTGATTCAGTATGACAATCATTCCCATGAAACTTTCAGTGACTACTTCATAAAAGTCTGATCATGACAGGTATTAGTTACTTAAAAAAAGAAACCTCAAAGTTAGATATTTTTATTAATTTATTCACCACCTCCTCCTTCTCCAATTTCACACTGGATTTAAAAAGTGAGAAGGGGCCTATTATAATCAAATAGCACAATTTTCTTACTGGAAAGAACATGAGAAATATTGAGCAAGATCTAAGAAGGGTAAAAGACTCGCAGTCCCTCGTGTTGAGTCCCAGCTGAGGACTTGGGGATGTGAGGGTCAGCCTGGAGCTGCGGATCACCAATGCTCTTTCTCAGAAGAGGTGTCAAATTCAACAATGAGCCAAGTCGTCAGTCTCAATTACTAAGGGGATGGTTTTTAAACAAGGAAAAGAAAACTTGGGAGCACAATGAAGCAACATAAGATCCCTAAGAAAAAATTTACTCCACTTCCCAAATTTCTCCCTTTTTGTTTGTTGTTATTAGATTTATTTTACCAATAGATTGAGGAATATGGCAAACATAATTCATGAGGGGCCTGACATAGCATTTACAGTATCTAGATGAATAGGCTGGGGAAATTGAGAATGATCAAATAAAAGCATGCAGCATATGGATGACACATGGCTGGCATACCCTGGAAAACCATTCATGTTCCAATAAATTACCTGAGAATTATGATCTTTTTAAAACATAAAGAAAAGTATGATTGCAGGCAGAACTTTTGAATTAGAGATGAGATATAATTATAGGCAGGAGATAATTGGTGTGAATCACTGACAAAGAGGTAACTTTCCCTCTCCATGGTCCAGTGGTCATAGGAAGAGTCAGAACTGAAAAGAGGAATGGTGGAGCAGAAGCAGAGATCGAAGAAGAGGCTTCATTTTAGGAAATAGATGGAGTAATTCACAGTAGAGTGAATGGGGACACTTGGTATTTACTTTTCATTGGTTAGTTGACGGTGGTGATGATGATGATAATATATATATGTGTGTTATTTGTACACATGTTAACTTTAAGCAATTAATTGGGTGAAATAAATTAGAACAGGCTGTTGCTTTAAGTGGTCATGAGCAGAGGTTTTCAAATTTGGCGGATCATTACCTGCCGTCATATTTTTAAAATGTAGGATTCCCAGGCCCTACTCCAGACTCTGTACACCAGAATCTTTGAAAGTAGAGCCCTAAATTCTAATCTTTGAAAGTATAGCCCTACATTCTGTATTTTTAAGGGCTTCCCAGATGATTCTTCATATTACCTTGGCTTGTAGAATGAGGTAGAAATGAATCAATGTTTCAGTTTTCTACCCTTCAAATGGTAACGGGCATCAGGCTATTTGTAGTCAACTGCATTGAGGTAATGAAACTTTCTATAGGAGGTTCTGGTAGAGCCCTTCAGACAATGAGCAGACCCAGTGTGGACTCTTCCTACAGTGTGGGCAAGCACATCTGAGTGATTTTATTTCTAGATTTGTCTGTTTTAACTCAATAGACCATTAACATATATCCCCCAAATATTTTTCTTACTTCCTTCCTTCAGTGCCAAGCGTTCACCACACAAAATGCCTGAATTGAGTGTTGCATGTATGTGTGTGTGGAAGTAGGAGTGAGGGGTGTGCTGGGAAGGACAAGCTCAGGAAAGACCCTATCTGCATGGTTACTGCATTCAGCGAGAACAGTGAACCACAAATGATTTTGAAGGACTGATGTTTCAGGGAGGCCCAGCAGCCTAGAAGGACTTGTATCTTTTCATAGGACAAAATGTTCCCATGTTCTAACCATCAGAAAGGTGTACCTTGGGAAAGGTGGTTTGCTATCCAAAGGCTTTGTAAGGGGGCATTTTTCACATTAAAGTCACTTACAATTTAAGTTTTGCTCTTTAGCTTTCTTAGCTCTTCACGGGAATACACTTTGGAAATGTATTATTTATTTTTATTTTTACGTTTGGTAAGTGCATTCAAGGTGGATGTTTACTGGCTAATCTTAGAGACAGATGCATGAATAAAACAATGCATGCATAAATAAAATAGAAATGTATTATTTTGTATTGAAAAATGGAGCAGCCCATAAGATAGCACATTACATCCAGGAGGGACTTGCCAAGCCAGAACCCATAGATTCCTGTTTCCCTGACTCTCTTGATTTTAATTCATACTTTTTTCTCTTATTTTTCTTTAAACTCAAATTTGCTACCCCGCCCTCCACTAATTACAACAACGTGGTGGAAAATCTAAGCAACATATATTAGTAAAAAGAAAGAAAACATGAAGAAGAAAATAATGATCTTTTGCAATCCCAGCACCCAGCAATAACTGTGGTTAACATCATCCAGGTATTTTAATATGTATACTTACATGTATAAGCCAGATGTCAACTGGGTCTCTCTGCTCCTCATTGTCTAGATAAGATGCCTTGGTCCCTCATTTCATTGTTCTCCTCCAGATTTTGGCAACTTCCCAGGATCTCCCATTCTAATGCTCACCTGTGACTCTGGCTTCCTGCGTCTTGTGAATTCTGTTCTCCACTCCTCAGCCTACAGCTGTTCCTTAATTTTGCTTTGGCCATAGACCCAAAAGTGGAAATCAGGTTCTTTCCTTGATTCAATAGTAACTACAAATCAACCATACAAGGAGTTTTTGGATTCACAGCTGACTTAACTCAGCATTTCAGGATGTGAAGATCATTACGCTTGAATGTTTGACATCCTTTTCCTTAGAATCCTTTGGTCTTTGAGCCACGTTACTCAGCCATGCGCTTGCTCTGCTCTTACCATTCTCTTTTTGCTTTCTTCCTCTCATAAGCAGAAATCATGTTCTTCAACCTTTTTTTTTCTTGCAAAGCAATACAGACGTCTAAAGACCTTGTCTACAAACTTCAGGAATTCCCTTTCTATATACAAAGTCTCCCCTAAAACTTTGACATTCTCATTATCAAAGGGGCCTGGGTTATTGGAAAAGCCCATTCACGTCTCCATATGAGCATGAAGTTTCTACTGAGCCATAAAGATGCGATACATGGGAAAGACAAAGGGGGTTGAAAACAAGGCCACATGGCAGACCCTTCTAGTGAGATATTTAAAAATCAGTTTCACACTTGTCAGTCCCCTTCTTCACATCAAGGATATCAAAGAAACAAGACTGGAGATTAGGAAAGGTTTTAGAAAGATTTCACTGGAGGCCGGGTGCGGTGGCTCACGCCTGTAATCCCAGCACTTTGGGAGGCTGAGGCAGGCAGATCACGAGGTCAGGAGATCGAGACCATCCTGGCTAACACAATGAAACCCCGTCTCTACTGAAAATACAAAAAACTTAGCCGGGCGTGGTGGCGGGTGCCTATAGTCCCAGCTACTCGGGAGGCTGAGGCAGGAGAATGGCGTGAACCCTGGAGACAGAGCTTGCAGTGAGCCGAGATGGCACCACTGTGCTCCAGCCTGGGTAACAGAGTGAGAGTCCGTCTCAAAAAAAAAAAAAAAGAAAGATTTCACTGGAGAGAACAGTGAGAGGCCTGTAAGAATCCCCATCCTAACCAGAAAGAGATGGGAGTAGGATGCTTTCCATTTCACATCAAGTCAGAAGAGAGAAGCCTGAGAGCCACCCAGAATTGCATTAATTTGATGGAATTGTGTTGTCAGCTGGGGAGTTGCAGGAGACTGATGCATGACTTCTGCTTGGGAAAACTTAAAAGCCACAATGGGCTAGATGGGCCAGTGTACTCTGCCTGCCCTCAGGTCAAAGGAAGGCAGCCCTAAGGAACAGCTGTGGCCCCTGGTCAAGGATGGCTGACCAGATCATCTTTGGTCCAGCTCAAGAGGACTTTCTGGAGGGGCCTGGGGACAGACAGACACAGTCTCTGCCTATGGACCGCTGCAAGGGGAATGGTTAATTGGAGAGAATGCATGACCAAGTCATAGGAAATGCAATCAAATGAGTCCAGTGCAGGGGAGGAGGCTCCAGAAAGGCCACCAAAGGGGCTACCAGAGAAGGTGAGCTTTAATCTCCAGCCAGCCTGAGATCATGGTGCCTCTCACTGCAGACTGGTCAAGTGGCTTTCCTGCTTCTCACTTCTCTCTTTCCTCACTGGAAGTCAGACTTAGCAAAATGGAGGGAAAGGTGAGGAAGCATGGCAGGGAATGAGAAACGGATAGCCACCAGCTCTTTTGAACTTCACCTGCAGAAGATTCAAGTCAGATAAAGAGATTTATCCTAAAACCAAGTCCTTTATTTTGACAATTACACAGCACTGGATATTTTACTGAGTTGCGACTGTGTTTGTCTTTCAGAGATTGATAGTATTTAATTGCCTAAGAATGATTTAAAAAAAACAAAACAAAGCATGGGACTCCGTAAGTTTCAATCAAGGTGTCTATTCTCTCCCTACCTAAAAGTGTCTGAAGAAACTATGGAGGATAGAAATGCAGATGCTGACTAATTGATTGCTCGGTACTGCATTAACTATTCTGCAATATTATTTTTCAATTGTTGACAATTGCAAATAATTGTTAACAATGATTAATAATTCTTTATCCAATATAATTGAACTTGGGTTACTTTTTATTTTCCCCTATAAACAACATTTATATGATGACTAATATATTCTTTTTTTTTTTTTTTGAGACGGAGTCTCACTCTGTTGTCCAGGCTAGAGTTCAATGGTGCGATCTTGGCTCACTGCAACCTCTGCCTCCCGGGTTCAAGCGATTCTCCTGCCTCAGCCTCCCGAGTAGCTGGGATTACAGGCGCCTGCCACCATGCCCAGCTAATTTTTGTATTTTTAGTAGAGGCGAGGTTTCACCATGTTAGCCAGGCTGGTCTTGAACTCCTGACCTCAGGTGATCCACCTGCCTCGGCCTCCCAAAGTGCTGGGATTACAGCCAACATACCCAGCCACTAATACATTGTTAAGTATTTCTTTAGGACAACTGTGAAGTTGTTGGATCCAGGTGTATATTAATAATTAAAATGTTAGCTATGAATTGCCAGATGCACACCGATTTACATGTCATCCACATAAGTACTTGTCATAAATATGTTAAGACCTTCAGTTCTCCTTCCTTTAAGTGACTTGGCTCTCCTGACCCTGATCCTTGTGGATTGATTTATAATGTAACTCTTAAAGGACAACATTATTTGCCAGTTCTTGAGGTGGTGATCACATTCATAAACACACATGCATTTTGGAAATCCAACCTGTTCATATATTAGCAGCTGCCGTCATGTTGTTTTTATGGTCTTTATTATTACAAGATTGGTCTGAAAATTCACCATTATTTGTATACTTTGGATAAATTACCATACTTGGGTTGGGAAAACAAATTTATTGAATCAAATTTTCCAACTCTATGTTCTTCTGAGAAAGATGCAGTTGCTTTCTGACCTCACAACCCCAGCTAAGGCTGTAATTCGGGTTGACTCGGCAAATACAGCTTCTGCCTGATGGGGGTGTTATCTGTAAAATCTCTGGTCTTGGAAGGTGGAAGAAACAGAACTTCAAGAATTTTCTTGGGCTTTCATGACAGGAAAAACAAATTTTTAAAAAAGTCTTAAGAAATATTTCAAAACAGGATTTTAATAAGCAGTAATCCCCTCTGTCTATATTTGGATATGAGGTACCTCCCCATGAAATGTAATTCCTAGCTGGCTGTCACTTGTCATTTTTCCTGTGTTCAATATTCACCAACATAAAGGTCCTATTTTGCCAACTCCCAGCACTTAATTTTCCTTCTCACTCATTTTATCATTTTTCCTAAAGTGAAAATAACACTCAATTGTCAAGGGGATTGAATGCATTGTAAATAACAAATGCTATCTTACTTTCTGGAACTTATCTCATGCTATGTTATGGTTTTACCAGGTCCCACAAAATATCAAATATATGAGCCTTAAAGGGGAAAAGTCTCCATACTAGTATATGAAAAAATTCCTAAATTCCAGAAGGGTGAATGAACAGATGGATACTTTTGGGACATGTGTGTGTGTCATTTTTGTTTTACATTTCCTTGGCTCTGCAAGAGAACGCATTTTCTACAAAGTATGGTAGCTAAAGTGAGGGATCATATTAAACTAAACCTGGAAACAAGAAATGAGAAGTAAATAGTTTAGCAAAAATGCAGTTCCATATGTTAATTTTGAAAAGTTTCATTATTAAAACCACAGATTTAAAATAACAGGGCCACAGTCTAAGACACAAAAGATAAATAGTGATGACTGATGTAATAGAGAATATTTTTCTCACTTGAAGGTATAGATGCCATTCTAACTCATTCATATATGTATTTTCAGATTTTCTTATTTAAGGAAATTCAATGTTTTAATAAACTGCCATAAAAGTAATTATATATTGGTGCTCTCCCACACCCTGGGTAGTGATGTCTTCTATAGGAAGTAAAGAACTGAGCAGTTCTAGCAACGTGGAGGGCTGGACTATTGTAGACCCATCTCTTCTCACAAATATACAAATTCTGGATAAGTCATAAGACCGTAACAGTTTATAAAACATATCTCAGGGGAAAAATGAATCAAAGGAATCCCCAGTTGCCAGAAATGAAGAATGAACCCCTGGACAGAGCAGAGCGAATGTAGCAGCAGCCTGATATGGTTGTGGGATAATTCACATTTAGATAGATGTCCTGCAATTTAGGGGCCAAAGTATGAATGCTCACAGATGGACAGGAGATGTGGCCTGTGGCCTCCGTGAGGCACAGTGCTTGAACTGAGGCTGGCATTGAATTACCCACTCCGTGAAGAGACCCTCACAGAAAAGCTGCCTTGACCAACATGGCAAAGTACAACAAGCTTGCACTATCCCAAGTGTAGGGAAGAGTAGAAAAAGGCACAAATAATCTCTTGAGAAACTGAAACTCTGGCCTGCCACAGGCAGAGGAGTGACAAGCAAAGTTATGGACTAGCTAGCACAGAATCTCAACTCAGAAATCCACATGGAATCTGGTCTCAGATGAAATCCTTGGTACTTTGAAAAAACAAAACCACTAGGAATTCAGAGCTAAAAAGACTCACAGAGAAAACAGACATTTTCCTTATTATTTTTCCTTATATATGTTTTTTAAAGTGCCCTGTTGTTATACTTTATCCAACTGTTTTGTATGTTTGTAGTAGGAGGTGAATCTGTAATAGTTCAGTTCACATGATGCTAGAATCAGATAATGACTTACTTTCTATGCAAGAAATCATCATTCAGAAAAACTTTCAGTCTGAAAAATGTCAAGATGAGCTAGCAAGAAAAAACATGGGAAATAACAAGTAATTATTCATCATAATGGAGAGTCAACGATGGGAGTATTAATGCCCCCCACCCCCAAGAACTAGAGGTCATGGAATAATCTGAAAGAAAGTATAAAATAAGAATATCTAAAATTATTAGATATTAAAAGAACAGAGAACATGATGAAAGGCATGACACTGTGTGTAAAGAACAATCTAATTAACCAAAAGGTAGGCCCCAAAATACATAGAGTGTCTTTCCACAGAGAAAGCAATTTAAAACTTAAAGGATAAACTCAATGATGCATTAAACATAGTAGGAGAGAGACTCAATAAACACAGATATAAAATCTGGGAAATAACCTAGAATGCAGCATGGAGTGATACATAAATTGAAATATGAAAGAGAAGTAAAGAAATATGAAGAATAGTCTTAGGCAGCCTAAAATATATCAAATTAAAATTCCAGAAAGAAAATAATAGAGTGAAAAGAAAGAGCCAATATTCAAAAAGATAATGGCAGAGAATTTTTTGGAATTGATTAAAGTAATCAGTTCTGAGATGTAGAAAGCTCAATGAATCCTAGGCAGAATGGATTAAACAAAATACTCACCTAGATACCTTGTATGTGAACAATGGACTGCCAAAGACAGGCAGAAGGTCTTAAGAGCAGCTAGAACAAAAAGGGGTATTCTAAATAAAAAATAAAATAATAATCTTGTCATCACCAAAATAGAGACCTGAAGACAATAGAATATTATCTTCAAAGTACTTACTAACTTTATATTGAAAACAACTGTCAGTCTAGGATTCTGGGGTAGCTAAACTTCTACTCAGGAGAGAAAGCAAAAGAAAAACATTTTCAGATAAACAATGAATGGGAGTTTCTTCTTTAAAGATGCTTACTGAAGAAACATCTTAAGAGTGTAATTAAATTAGATGAGAATTAACCCTGGAATGAGGAATAGAATGCAAAGATTGATGGTGAGTAGAGGATTATTAAAATGTTGGATACATTTCTTCAAAAGCATTGACTTAAAAATATTAAAACCAAGTATTTGAGAAGAGAATTAAAATCCAGGTGGAACTAGAATGCTAGAAAAGAGCACAATGGAAGATAAGAAACACTCCATAGAACTAATATATTTTGAATTCTTTAAAATGTTTAGGGCAAGAGTATAAATATTGATTTACTGTGCTAAATATGCATTATAATTTTAAGATAAGCATGTAAAAATAGGAATAGAATATACTTTCCCAATAGGTGAAGGAAAGAAAGTATAAAAAAAATAAGAGCAGGATAAAGAGAAGACACAAATTAGTTAATATCAGTATTTGTCATAAATATAAATATAAACTTATCAATTAATATAGCTTCTCAGATTGAATATTATTTTAACAATCCAAACATCTGTCATGGCAGTTTTTCATGCTGATCACTAAATTTTCCTTATCTTCATCCTGGACTCATGATTTGGATGTCACTTGCCTACCCCAGGAGTGAAGTGTGACGTACAACTTGTTATATGATGTGAGCTGAAGTGGTGTGTGCCAGTTTGGGATGGAAATGCTAACAGTTCACAGCATGTCAGGTTTTCTCTTTCTGCTACAACCACTAGCAATGGTGCAAACAATGACTTCTTGGGACCCCAGGGTAAGGATGAAGTGGAACAGAACCCCCCATGGAGCTTTGAGGGACCTGCAGTTCTTTGTTTTGCTCAATTGTTGATATGTTGGAGCCGTTTATTACCACAGCAGAGCATAGCCTAACCTTACTGATGTGTACAGAGAAATATGTAAACATAAAGAAATATACTTTGAAAGTAAGGAATGAGAAAAGAGATACAGGAAAGCATTCATCAAAAGAAAAAACATACATTAATATTAATGTTAGACAAAATAACCTTCAGGACAATACAAATTAATAAAAATATAGAAATAAAGAAAAAATAAAAATATATTCTTACATAAGAATACAAGGAACAATTTGTCAGCAAGATAACAATCCTGAATCTTTGTACATCCAACATCTGAGCCCTAAAATAGATGCAGTGAAAATAGAATTGTAAGGAGCGATGGACAAATTGACAATAATAAAACAGTTCCTACAATCCCATTTCTTTTTCCAGGCAGTGATGAATGGCTGCCCATGTCACCCACTGCTGGGCAATGCTGTGTAAGGAGCAAAGGAGCAATCCCCAGCAGGGATTCTGGGAAGGGATTTTTTTTTTCTGATCAAAATAAGATGTCCTTCACGCCTCCTGTACTTCTCTTTTTGTCTTTGAAAAGATTTTCATTAGGAAGTGATTGTTGAAAAAGCAATAGCCATTTCCTTCATTATTCTTATTATATGGCATTTTATAAAAGCCCATTTTTATGTCAGTGTGAATTGCAGCCCAAAGCATCCTAACAAATACAAAGGTGAACTTCCCGTATTAGGCATCCGTAATCATGATCAAGCTCTGGTAATGAAAATGGCATAATAGTGCAGAAATGGATAAACAGAACAATGCAAGACAACATGCATGTATGTGAACTTGATAGATGCCCTTAGTGGCATTGCAAGGAAGAGAAGACGAAATACACTATTCAATGATTTTGTGGAAACTTCCATTCAGAAAAACATAAAGTTAGAATCCTACCTTACACTATACAGAAAATTACGTTCCAAAGGATTAAAGGCATAAATGTGGAAGGCAAAACCTAAAAATACTTAGAATTGTATCTTGGAGAATATCTGTATAAGCTTGGATGGAGAAGGATTCACTAACCGAGACACACAAACCACAGACTGTGAAAACAAAGAATGATTAATCTAACTACGTTAAAATTAAAATCCTTTGTATAACAAAAGGCAATCCAAACTTAGTGAAAAAGCAAGCCACAGACTAGGAGAAGAAACTTGTTACACTCTTAACCAACAAAGAATCCATATCTAGAACTTATAAAGCGCTTTCTCATAAAAGCATACCCAATTTTTTAAAAAATGGCAAAGGATATAAATAAGTGCATAGCAGAAGAGAAAACCCTAATGGCCAATAAACATATGAAAAGACACGTAATCTCATTAGTGACAGGGAAATGAAGATTAAATCAGCAATGAAATGTCTCTTCACACCCAACAATTTGGCAAAAAAAAAAAAAAAAGGATGCCTCGTTATAACAAGTAAGAGAGAGGAAGTGTAGTTGAGGAACTCTCAAATATTGATTGTGGGAGTGTAAATGGGTACAGCCCCCTGAGTGGATATTGTCAAACTGCTCCCAACTGAGGCTATTCAGACCCTACAACCTGGGTACATATTCTTGAGAAATATATGCACGAGAACCATATACTCTAATCGTCACTGCACATTGTTCGTTAAAAAATAGCAAACAATCAGAAAGAAGCCTAAGACATGGGCGTGTATAAGTTGTCCTATATGCATAGGAGCTTACTAAATAGCAGTTAAAATGAATATCCTAAATCTACATGTATCAACATACATACTCTGTAAGTGTTGAAGGGATAAAGAGCAAGTTACAAATGCATTATATAATTTTGGTAAATTGAAAAGAAAGACATAATGCTATCTAGTTACTTATGCATCAAAGTATAAAACCATTGATAGGAAAGTTATAAAACCCTCAAGATTTTGGTTAATTCTGTGATAAAAAGGAAGGGATTATATGGGGACATTTCCAATATATGTGCAATAATTTCTTTCTTAAACAGATGTCAAAGAAATATGGCAATATGCCAACATTTATTAAATCTAGGGTTGGATATATCTGGATGTCTGTATATTATTTTCAGTATGTCTGAAATATAATTATTTTCCATGTTTGAAAGAGAATCAATGTATGATTTTTTTTTTTTTGAGACGTAGTTTCGCTCTGTCACCCAGGCTGAAGTGCAGTGGCGTGATCTCAGCTCACTGCAACCACCGCCTTCTGGGTTCAAGCGATTCTCCTGCCTCAGCCTCCCGAGTAGCTGGAACTACAGGCACCCACCACCACTACTAAAAATAGTAGAGATAGGATTTCACCATATTGGCCAGGCTGGTCTCGAACTCCTGACCTTGTGATCAGCCTGCCTCGGCATCCCAAACTGCTGGGATTACAGATGTGAGCCACCGTGCCCAGCCACTGTAAGAATATTTTAAAATAAAATAAGAATGAGTTGTGTTAAATAAAATAATTGAAAAGTTAAATAAAATGAGTTATGAATAAAGGTGAAAAAATGTTAAATTCTGTAGTTGGAAGGAAGACATCCATTTCTTTTTAGAATGGAAAGAAGGGAAAAGAAGGTGTATTAGATTTTTAACCTGAGTTCAGCTATGCACCCATAGCTTTCTGGAAAGCCCCTTGCCAAGTTATTAAAGACCCGTGCAGCTGATCTCAGGAACTCTGCACATGTTAACATTTGTAAGTCCCAGAGCAGTCAAAATGGGTCGAGGGGTGGACTCCAGGAGAGGCCTTGGAGGCCAGCACACTTTTTACAACATTCACATCGGGATTTCTCTGAGTTGAACAGTCTCACGGGGTGTGCAAACGCAGGTCTATGTGTGCTCTGGAGCTGCACCTGCTGCCACCATCACCTTGGTCTTACGTTGCCTCCTGGCCAGGGCCAGCTTCATGGGCCTGCGACCTGCGTAGGTCTTCCTGACTAATAACCCTGCATTTTCATTTTGCACTGGGCCTCCCATATTATGTAGCCAGTCCTACTCCTGGCAACCACCGAATGGTGATGGTCCTGTGCTGAAGGGGGTATGTTTTCTCATCTTTACCTGGTCAGCGCTGTCCCCAGCACTTGAATTGAACCATCCATTCATACAACTTGCTTGACTCCTGCAGGCATCTAGTTTGTTGCCTGTATTTTACAGTTTGGACCTGGCTGTACTAAGGAGTTCCTGCAGAAAAATGCTGTCCTGCCATCAAGCTCTGTGAAATTTTGGGAGTCCAGGGCAGAAGGCTGCATTCATCTTGACACTGATGCCTTGATACTAATTCTATTTATATTCAGTGAAACTAATGCAACAACTTAAAGTAAAAGGACAATGAAACTGAAGTTATGGTATCTCAGAAATGATTATTTAGGTAAACACAATCTGATTGTCTTTAGATAGTATTAACATGCCCATCTACGTGAGAAGTCTTGTACGGTCTTTATCCAAATCAAAGGCGCCAGCTTAATTCAGACTTTCATAGAAGCTGGTTGTCTGATCCTTAACTTTTATACTTAGGCTGTGTGCGGTGGCTCATGCCTATAATCCCAGAGCTTTGGGAGGCCGAGGCAGGTAGATCATGAGGTCAGGAATTCAAGACCAGCCTAGCCAACATGGTGAAATCCCGTCTCTACTAAAAATACAAAAATTAACTAAGAGAGGTGGCGCATGCCTGTAATCCCAGCTACTCAGGAGGCTGAGGCAGGAGAATTGCTTGAACCTGGGTGGCAGAGGCTGCAGTGAGCCGAGATCATGCCATTGCACTCCAGCCTGGGCGACAGAGCAAGACTCCATCTAAAAAAAAGTTTCATACTTAAAAAAAAAGTTTACACAAAAACAAAAACATCTTTCTAGATGTTTCTAGATGTCAGAGAGAAATGGTTAATGCATACATTCTCTTTTAGAAGCAGAAGCAATCTGGAAAAAGAAGTCCAGAGTTTTAGCCTACGGCCTTAATGGCTGGTCCTCTAAAACCTCCCATCCTCACCCTGCATCCACGCCTTCCAAGACGTCTTGGGAAATTTCAGGGCAAGAGTCCCAAGGAAGGGATTGCTCTCGGTACCATTAGTGAAGGGCATCAGCCTTGAAAAAAGGACCTTGGCCAGGGCAGGGCTGAGGATGGGTCAAGGGATGTGGTTGCTCTTCTCCTTGGTGACATTGTGGTGACCATGAGCAGAAAAATGGTAAATCCCTCAATGACACTGACTAGGTTTGAAGCTTACATTGTATTGGTAGGAGGGGGAATTTCCCTTTCAAAAGACTCCTCAATTCCTGGATATGCATAATGTTCTGCGGTGTAAGAAGCATGCCAGGAATGGAAGGGACAAATATGCAGGAAGTTTGTCCATCCACTTTATATGTACTACAGTTTGTGGTTATGAGAGCATCGAAGGTATTCAGGGCAATGACATTCTCATTCATGGCATTCCACTTGGCTCCTGGGGAATATAAACCAGTTGTCTCATGTAAAAAAGTCTCACACTCCCATTAGGAAAACATTAGGAGAAAATAGACATAACAGGGACATATTTAATTTTTTAATGATCGTCTAAAGACCACAAAGAGTCTGTGATATGAAAGACTTTAAATTCCTCTTTGATCTACGTTAGCTGAGTAATCACCACATTATCACAACATGCGGGGGCTCCAAGCATCCGAAACAGTACAGATGTCATCCCAGCAGACGCCATACCTTCTGCCTCTGTGCAAGCTGATGAACCCATCCAAACTGGCTTTCCTCATCTGTAAAATGGGTAGATATTGGGATTTTCTTCATAGATTTTAAGGATTAATGATCATGCAGGAAACAGGCTTAGCACAGGGTCCAGCACTTAGGAAGTCCTTGGTGGGTGCTAAGGATGATTCCTAACTCAGGCAGGCAGGTATTGAGGCAGTGCCTCCAGCGTCTGGTCCCTACATCCTATCCACAAAATCAGTGCAGAGGGAACATGCATTACAGCAGCAGACCTAGAAGCCAAGAGAAAGAAGGAATGTTTTAGTTCTTCTGAAGTTGAGACCCTGGATATGTTGAGAAAACTAGCATGGAATAAGAGCGGTCAAAGAAAGGCTTTAAGAAATAAAGTCGCTAGAATTTATTGTTTCTGTCTAACACTAAATAATCCCTGAGAGGACTAACAGCATCACTGGCCGTCCCAAGTGATCAATTTGGAAAGCAACATACAGTCATGAGTTGCTTAACAACTGGGGATCCATTCTGAGAAATGCATAGTTAGGCAAAGTCATCGCTGTGGGAGCATCACGGAGTGCACTTACACAAACCTAGGAGGCAGAGCCCACTACACACCTAGGCTTTATGGTATAACCTATCACTCCAAGGCTACAAACTTGTACAGCATGTTATTGTGCTGAGTACTGTAGGCAATTGTTACATAATGATAAGCATTTTTGTATATAAACATAGAAGTGATACAGTAAAAATAAGGTATTGTAATCTTATGGGACCACCTTTCTATGTACAGTCCATTGTTGACTAAAATGTTGTCATGCAGTTCTTGGCAGAACCTAAATGATTCAGCTCTCTGGCTCTGGGGACAGACAACGCCAGTATGCTCTGGCTGGGTACTATAGTGCATGCTATTTCACCTCTGTAAGCCTGAGTCTTCACATCTGCAAAACTGGGATATCAATTGTGCCTCCCTCATGGGCTTGTTGAAGTGTTAAGTGTTCAGCTCTCGGCAGTGTTAATTGGAATTCTCTCTAATATACCCCCAGAGAAGAGCTTTAGGGAACAAGATGGCACCAAAATCATATTTTTGGCATGTCTTTCAGACAACAGATAAAAGGATGATCAGTTCTGAATGCTCAAAGACTGGCTTAGTCAGCCTCTCCTCATGCCCTCCTCCCCTGATGTCCTCAGTGATGTGGGAGCCCTCGTGAGGACTCCCCAGCAAGCCAGCCTACATGCAGTGCGATGACCTGAAAACTCAGTCATCTGCAGACTCCATGACGTGAGCATGAGTCACTGAACTCTCTAAATGTTACACTCTACAAGGTGAGTGCTGCTTGTTTATAAAGACAATGGGGCCTCGGCTATATCCGATCTTGTCTCCTTGAAAATTCTTAGTCACATATTAGTCAGAACACCCCCAAGTCAGAAGGGAGAGCCTACCCCCAGATTCTGCATGTAACTTCTGGAACCTCCTGAGTCAGCAGTGTTGTCACACCCCCTCCACCTCTGTGGCTGGGGTCAGGCACATGACTGGATGGATGGATGTCCATGAAACAGCCTCCTACACCCTGTAAAGCCCCTTGTCTCCCAGGCCCACTGCTAGCAACTGAAACTCCCTTGCCTTCCTTCTAGGAAAAACCCATGCCAGAGACTTTATTTTTTCCAAGTAGACTTTACTTTCGGCAGTTTTAGGTTTTCAGAAAAATTGCTCAGAAGAAAAGGTACAGAGAGTTCCCATATACCTTCCCCGTCCTCTCCCCAGTTTTCCCTGTTGTTAACATGTATTATTTTGGTACATTTGTTATAATTGATGAACCAATATTATTACACTATTATTAACCAGAGCCCATAGTTTACATTAAGGCTCACTCTTTGTGCTGTATATTCTATGAGTTTTGGCAAATACATAATGTCATGTATCCATCATTGCAGTATCATAAGTAATAGTTTAACTGCCCTAAAAATCTCATGGCTTCACCTGTTCATCCCTCATCTCTCGCCTCCCCAACTCCTGCAGAACACTGATCCTTTTATTATCTCTATAGCTTTTGTCCTTTCCACAATGTTATAGAGTTGGACTCATACAGAATGCAGCCTGTTCAGAATAGCATCTTTTACTTTACAGTATGCATTAAGGCTTCTCCATGTCTTTTCATGGCCTGATAACTCACTTGTTTTATTGTTGATTAATACACCATTGTATACACGTGCCACAGTTTTGCTGTTTGCCTATTTAAAACATCTTGGCTACCACTTTTTGTCAGTTATGAATAAAACTGCCATGTGCAGGTTTTTATGTGGACATAAGTTTTCCAGAGGCTTTTTTTTTTCATTATTAAGATCTTCAGTGATTCACCATCTTCTGCTTTTTTGGTTTTTCTGAGAGTAGGCAAAATGGAGTTTCATTTGGAAGCCTTACTTTCTGAAAAATGGTGGGTGAAATGGAAAGTCTGGCTTTCATCCTTTAGGAGTTCATTTAACCCTTCTGATTTTTGACTCATCCATTAAGGCAGTGATAACATACAGTCTGGAAAATACACATAAAGAGGATGGTTATAAAATAATAAGCAAATAAACATTCATTTTACATGTTTCCTTGCACTCTTTACTTCCTCCTCTCGTCCCTCCCTTTACATTTTCCTGCTGAGAAATTTTAAGATTAGATTTCCAAGTTATCTGCTGCTTGAATTTTTCACACATTTTTATTTAGTATCTAAGGATTTCCCACACCACCCCAATTTCCATCCTGGATTAATCATACATTATAAATTCTGAATGTATGCTGACATTTCTGTTTGGTCTTTACAGTTATGATAAAAAGTTAATTCCAAGGTGAGTCTTCATTGGCTAGAAGTGAGATCGTTGCCTCTGAGTTGTGGGAGTAGCCCAGGGTGGTGAGTGAGGAGAAAGGGAGGAAACAGGTCAGACCACCCCCAAGGGAGGAGGATACAGAGGGGAGTGCTGTAATGATTACTCATAGTTGGAGGACATATTAGTGCATCGTAGATAATGTAGTAGGAACCAAGTGCCACAGGATTGATTATTTGTTTATTTTGAGATAAGAGTCTCACTCTGCTGCCCAGGTTGGTGTGCAGTGACACGATCTCAGCACACAGCAACTTCCGTCTCCCGGGCTCAAGTGATCTTCCCACTTCAGCTTCCCAAGTAGCTAGGACCACAAATGCAAGCCACCACGCTGGCCTAATTTTTAAATTTTGTGTAGAGATGGGGCCTCACTATGTTACCCAGGCTGGCCCATAGGATTATTTAAATCAAGAATTCTCTGTCTTCTATGCTAATAGCTTATGCCAAGTCTCGGCAGGGCAGTTCACTGAAACCTGAAATGATGGCCTGAAATGTCACAGGTTGGTGAGGATGCTAGCAATATGGTCTGGGCTCTCTGATTTATGAATTTTGGAAGCTGTGTCTGCATAGTACTGCTAAAAAGGACTGAGAAAGAAAATTATCTGTTTTCTACCCAGTTGCTTTGCCAAGTAAGAACAAAATCATTTGGAATGGAATTGTCTCAACTGATTGATCCACAGTGGTAAAAATAGTCTTTTCCAGACAGGTCAAGGTTACAGCATGACTGTCTGTGGCCATCTGTGACTTCCACTTCAAGCCCGTCATTGGCTCCCTGTGCTTTCTGGACAAGGGCATCACGATCTGACCGTTGCCTACCTCCTGTTGGCTTTTCCTTGTTTCAAAGGCTATATTTCAGATATTCTGAACTTTCAAAATTTCCAGAAGGCCAACATTCTTCTTCCAAATTCTTTAGATCATACTTACCATTTCTCCTAGAATGACCCACCCACTCATCTCTATTACCTTCCTCTCTTACTCTTCTCTGAGCACCCTCCCTAACCCCTAATGGGCTGCATGCCTGGCATATTGTGTGCCCCATTGCATCATTTACTTCCCTTGTTGTGGCACTCTTCTCTCCACCTTGTACTTACCTGATCATGCATCCTCCTCTCTCTACTAGAATGCAAGCTCATGAGTATAGGAGCCAGCTTCACTCCATCATGCTCATGGAGTGGAGCCCTGTGCCCAGTATCTAGTAGGGTCTCAATGAATGAATGAATGAATGAATGAATGAACCTAAAATTAGACTGAAGATGCTTGAAGCACATGCTAAAAGCTGGGGGATTATATGAACAAGACAGGAAATTCATATTATTGCCTTTCACACCACAGCTGTAAGGGCTGTAGAACTAAACCAACAAGCAAATACACACAACAAAAGAATTATCTTCCCCAGATAGGCCAAGTGCACATCTCCAGACTTGGGGTACACACTGCTGGTTACCTACCTAGTACCCATGTGCATCTTTTTCCTTGCTAATAGAATCCCAGTTTTGTTCAAGGGGACAATGTCCTACATTTTAAAAATAAAAGCTACATTTCTCATGTTTTTTTTTTTTTCTTTTTCAGTGGAGTTCACCATCTCAGACAATTCTCACCAGTGAGAAGCAGAAGATTGCTGGCGATTCAGAGAAAGTTTCATTTTCCTGATACGAAGGTATCCTTTCCTTCCTGTTGCCTGTCTTCCTCTTTTTTTGCCTGGAATGTAAAGGAAAGGCAAGAGTAGACTCACTGTAAGTACACAACTACATTCTAAGAAAGTCAGACCAGAAAGACGGAAAGAGCCTTGAACCTTAAAAATATGGTGGAGCCTACCTTCAGATGTGTCATCAGAGAAAAATAAACTGGCTAAGCCACAGGAGACTAATTTGTGTTCTATGCAGAATGCCACCTCTGAGTGACACAGAGCTTTATCTCTAGGCTCCTGAAGTGAGTGCTTTTCAGTGGGGTAAAAACAAAAAACCCCAGTTTTTGTTTGTTTATTTGTTTGTTTTGAGACGGAGTCTCACTCTGTCGCTAGGCTGAAGTGCAGTGGTGAGACCTTGGCTCACTGCAACCTCTGCCTCCCGGGTTCAAGCGATTCTCCTGCCTCAGCCTCCTGAGTAGCTGGGACTATAGGCACATGCCATCATGCCCAGCTAATTTTTGTATTTTTAGTAGACACAGGGTTTCACCATGTTGGCCAGGATGGTCTCGATCTCCTGACCTTGTGATCCACCCACCTTGGCCTTCCAAAGTCCTGGGATTACAGGCATGAGCCACTGCGTGGGGCCAAAAAACACCCCAATTTAAGCCCCTGTTTTGTATGGCCTAATGTGTAGAGGACAAAGGAAACTAGCCAGGCCCAAACATTTGGTCATTCAACAATCAAATTGTAGGTGGTTCAGGAACCATTAGCTCTCTCATTGAGGGGACATCTGAATACTCAATCTTCAGAAGTTGCAGTAAGTCAGATCAACAACTGCAAACTTCTTTTCCCTTCATCTCTTCTGTCTTGCTTTCCTTTCTGGACTCACTTCCACTACCTGCTCTCTTACCACCCTAGTTCTCTTTTTTGTCCTTTGTATGATGCTGTATGGCCATTTAAATTTCCCTGATTATCTGTTGGCTTTTGCAGAGGTAGCTGTCAAAAACTACATCTGAGACGATTGCATACAGTAGGAACTCTGGGACCCAAACATGTTAACTCATCCCCAGCTGAGACCAACTCTTAGAATGGTGTCTTGAAATTTCCAAGTCTTTATGGTTTACAAACTTCTGTTATGGCTCTAGGAGGTCAAATAACTTATCTTAGAGGTTTTACAGTCTGGAGGGAGGGGATGGGAGGTATGCATGCAAATGTGCACATGCAGGAATTTCCAGGAAACTTATTTAAAATGCTTCTTTCTCTTTCCCACTCCTGGAAATTGTGATTCAGTTAGCAGAGCCCAGGAACTTGAATTAACAAGCACCCAAATGTTTTGACTCAGGGGGTTCCTGAGTCAGACTTGAAGAACTATTGACCTATGATGGGTCTGAGGTGGCCCCATGTGCTGAGCTGGCCCCGTGTGCTGAGCTGGTCCCCATCTGACAGCAAGGTCTTGAAGAAAATGAAACTGGAATTGGGTCTTGGGGGGCCAAGTAGGTGAGGGATATGGAAAAGATAATTGACACAAGGGAGGGGAAATAATGCTAAAAAAGAAGGATGAGATTGTCAAAATGCAAAGTTTCTGTCTCCACAGAGGTATGAACCTATCAATGTTGTCCGTGTACATTATGGTGACAGGGTATTAGTATCAAACTGTTTTGCTTAGGATAACCATGGCATCCTGAGTATAATAGGTCATGAAACCAATACAATGCAATACATGTGAGCAACTTAATTATACTTGTCATGGTGTTGAGAGCATTTAAATTATGATATGCTGGCATGGTCCAACCTGGATCATTTGAATTCAGCAGTGCGTGCGTATGTGTGTGTGCTCATGAGTGTGTGCAAGGGAGAAGGGGGCACAGTACATCTTGATTCATGTAATATCTGTGTGGTCGAGAGAATTCTCATTTTCCATGAAAGTAAAACAGATTGAGAACTAACAGTTCATTACCTCTGGGCCAGACTTTTTCTCCTTGGGTCAAACAATCAAGTGTTTAGAGCCGAGTCTGAGCCTTAAGAAAACAAGGCTGACCATGGAGCATTTGGACCCATGAACACAATCTTGCTGGGGCTGGAGGGGTCAGAGCTGCTCACATCTAGACCCACAGAAGCGAGCTGATGAGACTAATTGGGACTTCTTGTGCACCAGGCTGAGGGTAATTGGGTCCCTAGACATGTTGACCTTTTCATTTATTCACCATTTAACATGAGCTCTTAGCTACTGTGTTTGGAGCTTAAACTGGTACATTTAAAGCAGCAGCCACATTCTTCTTCTGCGTGTCCATTCATCCTTCTTAGCTTCTTTTCTTTCTTCCTTCCTTCAGTCTGCCCTTCTTTCTGGTCTTTTGAGGAAGATGGAGTGGCCTCTGAGTGGAGGTATTTGCCAACAGAAGGCAAACCTTACTTCTTGTCTAGGCCTCTTTCTAGGGGTGATGGGGGTATCACTTAATAAGGCCCCCAGCCTCAGAAATGGAGTTGAGAATTTGAATAGCGTGGTTCTGCTCCAGCTGCCCCTTCCAGACCGTCTCAGCATGGGCTGGCTGGACTCCCTATTTCTCTGCCCCACAGGCTGGCCAATGGTCTGAGAAGCACTTGGGCACTGGGGCACTGATCTGGCCTTTGTCCCCAGCGGTGTTCTTCTTTGCCACCAGCTGCCTGCTAACTCAGTCTATTCCTGTAGTCAGTAGAGGGGCAAAGTACCCAGTGCACACAGGCCAAGGCCCATGGCATTGCCTGGGCCTCTTATAGCTACAGTATTCGTATCGCTGAGAAAAGAAGGTTCTTGAAACTTTTTCTTGGCTATTGAATGCAACCAGGTGGTCTCCAGGAATCCAAATAAGATGAATAGCAGGTGGGTGCACTTTTGCTCTTTTGTGCTGTAACACAACCACTTACAATAGGGCCCTCTTACTCCTACAGCAGGGTGACTTCACCTCTCATCCAGGAACCCCTGGGCCCTTCCATCCTGAAATAACATGCAAAATATCACTTGGGAGTGCATTTACACACATGGTGCAAAGAGGGGCTGCGTTGTTTCCATCATGCTCTCAAAGGGTTGCTGGGCCTCCCAAATGTAAGACCCATCCCTCTATACTCTCACCTTTACCCTCTGGCCTGAGGTGTTCACATTTTGTTATGCCTAGGACAGGTTGTTTACAAGATACACAGTTAAATATCTTTTTTGAAATTTTAATGTCTTAGGAAAAATAAATACTGCATCAAAACTGCAATTTTGTGGATTTTAAAGTTTGAAGCTAAACTATCTTAAAATGGTTGATTTAAGTAAAAACATCAAATAATGCAGGTGGTGTGCTGATATATCAAATATCAGGAGGAGGGCAGCTTGTTGACCTGTGGGAGCTCACTCTGGCCACGCAGCTTCCTCGTGTCTCCACACAGCCTGCACTGCCGACACCTCACCTCACAGGAACCCCCAGCCTTGCATTTTCTCCCATCTGCCTCACATGATGCAGCTCATAGGACCAGGATCAGGCTCCCTTGTCTTTGAAGCTTCTCTGACTCCTCAGGGGGAGCAGCCCCATGCCTTTGGAACCCCCTGTGGTTTTGTCTCACATCCTGTTCAACAGACAGATGAGCGTCTTTGTTCAAGTGACAGTTTCCTCTGAGGCTGCAAGATCCTTCAGGGAGGACTCAGGTCCCCTCACTGTGGGAAGTCTTGCTTACTTGACTGGTGCCAGGCTTATTATAGAGGCTCAAACAAATTTGTGGAATGCATGAGTGAATCAATGGGTGCAATAATGAGTGGATGAGCGAGTGCATGGGCGAATGACTGAATGAGTGAATGGACAAACAGCTCCTGTGTCTGGCCTCACCAGGAAAGTGTTTCAATTAAGGCACCTTTCGAGAAAATTTTCATAGCTGTCAGACTTTTTGTAACAATTTATGTTAGAAATGTTTCTACATCAGAAAAGCATAATATTAAAGAGCATGATATTACAAGACAAACAACCTGGGTTCTAAATCTGGTCTGACACCAACTGGTTGGTGAGTTTAATGACTACTTTCATTCTGTATGAGCTCTTGGCAGCATTTATGTCATGTCTTGACACTGTTCGTTCCTTAAGATTCTCCTCTCTTCCGATTTCTGTATTTCCTCCACTCCCTTGACTGTCTCAGCCCCTCTCCCTCTTTTCTCTGTTCATCCCTTGATTCCTGCCATAACCCAGGACTCTACTGGGATGGTGCAAAAGTAATTGCCATTACTTTTATTGGCAAAAACAGCAGTTAGTTTTGCACCAACCTAATAGCTGCCACTGCTGCTTTTCTTACCAAATCCCCGCCCAGGACAAACTTCCTCAGGCTCAAACACACCTCAGCTGCCACCAATCTGTTCAGTGCTCTCATATCTCTCTCCAAACTCCCTTCTAATCCCAGACCTTTATTCCCAGCTAATCTTCTGTTACATGTACCTTAAGCTTGGCATTTTAAGAACAGAACTCCTTACCTTCCCTCTTGACCAAAGCCAGTCTGCTGCAATCAGGCACAAACTTTGAGTCTAATTCACAGACTCTAACTCAGATGGTAAGTTAGCTGCTTGAGTCCAAACTGTGGTTTACTTTTTTAGTAACCTGGGACAAGTGACTTCGACTCTCATTATCTCAATCATAATTACCTCACTTATAAAATGGATAGACAAATCCTGTAACACTGAAACTCACCTGTGCATGTGTGGATGAAATATGATTACGTGTGTGAAATTTGTAGCACAAAGAAAGCCCTTCCTTTGGGA
The DNA here is from genome assembly GCF_000001405.40 of Homo sapiens. NCBI lineage: Eukaryota > Metazoa > Chordata > Mammalia > Primates > Hominidae > Homo > Homo sapiens. The sequence goes on from NC_000007.14 coordinate 41,037,172, forward strand.
TTGCCTTTTTTACCTTGCCAACCAAGGGCATTTGTCTCCATTATTTTTTAGTTTTTTCTGCCCCTCTGAAGCCGAATCATTTCCCCCCACATAGACACTCTCGCCTTTGAAGTATGGATTACATATGTCTGTGGGTCTCACTTGCATGCCTGTCTTTCCCTCTAAATTGTGAACTCCTGTGTCCTTACTGAATCTGAATCCTCACACCAGGCACTTAACACACATTAGGTGAGTTGTGTTAAGCTGAATGATACTTTAAAAAAAAAAAAGATATATTACATAATTCTCAAGAAGATTCTAGAAAGAAGACAGTAAAGTCCATGTGCTCAGCCTTTTTTTTTTTTTATTTCAGAACACTGAGTTTCAAATTATTGAATTTACTGACAGAACAGTGAAAATTTCTTAACTAACCTGGAAAAGTTCACTAATTGAAAGGGTCATTTCAGTTGCAATTCCAGAGGCCTTCTGGAATCAGCTTTAGTGTCCTTGGCAAATGTCTAGATAGACCCTCCTTCCAACATGCAGACCGTGGAAATGCCTCAGTTATCAGTTCACCGCCATGTGTGCACTTTTTTTTTTTTTTTGGAAAGGTAGGTTTGAGTATCCCTCCAGCTTTTCTTGAGAAAAGCTGAAAATATGGAAACTTCTTAAGTAATTGATTTAGCTTCCCTGAAGCTCCTAGTTCTTGGCAGGTCCGATGTTGGAAACTGCAATAAGATTCCTTTTTCTGTTGTGTTTTCGACATTTGGTTCTTAATCCATATAAAAGTGCAGTTGCTATGAGGGAATGTTGTTGGGTCACTCAGAACACAGGAAAGGAAAAAAATTATCTAATAATACATACACACCCTGCAAGCGGGGGAAGAGTGCTTCTGATCTTTCTTATATTTTTCTTTCCAAGAAAGTCTTGAAATGGAGGGGGACAAAGGAAGGATTGTGAGAGGGCTTGGAGAAGTGGGCAGCTCAGGGCACCTGCCTGCCCGGAGCTGGGACAGGTGGAAAGTGAGGCATCCGTCTGACCTCCTTTTTGCCCTCCTCTGTTGGGCCTGGTGTAAGTAGAAGGTTGCTACAGGGCTGTGTGGGGCACTTGCTGGAGGCTTCTGACCTAGGCACTTGCAGCTGATGCCTGCTGTGTATTGACTTTCCTCTGATTCTTCCTTCTGCTATTCTGCAGGCAGCAAACAGAGGCCTTGAGAAAACCCTCGAAAATGGCACCTTGGCTGAAAGCCCAAGGGAGGCTCCCATCTCTGTCCATTCAGGGAATGTTCCGCAGGCCTGTTTTTACGTGGGACGTGGCTGCTGCCCTGAACAGACAAGTAGTCATATTTCACTTACTCTTAATATACCCAGTACCCCCAGTACCCCTCTGCCAACTCTTCTGTGACCGGTGCTAGTTTCAGACAGGAAAGGAAGGTGAGTTGCCTCCTCATCAACAGTGGAGGATCACCCTGCTGTGGGACAGCTTTAGAAACCCAGTTTGAACTCCCCATAAGCTGGCTCTATTCACAGAAGGAGAACACATTAATCAATGAAGGCCAAATCTCTGCCTCCCATACCATGCCTCATAGTTTCCATAAAAGAGAGCACATTGGGCTCCATCTCTCTTCACTTCAGTTTCATCATCAGCAAGCTGAAGATAGTGATATTGACCTCGAAATGGGGCTGTCAGGGTTAACTGACATGGGGCATGCAACGTGGGGAAAGGGGAGTGGGGCAAAGAGAAAGTGCTCTGGAAATAGTAATTATTCTTTTATTTCTCTTATATATGCTTTATTATTTTATTTTAATTCCCTTTGTCATTTCACTAACTTCTCTGTGGGCAGCTCTTTCTCTAGCAGAAACCCCTTCTCTTTATTTGTTTTCCGTTTTTTGAGACAGGGTCTCGCTCTGTTCCCAGGCTGGAGAGCACTGGTGCAATCACAGCTCACCACAGCCTCAAACTCCCAGGCTCAAGGATCCTCCCACCTCAGCCCCTTGAGTAGCTGGGATCACTGGCACATGCCACCATGCTAATTTTAAAAAGTTTATTTTGTAGAGACAGGGTCTCACTATGTTGCCCAGGCTAGTCCAGAGTCCCTTTCGTAATTCAAAGTCCCTATAACTCTCTGTTCTGTCAACGTGAAGGCATCAAACACTCTAACATATGTTTGCCGTTGAAAGCCAATCTCTCAGCATTCCCTGTGTGAGGGACCCCAGACACCACACCAGGGAGCTGACCCTTGTGAGACCAGTATCAAGGTGGAAAAAAAGAGTCCAGTGTGGGCTGTGTGTGTGTGTGTGTGTGTAAGAGTGTGTATATGTGTGCATGCATATCTAGAATGTGTTTGGGGTTGGAGTGGAATGAATCAGGGGCTTGGATTCTTGGAAGGGCTTAAAGATTTCTTGGAAGGAGAGACCACAGGGGTGATGACCAGGGAATACTTGAGAAGGCAAGAGCTCCAGGGAGTGGGAAGAGCGATGGAGAGGGGTAATGAAGAGGAAGAGGCCTTTCCCCATCCCCAGGCCCCACTGTTGCCTAAGGCTATTTTAGCAAGCCTGCTGAGCCTTGGGACAAGCCTTGGGGTGAGCAACGAGGCCCTGAGAAAATCCCTGCAGCCTCTGGCTGCAGCACCACGTGGCTTCCTTCGTTCCCAAGGCTTGTCTTCTTGCCTTCTTGCTCATGTTTCCTCAGCTTTGGCATGATGACTGGTCCCAGGCTCCCATGGACCTCCTGCCATTATCTTCCAATGTGCTAACAATATTGTTTCTTCTCATATTTCTTGTTGATTGTGTGTTTCTGCAAGAGAGAAGAAAAGGTTTCCATAACCACTCACATATCCAGCCACAGTGCCTTGGATTGAAAGAGGTATTTCCTACGGAATTTGGTGTATTTGTTCTGCCAGGTTCTGACCTTCTGCCACTAAACTGAAAACTGGAAAGGGAGCTCCCTCTCCTGAATGGTCACAACCCCCGCGGGGCTCCCATAAATCTCATTCTGTTTACTACTGATCTCCTTTGCTCTGCTGTTCTTGGATTGCTGATTCTGAGGGTGTTAATACAACACAACTTCCCATGTAGAGCAACTCATTTAACCAAGAGACTCAGCTGGGACCCTCAGTGGCTAGGAGAGTAGGGGGAAGACTGGTGACAGTCCAGGGTTAATTCTAAAATCAGCAGACCTACCTGATGAAGGAGGGAACAACAGTCTCAGATTCTTATTAAGAGTGATCCTCTTAAACTGGAAGCGTGTTCTGGCACCTTTACTGTATTCATAGGCAAGCCAAACAGTTTTTGTATGTTTGAGAACTCTATTTCATTCTTGGACTTGAAAAGCTTCTCCTTTATTTTTTTCCTTTTCAGAATAGATCTTTTGATAGCTAAAGCAATGTTGAAAAAAGAACAAAATTAAAGATCCCTCACTTTCCAATGTCAAACTTTATTACAAAGTTGTAATAATCAAAACAGAGTGTCATAAAGATAGACACACAGATCAATGGAATAGAACAGATAGCCCAAATATAAACCCTTGCATATGTGGTCAAATGATTTATGACAAGGGTACCAGAACTATTCAATGGGGAAAGGACAGTCTGGTTTGGACTTATCTTGTCTTGTCTTCTCTCCTCTCCTCTTCTCTCTCTCTCTCTTTTTTTTTTTTTTCAAATAGTGTCTTGTTCTGTTGCCCAGGCTGGAGTGCAGTGGCATGATCATGGCTCACTGCAGCCTTGACCTCCTAGGCTCACGTGATCCTCCTACCTCAGCCTCCTGAGTAGCTGAGACTACAGGAATATACCACCATGCCTGGCTAATTTCTTCTTTTGAGATGAAGTCTCACTCTGTCGCCCAGTCTGAAGTGCAGTGGCACAGTCTCGGCTCACTGCAAACTCTGCCTCCCAGGTTCAAGAAATTCTACTGCCTCAGCCTCCCGAGTAACTGGAACTACAGGTGTGTGCCACCACACCTGGCTAATTTTTGTATTTTTAGTAGAGATGGGGTTTCACCATGTTGGCCAGGCTGGTCTCAAACTCCTGACCTCGTGATCCACCTGCCTCAACCTCCCAAAGTGCTGGGACTACAGGTGTGAGCCACCACACTCGGCCTGCTAATTTTTAATTTTTTGTGAAGACAGGGTCTTGCTACGTTGCCTAGGCTGGTCTCAAACTCCTGGGCTAAAATAATCCTCCTGACTTGGCTTCCCAAAATGCTGAGATTACAGGCGCGAGCCACCATGCCCAGCCAGGTCAGTCTTTTCAACAAGTGGTATTCAAAAAACTGGTTACCCATATGGAAAAGAGTAAAGTTGAAACCTTACCTTACAGAATATACAAAAGTAACTCAAAATAGATCAAAGACCTAAACATAAGAGCTAAAACTACAAAACTCTTACCAAAAAAAAAAAAAATAGAGAAAAAGCTTCATGAGATTGAATATGGCGATTTTTTGACATGCATCAAAAGCCCAGAAAACAAAAGAAAAAATAAATTGGACCACATCAAAATTTTTAAAATTTCTATGCATCAAAGGACACAATCAACAAAGTGAAAAGACAACCTATGGAATGGGAGAAAATATTTGCAAGTTATGTATCTGATAAAGATTAATATTCAAAATGTTCAAAGAACTACAACTAAACAATAAGAAAACAAATAACCTGATTTTAAAATGGGCAAATGACTTGAATAGATGTTTCCTTAAAGAAGATATACAAATGGCTAATAAGCATGTGGAAAGATGCCCAACATCACTAATCCTAAGGGAAATGCAAATCAAAACCACACTCCTCACATCCACTAAGGTGGTTACTTTAAAAAACAAAACAAAACAAAACAAAAAAAAACAGAAAATAAATGTCGGTAAGGATGTAGAGAAATTGGAATTTTTTGCAGGCACTGTTGGTGAGAATGTAAAATGGTGAGAATGTAAAATGAGACACTATGATAGTTCCTCAAAAAATTAAAAATAAAATGTTCATGTGATCCAGAAATTCCGCTTCTGGGTATATATCCAGAAGAATTGAGAGTAGAGTCTCAGAGAGATATTTACACACTCATGTTCATTGCAGCATTGTTCATGATACTTATAATGCGGGAACAACTCTAGTGTAGGTCCAATAGGTGAACAGATAAAAAAAATGTGCCGTATACTTACAATTTAAATATTATTCAGCCTTAAAAAGGAGGGAAATTCTGACATTTGCTACAATATGCATCAACCTTAAGGACATTATGCTAAGTGAAATCAACCAGTCAGAAAAAGACAAATTTTCTGTAATTCCACCTACATGAGGTATCTAGAGTAGTCAAATTCACAGAGACAGAAAGTAAGATGATGATTGCCAGGAGCAGAGGGGAAGGGAAAATGGAGAGTTATTGTTCAATAGGTATAGAGTTTCAGTTTTTTAAGATGAAAAGTCTCTGGAGATTGGTTGCTCAACAATGTGAATATACGTAACTACTGAACTATATACTTAAAAATGATTATGATGGTAAATTTTGTTATGTGTAGTTTACTGTAATTTTAAAATTAGAAAAAGCCAGACAGATCTTTTGGTGACAGCAATGGTTGGATGTTGCTTCAAATAGGCCCAGGTTGTAATCCTGGTCATATCACTAACATTAAGCAAGTGGCTGCACCTTGGTTAAGCCCACATCTCCTCATCTGTTAATGCAACATGTGCATTTCCTCACAGGGTTGCTGTGAAGATTAAATGAGATATTATTTGTAAAGTACCTAGCACAAGATCTAGTACATAGGAAGGCACTCAATAAATGTTGTTTCCTTTGCTTACACGTTCATGAGCACACATTGGTGGGAGCCAGTTGGATAGCAAAGGCAATGAGGTTTATGGGGAAAATCTCTTGTAAAGAAGCAGCCACGTGCGTTATGGTCTCTCCCTCTTTGTTTAAGGTGACGGTATGAAGTTCACCTCAGATTCCACTGGTCAGCAATGTTTTGAAGCTGTTCCTGGTTGCTTGCGTGGGACCCTCCTAACTGATGCGGCTGCTAACCTGTACTGAGAGGGAGGCATCTATTCTTCCACATAGAGTTTTCTCAGAAAGTAGTTTTATGCTGATTTTCCACTAGAGATGGGGACTAAGGGAGGCAGGATTATTTACATGTATGGCCAGCATACTGCTGTTTCTTTCCACATCTGCTACTTTCCAATTAATCTCAGAAGTTTTCATTGTGCTGTGTCTTTTGTTGGAAAACTGGTGGTTTCCCAGAAGAGCTAAGTTTCTGTTCTAAAGCTCTACTCAGCAACCTCAGGATATTTGAGAGGGAGATGTGGGTTAGGGTTTTCTGTCTTTCAACCTTAACGTTAAGACATTTGAGAAGAAACCTTAAAGTTTAGAGAATGTGTCTGACCTATTCCCAGGGCTGCTTCATCTATGCTCAGTTGGGTGTCAAATTAAACAATGCTTTGTCTATTGTAGAAGTGTCAGCCAAAGCTGTCCTTGAGTGCCCAGTGTAGCCCTGTCCTGGATAATGGAGTTGGGAGGGTGGAAAAGAGAAGGGGAAGAATAGATAAAAAAAGCAACTTGAATTCTATAATATTCACGGGCCAAATGAAGTCAGTAGCCTTTTTGCTATGTAGAAAGATGACTACATTTTATTAGCCAGGAAATTCTCAAATTTCCAATATCACTGCACTAATAGGAAAGGTATGGTTTCAAAAGCATTCCTAACTCTTTCTTTCTCTATATATTTTTTTCACTTCAGGACCTAAAGTGCCTGAAATAAATTCTACCATTTTATTTTGTTCTCATTTATTTTAATTAATAGGTAGCAAATTGGGTTATCTAAAACATTTTCCTGGATGAGTTTATCAGCTCTATCTCTGAGTCCAGAGTTGTTTAGAGGCCCCTGAGTGGGTGTGTCAAGTGATGCAGCAGAGAAAAGCAGTATAGCCCAGTGCAGGGTCTCCACAGAGTGGCCCATGAACCAGCAGCATCACCTGTGGCTGCAATGTTCAGGTCCTCTCCACACCTACAGAATCAGAATCTCTGGAGGTGGACCCAGAAATCCGTGTTTTAAGAAGCCCTCTGAGTGATTCTGATGCACCACCAATATCAGAAACATGCTTTTACTATCCACAATCCATAATTCATGTATACTGAGCACTTACTCTCTATCTGGCTAGACTCATATATTTTGTCTACTAATTACAACAATCCTTTGAGGCTGATATTTCTCGACAATTTGCATCTGAGAAAAATGAAGATCAAAGCAATTAAATAATTTTTTTCCAACAGATCCATTATATTTTGTTTCTTGGGAACAAGAAGCCTGGCTGTATACGCTTCCTACCAAGAGGTGGAAGGACAGCCTGGCACTGAGCCAGTGGTTTGAGCTTTTCTCCCAGGACCAAATAGACACAATGAATGAGGTCCTATTAGCTATGACTCTCATGATCTCTGCTTCCTAAAAATGTCACTTATTTTTCTTAAGGTCTCAACATATAAGAATATGAGTACACTGTCTGCTGGACCCTTATACTGACTGACAGAACATGATTAAGAGAGGATTTAGTTAACTAATGCCCAGGCTGCACTCAGCATAGAGCATACATATTCTGGACACATTAAATTTTTCCCTGTAATTCCCTCTCCTCCTAATTTTTATTTTTCTGCGTTTTCAGGCTATTTTTTTCTTTCTAAAATGTCATACCAATTCCCACATGTATAAGTTACAACCCACTTTTTTTTCAAGTCCAGTTCTACGTCCTTTAGATCTTTCTTAAATGCTGACTTTGGAAAGTTCATCCTTCTCTCTGCAATACCCATGACCCTTTATCTTCACAATTCAATAACCCTCACAATACCCTCCGAGAGAGCACATTGCACATCACAGGTAATCCAAATTACTTGTTGAATGTAGGAACAAATACAACAGTGAAAAAAATTATACGCATTCTAGAAATATCCGTTTCTTTTAGTGCTGTTACCATATGCGATATGACTGCTATGTAGACATTCTATTTTATATTTTTTCCAGGTACATTCAAAGACTCTAATAGAGAAAATATTCTCCTCTCTAATATTTTATAGGATTTTATTTATTTTACTCTTCATGGTCAAGATCCTCATAAGAATAGTCTACAAATGCAAATGGCAAGTAGGTTCCGTTTTGTGTGCCAGTTTATACTCCAATAGGGTGGGCTGTGAGTCCTTTGCCATTTAACTCAACTGGAAAGCCTTCCGTGGTGCGCAGTGGTGTCTGCCATGGATGAGTGAGCCACAAGCAGCCATTCACAACCCTGTGTTCACCGATCCTCCCATGCAGTTGCCTTCACTTTTTAAAAAAATTATTGTATTTATCTTTCTTTTAACTACTCATCACTATTAATGTACTCATACCTCTCTCAGTGGGCTTTTGCTAGCTTTCTGCTGTGTGCCAGAGTTTCCTTCATGCTGGGTTAGGGAAATCAAGGAAGAAAAAGTCCCATGAGTAAGGGCAAGAGGTGAAATGGCTCAAAGATCTTTCATTGCCTGTTGTGACTTTGCCAGTTCCATGCCTGGAAATACCTGCTCCTCCAGCCTCAGAAGCCTTCCTGCTGCCTGCAGGTGGCACTGACCACCTGCCTGATGCCACTCACATGCTTTCCAAGCCTCAGATCTGGTGCCACAGGATTGCCTTTGTTTACTCCCTGGCCTTTCTCCAACCCCAGGCAGCCATCAGCTCTAGAATGGCATCTGTCTCCTGGTCTCGCTGTGCTGGAGACTGGGCACTTAGGCATTTTTGAATAGATGGATGGCCTGATGGATAAATGAGTGAGTACATAAATATTATAAATTTTGGCCCAATGAAGGACAATGCATCGTTATACAGTTCTAACTGTATCTACCAGTTCACTTGAAAATAATGGATCTGAAGAATGGTGAGGTAAGGGAAATGAGTGATTCCTATTTATTAGGGATTTATTAATCATCTCATTTCACCAACCGACATTCAGAGATCATCACAGGAAAGTGGGAAGCTGGGAAACCTGTTTCTGTCAACTTTTTATTCCATATAAGGATGGCCCATTACATACACATATCCACAGAACATGGGCTTCCTCTAAGAGGAGGAGGGCAATGGGTGCCTTTGGGGCAGGACTTGACTTCAAGTAGCAGCTGAACCTCAGTGATGGTCCCTGGACTTCTGCACGGGAGAAGGAGTTTTAACATATTACGAGAGAGCAATGGGCCCAGGGAGTGAGTCATTTCCTCCTTCTGGCTCTCTGTGGGGTTGGCCTGAGAGGCTCTGATTTGGAATGAATTTGGAGTGACCCCTGATGTGTTCTCGCCCCCCACCAAGTAGCCTTAAAAATATCTTTGTGCCTAACCGGATGTGAGTTAAACTAAAAAATGACTCTGCTAGCCAATAACGTAGGTCGTCAAACTCAGGGGCCGGTGTGCAGCTGGTGAATGATGTTTGTGTTGCCTCACTTACCAAAAGTGCCTCTTGGGGAGGGGAGAAATGTCAAGGAGGACATCTCAGGAAGAGGGACAAGTGTAGCCCTGGGCCAAAGTTTCTTAGAACAGCTACTGAATGAGGTTGCATCACTCCAATTACTGCAATAGTGGGTCCCATGGGAAATTGGAAACCTTACAGGGGAGCCAAACACACACACTCACATGCATGAACGCCCCACGATGGGTGCATTTTGTATTGGGATTCCTTCTGTGTCAGCACCTGACAAGTGCTGAACTTGAAGATTAGCAGGGTCACCATGGCTGCAAAGGTGTGTGTGTGTTTGCAAGTGAGGGTAGATGAAAAAACCACCTGCCCTCAAACACATTTCCATAGTGACAACAGGCTTCGGCGACAATGCACAGGCTTCATAATCAGCTGAGCATATCTCTGGGATAGGCACTGGGAGTATACTGGGGAGAAAAAGCCAGAAGAAGAGAGAGAGCCAGCTCCATTTTGCTAAAAGACAGATTAAATTTCAACCCCTGGAGGAAAAGAAAATGTGAAATTGAAAAATGAAAAAATGCTAAATACAGGGCTTATTTTCCATGCTTGTTGTTATTGTTTAAAATGTGTACCTGTCTTTTGAACAGTTGCAGAATGACAAATGCACATGCTTTGACCCCAGTCCTCCTGGATGCTGCCTGGCACAGCTGGGCATCTCTCTGACCTTTCTTTCTGGACAGCGTGGTGAAGGGGAGAGGGAAGCTTCACCCTCCACAATCTGTCTGATCCAGCACAGCTGCATTTTCTCATTCTTGAGAACTGGACAAGTTTCCTGAGCCCTGGGTTGATATACTGTACCATCTTTGGTGCAGCTGTAATTTTAACAAGGGGAACCGACTTGAACCTCTCTAATCCTTACTCCAGACACCTCGCACTCCTGAGACTAGTGTGTATGCGTGCATGTGTTTTTAAGGGTTTTTCAGCTGTGCTTCTGAGAAAGTGGCTCAGTCCAAAGTTTAAGAAAGAAAAGAAAGAAGTGGGGAGGGGTTTAGTGGCACGTCTGTCTTATTCTGACCACAAGATATTTCAGTAGCTTTTGTATTTACAATAGCAAAAATAATGTTATTATTCTGAGCTCACCTACTGAAGTCTTTCCATTTCTATTGTCTCTTCTGGGGTAAAATGATGGACACTATGTCTCCTTCTCTGCTTTGAGCCGTAGAAGAATAATCCAGAATTAAAAGTATGAGAGGCATTGCGGGAAAGGCTTGGAAATCAATTGCAACTAGTCTCAGAATTGCACAACCAACTTCAGATTTTTCTTTTTTCTCAAGACTTATATTTTGGGAGGGAGCTGTTTTATGAATGGATATAGGCCTGACACACGAAGCGCGTGGGATTTGTCTGAGGGCCTCATCTGGTTTCACTGTGACATCTGGCTCTGATGAATCTGGCATATTGTGACTCACAGATACACAAATAGTAATCCTTGATAGTGACCACTTGTGACTGCCGACAAACAATGTCAAATGTCAGTGAACTGCTGCGGCCGCTGGGCTGAGCTGCTCTGGCCCCTGCTGCCCTGATGTAGAAGGCTCTGAGCTGCCGTCAGGGAAGAGTCACGGAGCTCAGAACCTCCTCATCCCACTAGGACCCCAAGCAGCTTGGCCCTGAGGAATTTATAGTCATGGGTGCTCCCTGAGTGCTCCTCTTAGGAAAGCCCGGTTGAGAGCATATGGCTGCGATGGCTGATGGTCTGGGTTTGAACCCTGGCTCAGCCACACCCTCGGCTGAGAATGTGGCAAGTTGTTTAACTTCTCTGTTTCCTCATCGGCTAAAAAAAAAAAAGGTGAAACAGTAATTAAAATAGCTGGTGTTTATTGAAACTTCCTATGGGTCAGGCATTGTTCTAAGCAAGGTACTAGAATTATTTCAACTAAGATTTAAAAAATATGATGTGCTTGGTATTTTTGTTAATGAAGAAACTAACACATAGCCACACTGATAGTAGGTGTTGGAGCCAGAATTCCTTGAGCTTTTCTGAGACTCTAGGGCAATAGTTTCGAACCAGGGGCAGTTTTGCACTCCAGGGGACATTTGGTAATGTCTGGAGACGTTTTTAGTTACCACTACTAGGGGCAGGAGAAGAGTAATACTGGTATTTATGGGGCTGAGGGCAGGGATGTTGCTTAACACCCTACAGTGTACAGGACAGCCCCTACAGCCAATAATTATCCAGCCCCAAATGCCAACATAACAGGTGTTAACTCATTTAATTCTCAAAATAGCCAGAGAAGAGAAGTGCTATTTTTTTTCCTATTTTAGATATTGGGAAGCTGAGGCACAGAGATGCTAAGCAACTTGCTGCCAGCAGAAAGATAGTTGGTGGCATAGCTAGGAAGCAAACCCAGGCAGTGCAGTGCCAGAGGCCACACCCTCCACCACTGGGACGAGCTGCCTCTACCTAGAAGGGGCCGGAGGTCATTCAGGCAAGGTGGGCAAAGATTTCCAAGTGCAGCAAGTCAAGATCAAGAGACAGCATTATTAACAGAAACACACACTTAAGTCACCTATATTGTTTATAAGCTTTTTTATATTCCTCACTGAGGGCAGAAATTAATAAGTGAGTGGGCACACATAATCATGGATGAGGGAACTCTCCTATATGTGGTTTCAGACGTGAGGGGAACCAGCCAGAGGCCATCACCCTGATCAGGGTATGGAGAGGGCATTTGGGCTTACAGAGGTCTGAGGTGTTGGTCAATATCCATGAATAGCATCTAACCCTAGCCAGGTATTCCCAAACACATGCCTTCCATGATGTATTTTCTGAGTGTCTGCTGCGGGCCCCAAGGAGGGTATCAAGGCAGAGGCACCACAACTGCTAAAGAAAGAACTTACCCACCACATATCCCTTCAATCTGAAGGGGAGCCTGTTCGGAGAGATGTCTTCCAAGACAGCGTTGCTCTAGAATTCTGCCATATGTTAGAACTGTTTCATCTATGTTTTTAAGGATTCAAGAATTGGACACACTTTTGGGACTGAGCTTGGTAGAGAAACTGAGAGTTGAACCAATATCCCTGATAAATCCTTTGCACACAGTTGAGGCCTGGAGTTCTGGCCACCTCTGGCCATCACTTCCAATTGAACTTCTAATGCCTACTAAATACTAAAGAAGAGATGTTCAGCCATTCGGTGGCATTGTCTGTCACCTGAGGAGGCTGGTGTCAGTCAACTACCAGCCTGCTACCCAGTGGCCAGGGAAGTTGGTGAGGGCAATTTATAAATGCATCGATTTTGTTAGGACCACCATGATGATACATTCCTTAATGTGTATTAATCCTTCCTTTGCATGTTGAAAGAAATTAATGTATTAATGTGTATTAATCCTTCCTTTGCATGGAATCCGAGTCCTTTCATGTTTTGGGGGCACACACATCAGGTCCTGTGCATTGTGTCTGGGAGGAGAATGAAACCAGAGGCTAGAGTGATGCTCTGTACCCTGTGCATTTCCTAGGAATGCATGTGGATTTGCCATGACACCACCTCCAATGCTTTTCTGATCCCCTTTGTAACCTGTGTCATTGCAGAACAAATACCAGGATTACTGTGGTGATCTGTGTGACTGCACCCACTGCCACGTCTGCCTGACAGCCCTCCACCCACACCCAAAGCCTCTGCTGCTGTCTTCCTTCCCAACCACATCACTGTGACTTTCTGGGAAAGGCCACCTTTGGCTCAATCCAGTGGACAAGTCCCAATCCTAACCTTCCTCGACACCTAAACTGACACAGTTTCCCACTCACACCTACAGCCCCATCTGTCCTTGGTGTACATGGCTTTGCCTGCCTCTCTGATGATTCACTGTCCTGTTCAGCAGTGACCTCTCCTGTCTGCTCCAGACTCTTCTACAACTGCTGCCTGGATATAGATCCTTAGAATTCGCAGAATCAAATCACACTTAATTTGTCCCAATCTTAATTCATTCTTTTTCTGCCCCATGCCTGCTCCTTGCAGTGAATTTTGTATCTTAGTGGACATTAGTGCCATCTTCCTAGTCACCTGGTTGGATACCAGGGAGTGAACCGAGGCCACAAACTTCCTATTTCCCCAAATCCAGGAAGCCAGCAAGTCTTGCAAACTGACTTTTGAATATGTCTTGACTCGACTCTTTTCCCACAATAATGGTCTTGTTCAGGCCATTATCATCTCACTCTTGCACGATGGCAGTAGTGTCTTTTGTGGCAATTCTTATCCTCTGTCCTTCTCTCTTTTAAAACCATCCTCACCGTGGTCCTGATGTGTAGTCATATCAGGGCTACATGTGGTCTTTAGGTCAAAAGATGTTTTGGTCAAGATCCTAAAAAATGTTAGATAATTCAAGACAAAGCATGGCCACAACATAGAATCTGGATACCGGCGTATCTTTGTGAGTGTGGGTGGGTGAGTGTGCATATAGGCACACATTAACCCACATATGCCCTACCTCAACCACACAGGATTTACAGTGTCGGTTTGCAAGTTTTTTAGAAGCATGTGTTATTTTTTTCTGGGAGGGGAGGTTACGCTATAGTAGAAATTGAGGAAATCAGACAGGCAGTTACATGGAAATTAAATTAAAATTAAATTACATTAAATTAAAACGTAAGCTCCTTTAAGACAGCTGCTCATGATCTCTTGTTATGCCTCGCAACACTTAGCAAAATACCTTGTTTAATGTGATCGGGTTCAGACCCAGGAAAGAGGCAACTTGCATTAATCAAAAGCAGATGAGGGCAGTTGAGCCTTTGCAGGTTAAAATATGCCAGTCTTTGACGAGAAAATGGAGTGGATTTCAGAAGCAAAATATTTGTGTGTGATGAGTTGGAGTTTGGGAGGTTTTTATTTTTGGGCTTTTTTTTTTAATGGAAAAAAAGAAGTCCAAAGAAGCCAAAAAGACGCTAATGGATGAAATGCTTTGCACATATGGGATGGAAAATTGTGCTCGGCTAAGTCAAAAAGCAGCTCCTGAAGAACGTAATGTGGCTGCGGCTTCACAGGTGCCTGACCCGCTGCCCTGCGACAGTGCTGCTCTGTGTGTTTGGCCCTGCTCCTCCACTCCAGCCGGCAAAGGGGGAAGAATGGATTCAGTCAGGCAGAAACTTCTAGAACCGCTTCGAATTGCTGCTTGTGCCAAAGAAGATCTCCTCCTTCTCACCCTTTTATCCACACACAGGAGCATTGAAGAACTAAACAGCTCTCATCTCAACTTCCTCCCAACCTCACTCTTGGCTCGTCCTCCTCTGAGGAGCAGCTGTTTTTCAGCTGATGTTTAAGCTCACACACTCTAAGTTAAATTACTCCATTTCTTAAAAAAAAAAAAAAACAAAAAAAAACGGAGCTCCTTTTTCCCAGTTTGCTTTAATTCCCCCTAAATATCATTCCTACAGGGGTGCCTCACTTTACACATTTTTAACTCTCCTCCAGAACATATGGTTTATACACAGCAGTATAAATCCAATATTTGCAAATTGAATCAGGATTGAAATTCACCAAGAAAGGATACCATTTAAAGAAACCATGTGGGGAATTCTTTTTTTCTCTTTTACATTTCTTTTCTTTCTTTTTATTCCCCTTGAAGCCAAGAATCCTTTGATAATGCAAATGATTGATTCTTTTCACTCTTTTTTTCGAAACATTAGATGTACATTGGAATTTCTCAACAAGAGACAAGCACTTGTTTCCAGGCAAGCAGTTACTCATAGGCAGGGGAACTAGCTTTGTGTGTCTCTCCTCATTTTCCCAGCTTGTTATTACTCTTTAAAGAATGGTGACTATGCAGGAACGTAATATTTAATACAAGTAGTAGAGTTCATATGTCCAAAAGAATGCCATCCCCTCCAAGTCATCATGTTGGGACCACCTAGAAGTCTGGCACTGTACTTTTGGCATTGTTTTTTGTTCTAGCTTGGGAAGGACCCTAGGAGGACAGTGTAGTGAGCCTGTAGACACAGCATGCCAGTTCCAGGGACAGCTGTGGTCCTATTGTGTGCTCAGAACCTGGTCGTCAGAAAAGTTGGTCTTCAGCATCCCCATCCTCCTATTCATTGGCCTTGAACTTCTCCGTGGAAATCTGTTTCCCTCAGCCCCTTGTCTCTACCTTTCCTCTTTCCTCATAGGATCAGTAGCCAACTTTAAATAGCACCACTTGTAAGCTAGGCACAGTTCCCACCACTTTACATATATCAACTCATCTCATCTGCACAAAACTCCTTGCAGTAGGTGCATGGTCATCATCTCCATCTGGCACAACAGAAGGCTCAGGCGCAGAGAGGTGCAGGCCACATAATGAATGGCAGAGCTTGGATTACAAGGTTTAATCACGCCCTCACAGGGTTTCTGGCCTGGGCTCGGGAAGGAGCCATATCTGACTTCACACCTGATGGTGAGCCACATCAGCATGTCAGTGTGCTTCCACATTCTTCTGCAATAGCGACAGCTCATGTTTATTTCACGCGTAGTAGATATGAGGCCTTTTGCTAAGTGGTTTGCTGTCTTACTTTATCCTTACAGCACTCCTTACATCCTCTCAATTATCCCCACTTATAAGTTAAGAAGCTGGGTTATATAACTCACACAAGGCAACAGAACTATCTAGTTGGTGGCAAGGGGGTTCACCTGCAAACGTTCTCTACCACCATAGGTATAGTTAAGCTGAACATGAAGAGTAATTTGAGGGCCAGGTGTGGTGGCTCACGCCTGTAATCCCAACACTTTGGGAGGCCAAGGCAGGCAGATCACTTGAGGTCAGGAGTTTGAGACCAGCCTGGCCAACATGGTGAAACCCCGTCTCTACTAAATATACAAAAATTAGCTGGGTGGGATGGCACATGCCTGTAATCCTAACTACTCGGGAGGTTGAGCCAGGAGAATCACTTCAACTCAGGAGGCAGAGGTTGCAGTGAGCCGAGATTGCACCATTGCACTCCAGCCTGGGTGACAGAGTGAGACTCCATCTCAAAAAAAGAAAATAAAAAAAAGAATAAATCGGACCTCCATTAACGAAATTTCAGAATAGTGGGATGAATAAAAGGTTTTTAGGGACAGGGTTAGAAGTCGCTGATATTTTATCATGCAAATCTGACCCTTCTTACTGGATCCACTCTCGCTCCCTACAACTCATATACACACATATGAGCACACACGTATGCCCATCCTTGTACAGGCACACACATGCATGCACCCATGTACACACTCCCATGCCCATGCACACACACCGAAGAAGCTGGTTCATAAGACAGAAGTTCTCACCACAAAGAAATGATAAATGCGTGAGGTGATGAATAAGCTAAATATACTGATTGGATCATTATAAACATATGGGTGTATCAAAACATCAAATTGTACCCCTTAAATATGTACAATTACAATGAGTCAATGAAAAAAAATGCAACACTCTTTAGTAAGTTAGAATAAGCTGAATAAAATCCCATGCCGGTTAAAACCTTTTTCCTCCAGGAGGGGGGTGTCCTGCTGACTTCCTTGTCAGGAGGCTACTTCAACTGAGCCTCCAAACAGCCTGCTCTTAGTAATTATTTTGGTATGGATTTGTTTGGGTTATGTCCTTACTGACAGACTTACCAAGGCTTCCCATTCTTTATAAGAACACATCTTAACTTCTTAGTTTATCACTGGGGTCTTTTTCAATCTGTTCCAAACTTAACTTCCCTTCTTGCTCTATCATCTTCCTGCCACCATGCACCCTACACTTCTGTTTCCCTGGATGACTTAATTAATGTCGAATGTGTATTCCTTTGTCATTGTATTCCTTCATCACTTTGTCATGGCTGTTCCTTTGCCTTCCATATCTTCTCAGACTATTGAGCTCCTGTTCATTGATCGAGACTTGGCTGACGTGTGTTTCCTCTGTGAAGCCGCCCAATGGTTTGTCCAGATATTATTACATGGAAATTCTTCAAGGTAGTGGGGCAGCACACCAACAGCGCCTGTATTTCACTTATGTGTTCAGGGCCTGCAGTCAACACTTCATACCGATTAGCTCTTTCAGTCCTCTCCACAACCGTATAGCCTCATTTTATCCTTGAGGAAGCTGAGGCACAGACAGGTCATGGAACTTCCTCAAGACCATGCACATGGCAAGTAGCAGAGCCAAGAGCTGAAGCCAGGCAGACTGAGTTTTCCTCATCCTCTTTTTTTTTTTAAATGCTTACCCCAGCATGAAGTCTGGGGAGGGCAGGAAATGTTCTGTGTGGAGCCTTGCATTTGCTAGCGCCTCATACCAGGGGCTTCAGTGCATGCTTGTGACTGAAGGAAGATGTGCTGATGTTTCATACAGGCTTGTTCAATAATGGAAGGAAGTTTTTGAGATGAGGCCGATCATTCCAATTCCTGCCGCTTCAGGATGGTAGAGAAAAAAACAGAGAGGGAGACATGCTGTCCACAATGACTTGTGTCTGACATTTACCTTAAATCAAAGAATGCTGATGGAAGGAGTTATGAGGACTCTCTATCAAAACCTATCTAAGAGTCAGCCTGACCTTAAATGGAGTGTCTCCAAGCCTCATTGCTCAATTTCAGTGTGGACTTCACTCTCAAAGCCTAGCAGGAATTAAGTTTTTTGTCAGCTTTCCCACACACATGAGGCTCACTTTGGCATTTCCAGGTGGCCTGGGTCATAGCATAGCCTCCAAGCTTCACCGACCTGGGACTTCTTGGGAGGTTTTAGCCTGGGCTGTGCTGCATAGGTGTGCATTGTGTGAGGCTGAGGTGGTGGTGGGCGTGGAAGAGAGCTCATCAGTCTTCATTTCATGGCATAGAAATAATCAAGCCTGGATATTAATTTTGTGGTAATTGCTCCCCGCTTCGTGTTTACAGAGAGAGAGAAACAGCTGGGGCGGTTGACATCTGAAACAGGAGCCGCTGATCATTACTTGCGCAGCAGATGGGCTTGAGTTATGAATAAGCAGCAAATGTGAAAAAGAGATTCGCAGGGGTGAGCCAGGCTTGCTTCGTGCAAAACCGGTTAACCCTTCCTTGCTGTTTGCCACAGTTGCTGCGGGTTCAAGGTTTGGATTGCTGGGCTGCCTCTTTTTATGGTTAGAGACCTGGTACCACCAGATGTGACAGGGAATAAAGTAAAACTGGACTAAAAAAATGCATGAGAAAAGCCCGTGCATGTTTGATAAGTAAGCGTGAGATCGAAACACAACACAGACCCTGCTACCAATGAACGGCAATGCAGCCCCTCTGCCTGGATTTACTCTCCTAGCGTACGCATAAATCAACACCTCCAAAGTGGGTCGGCCTCAGGAGGAATAGGGAGTCCATCTGATGAGGATCCTGGACAGGATGTGATTTGAGAGGTGTCAGAAAGTTCCCATTTTCCACCAATACCTCCTCAACTAACTTCTCACCAATGTCTGCAATTTTATATTTAGGAGAGCGTTCCTTCATGTTACATAACTGAACAAAGCTCATCAAAATGCAATGTCCTTGAGAGGGGTGACATGTTGAGACTCATGAGTTTGTCAGATCCTTTCCAGACTTCATCTTTCGAAGCTCTCAGAGGGCAGCTCCCTGTGGAGTTGGACAAATGATGGGGGAGAGGTTAAGCTGAAGAGGGGCCCTGAGCATAGTGAATGCCTTGAGCATCTGGCTTAACCTGGCTCTGCCACTTACTAGCCATGTAACCTTGGGCCAAGGGCCAAGCCTTGACCTTGAGGCACATAGCCTAAGTTTTGGAATCCTCATTTTTAAAAAGTCAAAATAACAACAGGTACTGTGACTAGGTCATAGGAGTTAGTGCATATCAGACATGGCAAAGATTATGGGAACACCTTGATAGCTACAAAGCAATATACAAGTATAAAATAATAGTGGTGGGATGATCGTGCTTGGAGGGGTGGTGTAGGTCACAGCAGTTCTTGTGATAGGAGGCTTGGTACTTTTCAGAAACTACAAAATATATTGGTGTTGGGGGTATGCAGAAGCGCTTGGAGCCTCTTTGCAGCTCTAGTAACCAAAGCCTTTGTCACAGGAGGCATAATATGGCTAACCAGGAGTCGCTCCTAAGTTGCAGTTATCGAGGGGACTCCTACCAGCATTGCATGGAGCAGGGCATGGAATTTATATTTCTGCTTAATATTGAGGGATATTCTGACCTAACCCAAGAGGCAGAATTAGGTCTTTCCATAACCACAGCAGGCAGAGAACACAAATCAGGAATATCAGAGGTAACCTGGAACCCAACAAAAAGAGGAAGAACTCGGGAGGAAATGGGAGAGAATGCCCAGGGACCCAGGCAGAACAGGCAATCAGTATCTCCAGATGGGACTGGCGGGAAGCACAGCCTCATTAGCAATTCCTGATAAAGACCGATCTTAAAATTAACTTTGAGACACTTTATCAGCAGGAGAGATGAGGGAAAGCCCTGCTATAAGAAAATGAGGTCATGGGGTAGATCTACTGGTGTTCAGAACACCAGTAGAGCTGGAGGAATATGAGCTTAACTTGACGGATATCACAACACTAGCTTACTCCCAGTCTATGAGTTCCCAACAACTCCTAAACGTGGAAGAACTGCAAATTTATATTAAAGCCACTTTTAAAAAAATTGCTGATTTATGGTATGTATTAATTTGTATTGACTTGTATCTTAAAATATCATTCTCCATCCATTTTTAACAAATCCTCTTCTTTTACCTTCCTAAGGTCTCCTGTTAAGGAACACTTACAAGGTATGTTTACAGGTAGACGTATTCACCTGGTGGGTTGAATGAACTATTATAACCAAGATGTTGATATCTAGTGTGGTCAGAAGCTCATATAATAGATTATTGTTTCAGCTGGGCTGGCAACTTGGTTTGCTCCACAAGATAAAGCTTACAACCTGAATTTTTCTGCCCATTTCAGCTCCAAAGCTCATCATTTTCATCTCAAACCATCATTTGATGGCATTTCCCTTAAAATGTCACTAATGTGGTTTAGCTATGTCCCCACACAAATCTCATCTTGGATTGTAGTTCCCATAATCCCCACATGTTGGGGGAGGAAGCCAGTGGGAGGTAATTGAATCATGGGGGCAGTTACCCCCATACTTATTTTCTGATGATAGTGAGTGAGTTCTCATGAGATCTGATGGTTTTATAGGGGGCTTCCCCCAACTACTTACCCTGCACTTGTCTTTCCTGCTGCCATGTGAAGAAGGACCTGTTTGCTTTCCCTTCTGCCATGATTGTAAGTTTCCTGAGGCCTCCCCAGCCCTGTGGAACTGTGAGTCAATTAAACCTCTTTCCTTTATAAATTACCCAGTATCGGGTATTTCTTCATAGCAGCATGAGAACAGACTAATACAGTTACTTTTGTTGACTCCTGGTGTGGTATATATGTATGTATGTATATGTATGTCTATATATATATACTCTCTCACTGCTCTGGGAATAACAATTATTGTTCTTGGGTTGGGCTTTATTTTGGATATCTTTCTAAAATCCTGAGTGAAAGGAATCTCAGAATTGGCTGCTGATTTCTCCACATTACAAAGCTGAAGTTCTCCCTTAATTTACTTTTCTTTTTCTATTCCTTTCCTGATGATTTTTTCTTGTTCTTATCCTTATCATAGCACGTGCTTTAGTGGTTTCTCTTGTGCCTGTCAGTTTAGGGCTCCAGCCCTTTCCCAAAGGTCCCACATTTAGGTTTTAGGGTCATCAGGGGGTTTCCAAGTGATCTCACAGTCAGTTCTCTTTAAGCTTCAACCACCAAGACCCTTCCTCTCTTGCTCAATCTGTCAGTGTCACCTCTGTCACCACCTCTCACACTTAACAGGACCCAAATTCACTCTTGAGGTGCTGGCACCCAGGTGTGCTAGAGCTTAGCTCTTTGGTGAGTCCTCCATGTGCCAGAGCTGCTCAGGGTCCTTTACAGGAATTAGAAACATTGTCCTCATGGTGCTTTTGAGTAATGCTAAGATAGAGGAGGAAAAGCTAAACTTTTACCTCAAATTATTTAGAGAATTTAGCAGATCCCACTGCCATCCCTGCCTCTCCAGAACTGGGCAAAACATGATACTCTGAGTGCTGCCACATCCACTGTCCCCATCTGAGGCCATAAGCCACGGCAGTCCCTCGGGCACAAATCAAAATGGGTCACACCATGGGATCCCGTGAGCTGGTCTCACCTGTGGACCAAGGGTGGGGATCGGGGCCAAAGACAGTCCTCTGGATAGAGGTCAGCCAATGGGCAGATTGGGGGAAAGCTCTCATCAACAGGGCACTGATAGGGATTAACTTAACCAGGAAACCCTTCCTTGTGGAGTTTGAACCCAAAATACGCAGTCACTAGATTACTTGATCACAGAGACAGGGAGGAGGCACAGCACCAATATGGCAGGGCCCTGGGGAAGAGAAAATCACAGGCTCTTGACCTGGGGAAAATGAGGCGTTTCGATCAGCAAGGTCTGGGTTTTGCCGTAGATAGCATTTAAGTCCAAGTAAAGAATGATCCCTTCATTTTGTCTCCTTTCAAGCAGCAGCCCTCAAATAAGGTGGACAGCCTATGTCTATTCCTTGTGACCCAAAAGAGTCTAATGATTTGGCTCTTGCCCCCTCCCCTACTCTCCTGCTGGAGCAAGGAGGGATTACTATGTTGCCAACTGGGCTGCTCCTGGAAAAGAGAGCTGCTTTTTCCCCTTAATCCTTTTGATACCAACAATTAGAGTTCAGAGGAAAATAACAGCCTCAAACATAACTAATGCAGTGCTAGTCCCAGCCAAGGTGCCGTCCCTACCCTCTCTATGTGGCAAAACTCCCCACTGGAGGAACCAAGGAATCAGGAACTTTGGGCTTAGGTAATGACTGCAGAATTGGGCCCAAGCTGAGTCAGCCACAGCCCTTGGCATATCCCCAAGTGAAAGAAACAGCAGGTTGAGGGTTACTTAAGATATGAACTCTTTAAACCCTCTCCCATTGGGAATGCTGACAAGCCAGATAAAGTGCCTCCCTTCCTTTGTCCCTCCTCATCTCAGCAAATGACAAAGTGCAGGTTGTTGCCTCCAGGTGAGCACAGCTCTGAGGAAACAAGGAAAGCAAACAAATACTGCTGTGTGGCTGAGTGGTTCCCAGGCTCCATTTCAAAGGCAGTCCCTTATGGCTTTGTTTGCTCCTGTTTTTCCCAGCATAGGTGTTTGATATCACACAGACCCATTCTGAATTTCCAAGAAGAGGAGTATTTAGTTTACAGTGGGTAGCCGAGAGTATCCTAGTTTGAAAAAGGGAATAAGTTATCTGTCCACCAGGTATATTTAAAAGCCCCTGATTGTGCTGGTATCAAGGTGCTGATGGGACATGAGAAAGTTCAATTCGGGTATCTGAGAAAAGCACCTATGGCAATGGCTTTTCTGAGACAACTCACTGGCATTATTCACCCTTGGTTGAAGGTCAGCATTCTCACTGGAACCTCACTCCCGGTTCCCAGCTTCAGGTGTGGCAGGAGAAGGTTAGGACATCAGGTGATTGCTTACACAGGTACACTTGGAAAAGACTCAATACACTTCAGAGAAAATAGTAAGTGTGGGATTCCTCTAACACCCCATGTATCATCAGCGATGTGTTGAAACTCTCACAACTATTCCCCATTTTTCCTCTGACACAGACATGACTAAATTGTCAGGAGAATTTCTATTCTGCTTCCCTTTACTCTAGCCCAGAGAGATACCAAAATGCGCAAGCCTCGGCCATCATCAAGGAACTGAGAAAATGTGTCTTCAACCATGAGGAGGAAAATTCAAAGGAGTTCCGAACACATACAAATACATGTAAAGGGACAGAGATGAAAGGAATGGAGCCATCGGAGCGGGAGTACAGGGGGAGAGGGAGCAGCACCTATGCCCAAGCCCCGACTGGGCAGCCTGGGCCAGCCCTCAGGATGAGAGCAAGGTTCTCAATGCCCTTCCTCACCTCCCTCCTCAATGATGTTCTTCATCCTCACCATCCCATCACCTCCAGAGACTAGTGTGTTTGTGGCACCCTTCTTCCCAGTCAAGCCTGCTCTCAGAAATCATCCTTGGGAAGGTAAGAACAATAGATGGGGCATAGTATATCTTTCAACAATGCCTTGAGTATTTGCATTTTCACAGAGGAAGTATTGAAGATGGTACCTCAGTTCGAGGTTTTCAAAAAGGACTTATAGGTAAATAAATCACACAGACAATGGCACCTGCCTAAAGATTAGTGTAATATAAGTGCTTTGTCCCTGGAACACAAGGCGATATTGTTAGCAAAAACTTTTATTGAAAAATATCTCATCAATTAGAAAACATGATAAAGCCTTCCTCTGTCCACCCATGTTCCCTCACTTCCAATTCCATGCCACATGCAGGAAATGGCTTGGGCAGTATGCCCGCAGGCTAGGGTCAGCCGTGTGCTAGCAGCTGGACTCAGCACATCTAACACGTACATTATTCTAAACTTCAGGGCATTTTGAGGCATGACTGACAATGGCAACAGGGGTGTGGATTGCCTTCACGTGCACTGGGCTTGCATTTGAGTGCCAGGCTGTAGCTGTGTGTCAAGCATGGGAAATTCCTTACCTACTCTTGCTATCAATAAATGATTCGTACAGCTCACAGAGGAATCCATTTCTAATCACATGGTCAGCCATCAGAGCAGCTTGGACGCTTGCTTCTGCCCTGGGCGGGTCCAGGTCAGATTCTCCTGAAGTAAAACACAGCCAGGGTAAAGAGAGGAGACCACCTGGGAAGTGGGCGTAGCCACAGAGCTGGCACCACACTCCCCCTGCATCCGTGGCCTGTGTGTCCCTCTGCGGTGCCAGGGATGCTGAGGGGAGTCTGTGGAGCAAATGTCCACAGTGTGACTGGGTGCCATGCACCCTTTTGGGGGCTTCATGTGGATAGTTTTCATAATCCCCATTCACAGATGATGAAACCAAAGGGTAGAAAGGCTGAAGTATTTGCTTGTCTTTGCATCCGCACATACTAACTGACACCCCAACAGGGTTCTTCTCATGGTACCAGGTATTGTGAGAGGCTTGAAAGTACAAGAATGGCTCCTGATTTTAACGTTAAATATTTTTAATTTTTTCCCTTAGATATTTTCTGTTTTCTTTCTTTCTTTCTTTCTCTCTCTCTTTCTTTCTTCCTTCCTTCCTTCCTTGCTTTCTTTCTCTTTCTTTCCCTTCTTTCTTTCTTTCTTTCCTTCCTTCTTTCTCTTTCTTTCTCTCTTTCTTTCCCTTCTTTCTTTCTTTCTTTCTCTTCTTTCTTTCTTTCTTTCTTTCTTTCTTTCTTTCTTTCTTTCTTTCTTTCTCTCTCTCTCTCTCTCTTTCTTTCTTTCTTTCCTTTCTCTCTTCTTTCTGTCTTTTTTTTTTTTTTTTGAGACAGTCTCGCTCTGTTGTCTGGGCTGAAGTTTTGGCTCCTACAACCTCCACCTCTCAGGTTCAAGTGATTCTCCTGCCTCAGCCTCCCGAGTAGCTGAGATTAAAGGCCTGCACCACTACACCAGGCTAATTTTTTTTTTTTTTTTTTTTTTTTGAGACGGAGCCTCACTCTGTTGCCCAGGCTGGAGTGCAGCGGCTCGATCTCGGCTTACTTCAAGCTCTGCCTCCCAGGTTCACGCCACTCTCCTGCCTCAGCCTCCCAAATAGCTGGGACTACAGGTGCCCGCCACCATGCCCGGCTAATTTTTTTGTATTTTTAGTAGAGACGGGGTTTCACTGTGTTAGCCAGGATGGCCTCGATCTCCTGACCTCGTGATCTGCCCGCCTCGGCCTCCCAAAGTGCTGGGATTACAGGCGTGAGCCACCGCGCCCGGCTGCACCGGGCTAATTTTTGTATTTTTCATAGAGATGGGGTTTCACCATGTTGGCCTGGATAGTCTTGAACTCGTGACCTCAGGTGACCCGCCCACCTCAGCCTCCCAAAGAGCTGGGATTAGAGGTATAAGCCACCAGGCCCGGCCCCCTTAGATGTTTTCTAAGCATGGTTACCAAGAAACCCACAGAAAAAGAATATTTTCCCCCACCCCTTCATGTAGTTAAGGTGACAAGATTGATCCACATAAACAGTACATGCACAACTGAGCTTGGTGGTCCTATTTGAAAACGTGCCTCTGAAAAATACTTTGTATAAAATGTGAGGGTTAACTTTAAATAAAATATAAAACATTAAAACTACAACTATCCATATGCTTAATAAATTGCATTTATTGAAAGGAAAATGCATGCAATTTTTTAAAAATCACATACTTATATATATTCAGTGTATACTTTGATTAAGAAAATTAAAAATCATGGCAGTTTTCAGTTGTATTAATAGGAGACCATCTAAAATGACTAACTACGAATTTGCCTTTCAGTTTTCTTTCTGATGTTTCTTTAAAAAGACAAACTAAAATAAACTAAAATGAAAATAACCTATAATTACATTACCTATATTTTATAAATAATATTCTTTTTCATGCTCTAAAATTTATAAATTTTAAAATGTGTTAGAAAATACCTCTATGATTTTGTAAATTAAATGGATGTATTATAATTTATTTATTCAGTTGGATCAAGTTTTGCCATTTTACGTAAGTCTGCTCTGAACAATCTTGCCCTTATTGGCTGTTTATCTCCGATTGTATCCTCAAGAGACATCCTAAAACAGAATCACTGGGTGGAAAAGTATGAAATGTTTAAGGTTCTTGATGCTTATGACCTAATTGCCTTCTAGAAACGTTTAAACAATTTTTTTTCCCATTAACAGATTGCAACAGTGCCTGTTTCCTGTATTAACCATTGCAATTTTTTCCTTGCCCTGAGAATTGCCAAACCATGTCCTTTCATAGGACTTTGTTAGTAAATAAGTATTTTTCATATCGAATTGGAAAAAAAAGTTTTGCATATTAAGAATATTCATCTCCTGACATTTGTTGTAATTCTTTCTTGCAGTTTGTTGTTTATTTTTCTGTTTTCCTAAGAAACCTAATGTATAGCTGAAGTAACCTACTAATAATTTCTTGTGTAATAACTTCCTCTATTTTCTCTTCTTTTTGCTTTTTCTACTGCTTTTTAGAAAGTTTGTATCACAATATCAGTTAATATTAAATATTTAATAAATAAAAACTAACTTCATTTCCTGCCAAACCATCAATTTAGTAAACCACTTATTGAACAACTCCACTGATGCGTTGATCAATTTTTATGCCTGTGATATACTACTTGTATTATTATTGCACTAAAATATATTTTAATATCTTTTAGAGTATGCCTTAGCTGTTCAGCATTTTCTTCCATAAACTTCAGAACCACTTGTTAAAGTTCCAAGAACAACATAAGAAAAATAGCTGTCAGGAATTTGTGCAACTATCAAATCTATAAATTGTTGATCTATCTACCTACCTATCTAGTTTTTTGGCTATTTTTAATTAGAAGGCCTCTAGTGTTTTATTACCAAGGGTGACATTTAGAATAGATGTTTCTGATCATGATAAGGACATAGCTATCTATTTCTACTTAAGTCTTTTGTTTCTTTTAAAAAAATCACATATGGTGTTGGAGTCTATCCAATGCATTTTCAACATCTATTGGGATGATCATATGGTTTTCTCATTACTCTCTTATACGGACTCTCACTCTAGTTAAATTAATCTGTCTGCTCATTTAAAAATTTTATCATTTTGTATAAGTCACTTTGTTTTTACTTGATGCTCTTCTGTACTAGTCAGGATTTCTAGGTGCAAGTGACAGAAAACCAAAGTGCAATGAGCTTAAACAGACAAGGAAAGGTCAGTGATTACTTAACTGAAAAGCCCAACCACAGGGCAGATCCAGGAACCCAAAGGATGCCGTCAGGACTCAGTTTTGCCCTGTAGTTCCTGACACTTCACATTTTTTCATCCTCATGGATGCAAGTCCAGAGGGAATCAACCTTTTCCCCCTCTTTTTTATTTTTTGCCGATAGCTCTGACGTAAGTCTTTGACAAAGAATTGATCATCTGCTCAGTCTTGTACCAATCACTGTGGCCAGAAGCCAGGTAAGCTGATTGACTGACAATGACTGACAACTAGGATACTTGTCCACACTGAGCCTGAGAGCAGACTACACTGAGGATGGGGGAAGGCTTTTCCACGGAAAAATCCAGGCGGTTTTACCAAAAGAGCAAGGATGGGTTCCAGGTAGACAGACAAATTAGGCATCCACCACACACCCTTAATAGCTCAAAACCTCCCAGGATTGAAGAGCTGAAGTAATTGGTTTTCTTACTACCACATTGCTTCTCCACACTCTCCAATCTTGGGCTTTCACCCCCTTTCACTGTGGTAGTAATTCTCCACCATTACTATGAAATGAAGGGTCCTAAAACCTATCAGCTCTTTCTGTTTTTAGCCTGAGTTGCTTCCCTGGCTCAGGGCTGGCTTGGCATTTCTCTTCCTAGAAGACTTCCACTGTGACTGGATCATTAGATCCTTGGTGTTCTGTTGTTCACAACACAGGCTGTGTAGTACGGCATGGTCTCTCTGTCTTCCTCACTGTGTGTTGCTTCCATGGAGAAGAACCTATGTTTTCCTCAGGGTGAGGATCCAATTACTGATCTCAATACAGGCAAAATGGGCCTAGGAAAAGAAAGAAGTTACACTGTTTCCCAAGCTTTATGAAATCATTTGCATTGTGGGTCCTGATTCATGATTCTGACTTTCTTGTTGAGATGGTAAGTTGCATCTCTCCCTTTGGTAATACCCCAAAGGGAACTAGAAGTGAAAGAAATGTCTCACAGCTCAAAATGCTAAGCGCTTTTACATTAGTAAGAGCCTCTCTCCAAGGACATTCACCTCAAAAGGTCTCTACCTCACTCAATCATTACCTGTTTAGGGTATTTCAGAGGATAAAAAGGGAGACCTACCCAAGGCTGAATGGAAACCACTTTTGACCACCTGTAAGACATGAAAACGTCAATTAGATGTAAATATGTTGCAACTTCCTACCTCATAGAAGTGTTGCAAAAATTAGAAATCAAGATTTATAAACCTAATAGCCTTTTTTGATAGATAGATAATAGATAGATAGATAGATGATAGATAGATGATAGATAGAGAGATAGATAGAGAGATAGATAATGTCTGACACACCTAGGAGCATATTAAAAGTTAAAACTGCCCTTTGAAAGAAATGGGATTGTAATTGACAGCTATGTTGACCCATGAAGGGTTCACCAGTGTAATGGCAGTAAGGAGAATGCTGCTTTGTGTGGCTTTAGGGAGAGTCCAGGCCAGCTGCTCAGAAGCAGTTTAATGCCTTCAGGCTGTGGGTGGGGAAGGCGGGAGGAAAGGGTTGTTGGAGTAACCCAGGTAAATTTGCCAAGGTTCCCAGCAGGGTTTGCCAGCTCAGGCTGAGACTGCCTCAATCCGGTGCTTTCAAACCAATGCTGAGCGGCACGATTCCTTCCTTGTTTGTCTTGCACTGAAACCAGGAGAGGGATTTGGTAGCTCTCACCAGCTAGGAAACTAGTATAAACATTCTTTACTTACTTGGTTTCTCCTCTCTCTTTCATCTTTTGTCTCTGCTTTCTTTTTCCTGAAGCCTTATTATACCTCATCAAATCACCACACCCACCAGGATGAATTTAGGGTTGTAGGCAAAACACAGTTACCATGTTGGGCCCTGCGAAGGTTCACTACTGGTGTCTCCTACTGTAAAAGGCACAGTGGTGGAAAATGAGCATCACCTGATACCAAGCTCCACCTGCAGAAAAGAACAACCTGAGTTGATGCCACACTGTTGTGAACTTGCTTATCTTGCTGTGTCTTGCAACCAGAGTATGTATATTTCTCTCCTGTTGATGGGAAAATGCAATGTCATTCTTTTCCATGAGTCAAAAATCTTTGGACATTTGGCCTACGATGTTGAGCACTTTAAAAGATAGTTAGAGCTTATATTATTACCCAGTCGTCCAATCTAATTATTATTTATTTTTTTAATCACACGTTCAAACCAATAGACATCATAATTGTTATTGCACTCTCTGGGGTAAGGAATGCTAAGGGAATATGGCCTAAGGACAATGTTAGCCCAAGCCATCTTAACTCTGCAACTGTTGGGCTTTTGTCCACCATCATTCCTCTGTCTATCCTCACTGAAAATTGTGAGTTCAGTGTGTGTAGATCCTTGGATCCCATCTGACATAACACCCTGCGCTACTCTTTCCCATCTCACTTTCTATAATATGAGAATATCAAGATAACAACCATGCCAAGGCTTCTCTAATACCTGAAATGTATTTGGCTACTAGATGCCCTCAGATGCTTTGAGGTATTCGGTGTCATTGGCACAAGAAATTTGAACTGATATGGAAATGGGCCATGGATTTCCTGTTCTTTACTTATGAAAATTCCTAAACACAGATGTTATGATACAGAGTATTAAAATCACCTATTGCCCTGAATGACAGTGTTTGATTAAAAGGACATTGAAGTTGGTCATCTTGAATCTATAACATTTAGGAAATCAATCAATCAGTCAATAAGGGGTAGGAGCCAAATACCATTCTCATTGATAACCCTGCCCTTGCATTATTCCAAGAAGTGAACACAGAAGGGATTCTTTACCTGTAAGGGGTGGTCCCCTAGGAAATCATAAAATAATCTCAAAAATGTGGTTTGGACAAAAACATATTCAGTAATACAATATCATTTTATATTGGAAAAGTATCAGTTGAGCAACACAAATTTAAGAAAGTAAACTTGGTCAAAGTTATCTGACCTAGTAGTGGTATCCAGAAGGTACAGGGATTCTCAGCCTGTGGCCTGGTAGAGTCCCAGTGAAGGGGATGTTTATACGAGAGACACACTGAGCCAGGAAGACAAAGTGAGAGACAGAGGGAGAAGAGTATGTATGGATTTTAAAAGATGCTAAAAAGGTAGAAACTTCTGTTTTCTTCTTTGAGTTGTTAACCTTTCTGGAACTGACAATGATAAAGTCCATGTGTTGAGATATGTCTCTGGGAAAGGACATGTATCTACTGCTTGTGTATCGGTATGTATTCCCTACAGGCATAAGTGGCTTATTTTACCATGACAGTGTTGCAGGGCAAATTACTGTTCTAGGATTATTTACACACAGTGGTTTGAACCTGATGGTTTCTTTTTCTTGTTTGGGTGATGGACCCTTGGATATCAAATTTCCTCTGTCTGTACTGCTGTCCCGTGAAACTACTTGATTCTAGTGAACAGGAACACAGAGCTTGGCAGTCCTTGATGAAGCATATTTATGAGTTAAGCCCAAATGAATCCAAAACATATGGATTAAATTTCCCTTGAAATATCTAAATTAAAGGTGGAAAGCACTGTGAAGAATGCACTGGGGACCTGCTTGCTGCTCCTCAGGCCAGTTTTAAAGTTTGAGCTATTTTCTCCCACTCAAAAGAGCTTCAGGTTTGCCCATGCTGTACAGTACTTGAAGGTCCCACCCTGGCTTTTTCATGGCAACTGCTATTTTGGGGCAGGCAGACCTTGATATCCCAACAGCGACCCCACCTAAGTCCAGAGGGTCATGCCTCAGGCTGAAAAGGCAATGTTTTATTGAGTGATGCAGCTTAATGTCTCTTCTGGGTCCCTGCCTCATCCAAACCTTAAACACAATTAATGGTAAATGTACAGGAATGAAAGAAGCCAGGAAGCCCTCCAAAAAGCATTTACAGGCACAACAAGAATGACATGGACTCTTTCTCCCACAAGCCAAAGTCACAGTGAATGTAGCTTAGTACTTTAAAAAAAAAAAAAAAGGATAAATAAAACAAAAGCTATCCAGTCATTGGAGTTCCTTCATTTACAGATAAATGAAATTATTGTAACTTCCCAAATAATTATACGATACTGAACTTTATCCCATAATCTTGACTTATTTTTTGCATTTGCCATCCTGAATTGTAATAGTTATAACTTCAAATAAAGGTGCCTTAAATATCTAATAAAATTTTATCCTCTCTCTGCTTTATACATACAAGGTGTATTTCATCCAATGGTTTGATCTCAAACCATTATTAATATGATTATGGTTACTTTTTAAATTGCCACAACTTTTACACATAATCTATTGGACTGCCTAGGCTCGACAGAAAATTATTCTTGTATATTTTCTTATAATTACAATAATTGGCCTAGTTTGTCTTTTTTCCCTTACAAGATTGCAATAATTTTCCCTCTGTTCTTTTGCCTCCACCAGAATATTCCAGTGAAGTTCAGGTCTGTCTACAAATGAGTTGAATTTAGAAATTGATATCGGTAATTTGCTCTATAGATGACCAAACAAAGAGATTGATTATATTTTCACTGGAAACAGTTTAATTTTCCTTAGATTAATGCCTTCTTTATTGAGGCCAGTGGGACTTCAGAATTCAATGTTCTCAAAATTTGACCACGTGCACATTTGTCATAATTTCAGGTTGCAATGGTGTCTTTGGAATCAAGTAAAACTATTGATAAAAACTTTTCTTGGGCACCAAAAATGCTCTTTCTTGTTAATTCTTTGTCCATCGGATTGCAACTGTCCAGAGGCAAGTGACTATAATTTTAAGAGACCTGAAGGTAAATAGATTTCTCCCACTTACCTAAGGAAATGAGATGAAAATGCTTGCACTTAGTGACATTTTTAAATCCATTACAAAATACATTACATTTTATTCCTTTATTATTAGTATTCATCACAAAGAAATGTCCTCACCAAAATAAACCTGTGCCAAGTAAGTTCCAGTTTTTAGACATTATAAAGTTGTCATTGTTTTACTGTTTTTCAAAATATTAACTCTAATCTTGACTCTCAAAATCTTTGTGGATCTACATACGTGAATTTGGAGAAGTGAATTTTTAATAAACATATTGTGGAGAAAATAAATTTAGAAAATTTAGATCTAATGGCATGTTTTGTGGCCAAAACTATCTGATATCATTCGCATCAACAAATGAGCAAGGTAATAGCTCACTGTTCCCTTTATGTAATCATTACCTTTCTGTCTAGATTTTATCCTGGCCAACCTTGTATAGGGGAAAAATTATGAAAACATTGGAACAGATGACGCCCTTGTGATGTATTCTCAATGACCCTCAAGTAATAGTTCAGACTTTGGTTTAGAACAAAGCAATACCTCTCCTGAGTCTATGAACTTCCCCAGAGAGGCTGAGTGTTTTAATAAGAAGAGGTCGTCCCAAATAGAGACGCAAAATGTCTGATGACTGTTTTAGGGTGTATCTGCTCTGTGCAGATATTTCCTCCATCCTGTCATCATCCTCTGGACTCTCTGGGCCAGACCTCCCTGTGCCTTGACCCCCTGGCTCTCCCACAGGCTTTAAATCTGGCTCTCTAACTGGAGGGAGCAGTGGGAATCTCCATTAAGTATATTAAAGACTTGACATCTGGCTTTTCTTCCATGCTTCTTGAATCTGGTGATTCGAAGCCAACTTTTAGTGACAACCCATTCTCAGAGAACTGATATTTCACTGTTTCTCCTTGTCACACACTGAGCCTTAATTTTTTAGAAAGAAGAGGCAAGATAGAAGTCAATTATTATTATCATTATTATTGTTATTTTTAGACAGAGTTTTTCGCTCTTTGTTACCCAGGCTGGAGTGCAGTGGCGCCACATCAGCTCACTGCAACATTTGCCTCCCGGGTTCAAGCGATTCTCCTGCCTCAGCCTCCCATGCAGCTGGGATTACAGGTGCCTGCAGCCATGCCTGGCTAATTTTTGTATTTTTAGCAGAAATGGGGTTTCACCATGTTGGCCAGGCTGGCTCGAACTCCTGACCTTAGGTGATCCGCCTGCCTTGGCCTCCCAAAGTGTTGGGATTACAGGAAGTCGATTATTTTCAAACAACAAAAGGGCTACTTTCCTGTTCATTTGTACATGTAAAAGTGATTCTGAAGACCAGTGAAGGCTGCATTTATACATCCTGCCTTTGTTCCAGGTGCACAGCATGCATACATGTATTTGTTATTTTTTTTGCACTGATACTACAAAACATCCTTATTTTGATCACATTTTGAATGACTCATTTTGTTTAAAGCAATAAATTTCATGAACAAAATCAACTCTATCAAATGAAGAACAGTAATATGTAGTAAAACAATAGACTAAAGGGTTTTTTGTTTCTTTCAATTTTTACACCTTCTTCTTAAAAGTGTACTATGACCCAAATAGCCATATGTGATTCATGTGTGGACTTTCATGACATTATACACATAGCAGAACAAGTATGTATGGTTCAAACATTGACAGAAAATACAAAGTTTCTATCCTGGCCAGTTTGGCTGTCTTTGTAAAGATTCAGCAAGTTTCTTAAAACAGACGGATGAAGTCAATTGCCCAAGTTCTGTGTCAGTAAAGTTAACTAATGTTGAGCTGTTTTTAGTCTCTCATATCCTTCAGACAGAACCTAATGAACAAATCCAATCAAACACAGTAGCCTTAAGTCTGAATCACTGTGGCCAGATAGACAAGCAGTAAGTAATTCATTATTGAGAGTAATTGCAGTAAACAAGGATGGAGGGTTCTTGACTCCTCTGAGAAGCATTATAGAATAATAAAAAGAATTTAGAGAGATGTGGATTAAAAGTCTGTCTGTATGCCTTATTAGCTCTGTTGAAACTGCCTTTGCAAAAATTATAACAGTGAGAAAATTATGACAGTGAAAGAGATCTGACCTAACCAACTCCATCTTGCCTTTAATCTCCAAACTGCCCTTGGTCATTCCAAGGTCATTCCAAGTCTTAAGGGTAGGCCAAGCTAACTTTGGGAGAAATTTAATTTATAGTTTAAATGATAATGGCCCTTCCCTTCCCCAAACTAAATCACTTTTGTAAAACTAATGAAAGGCCATCAGGTTAGGAGGATGGGGGGGCCTGAATTCTGCTAAGATGATAGGCATAGTTAGATGATTACCAGCCATTATTCCAGCAGTGACAAGATTTGTAACTTCCCCAATACTCCAGTAAATAACCTAATATTGGCCTTTTGAGATGCCCTTTCAGGCCTTTGCATTTCTGATGACTGGATGGCCACACAGGGACCAGCTACTCCTCTGTGGCCCCCACCTAGAAACAGACTCTGCACCCAAGGACCATTTTCCACACCCCTATGACTGCATCCTCCAGCCTATTGGCAGCACTCATTCTTTAGTCCCCTGTCAGCCAAACTATCCTTGAAAAACCCTAGCCTCTGAATTTTCAGGGAGGCTGATTTGAGTAATAATAAAACTCCAGTTACCTGTGTAGCCAGCTCTTAAACTCTTCTCAATTGCAATTTTTCTATATTGAAAAATTGGCTCTATCTGAGCAGTGATTGAGAAAAAACCCACTGGACAGTTACACTGTGATCTGCAGTAAGTTCTACTACTTCTCTAAGCCTCTGTGTCCATACTTCTCAAATGGGGATCAGGATATCTCCTTTCAAAGTTGCCATCATTATAAAATGAGACAAGATGTATAAAGAGATTGACCCAAAGGAGGCCCCAATACATGTTGATTAAACTTCTCAGCATTGATGGACTAATTTCAAATGCTTCTACCAATATGAGGTACAGAGCTCAAGGAAAGATACAAGATGCTGTTGTCACAGAATGTGTTTGATCTTCTCAATTTCACTAGGTACCCAAGATTATTTAGGGCCATGTTTGTAGGTCTTGTCTGCTTTGATAGAGCCAGGAACTAACATCTCTAGGTTTTCAGCTCCTCACAGAACTCAAAACCTTGCTAAAGAGAACTGGAATGGGAAGAATTCATTGCAAATGTTTAAACATATCTTGTAAATACATAATTGTACTCTTAACAGATAAATATGTTTGACCTAAATATGTGTACTTCAAGGTAGAGTAGTAGGTACAAATTGGTAGCTTTTCCTAATGTCTAAAATGCAATCCCTAAAATAATATACAGTCAATGAACTATTGTTTTCCCCGTAGAATAATTCCAATTCAAACTGAGCTTCACAGTCCCTTGAAAGGCTTTTGTGAACTTAAAGTAGTCAGAATGCATTTAACCTGAAGTCCCTTTACTTCTTCGACTTAAATCAGCCCTATTTGGAGTAAATGAAGAATGGTAGGAAAAACAGTCACCCAATTCTATATTACACACCCAGTAATATTATAAATATCATATCTTCATTTTTCTTTGACCAGTATCATCTGAAAAGGTGGCGGGGCGGGGGGGGGGGCTGTAGGAGATTTCAGGAAATGTGGTAGAGAGAAAAAGGATTGCATAGTATCTATTTCCTAAAATCAAACAAACTCAAAGTAAGTAGACATCAGCAAAGATGCACACACAAACATCTTGCAGAAAAAAAGGCGCAACTTTAAGGTCATAAACTAAAAAGTAATGAATGAGGGGAGGGAAAGACAGAGAATTAATTTTGAGAATTGGTGTGACTCTTCAACCTGACCTTCAGAATCAATCTTGGGAAAAAAGTGGAAAAATCTAGACCAAAACTCCATTAATACCCCCTAACTGAGGGACACTTAGACAGAGGAAGTATGTATAGGTTCTTGGGCAGGAGATGGGAGGAAAAGAAAATCTCTGAAAATTGGAAGCCCCTCTTCAATACTGCAAAGCCTCACCTGAGGTCAAACAAATGAAAAACTGGGCAAGACTTCCACCTGGAAAATTGGAGTCACCTTAGTTTCTCCACCAATAAATAGGTAAACTCCACCAATAAACACAGGCACTTAGCTGAATGGAAGACAGGAGAAAATAACCCAAAAATCCGGGAGTGTATTCTGAGGCCCTGGTAGAAAAGGCACACAGAGCAGCCCAGTTAAACAAAGAGCTGCACCGGTTTCTTCTAAATGAGAAGTTGGGGCCCTCAACCATGGGATTTACTGATCTTTGCCCTACACTTGCTAGGAGAGGACTAGGACAGATGCTTGAGAGCTGAGGGTGAAGCAGGGGAAGGGAGAATTGGGAGCTAATGTTGAGGTTCTGAGGATCCTTCCTGAATGAGCATGGGAGGAAGGAACTTCTGTCTTTGAAGGTAACCCAAACCAGAGGAAGAGGTGCCCAGGAGAAGTAAACTCCAGCACATACCCCCTTAACCAAGTTGTTGAAGGCAAAGCCAAGATCAGGCCCTCCAAGCACAACTGCGTATTGAGGTACAAAAGTGCTCCCTGCTCTCACTCTCTCCAAGCTCTTAAAGAAAATTAGAAAATTACAAGAAAACACACATTATTCTGACTTCATACTGAAGTTCTAAGGAGGAAGACAAGAAAAGGTGACACAAATGTCCAGGAGAATTCATTAGAACAAAGATTTAATAGACTCTTTAGATTTTGTTAAAAAATATTATGGTAACTAGTTGCATAATATCTATATCTATGTTATGGTAAGAAGTAATGCGCAGGTCAGGTAAGTATTTAATAAAAAGCTCTTGGAGGGAAAACAAAAAGAGCATTTGTAGCATTTGCTAATTTCCATGGTGTAAATAACCCCACCATAGCCAATTAGGAAATTAGAAAGAGGTGCAAACATTTGACTCTCATGAACCAGCTCCAGCACACCAACTCATGGTAACTTGCAAAAATTCCACTGTGATAATGATGGAGAAGAGAAGAGCATGCCTAAGACAGATCATGCTTACATTTCATAAGGCAATATAAGCCAGGAAATCCCCGCAGTGGGCGTTTTTCTTTCTATAACTTAAACAGATTTTTTTTTAAAGAAAGGCATCAAGAACAAAACTTTAAAACAAAAAATAATGAATTTCAAAGCTAAGGAAATAAATTCTGGATCAAAATAAAATAATTATGGAATAACTAAATTAGGCTGGGCACAGTGGCTCATGCTTATAATCCTAGCACTTTGATAGGTCAAGGCAGGAGGATTGCTTGAGGACAGGAGTTGGAGACCAGCCTGGGCAACACAGCAAAACCCTGTCTCTACAAAAAAATAAAAACTAAATTAAAAAGAAGAAGAAGTAAAGAATAACTAAATTAGAAATATCAAGAACCAAATTGACAACATCAGAAATTGGCAGCCATGAAAAAGTCTTTATGTCAATGAAAGAATGCAGAAAAAAAAAGATTAAAATAATTTTAGAAGTACATGATTATCTCATATAAAGATAATTGATACATCTGATTTGAAAACCCACCAAATGGCAAAGAAAATACACTCTATGGATCAATTTTATTTATAAATATGAATTTAAAGATCTTAAAAACAATGTCAAAATTCAGCAGCATCTTGAAAGAAAATACAAAATAATCTAATAGGTTTTCCTCAGAAACCCAAAGATGATTTGTTATTAACAAATCATGTAATTCATCATATAAATAGGTTAAAAAATTGAAAACATATTCATTTCAAATATATCAAAACATAATTTAATAAAATTCAACAACCATTGCTAATTTGTTTTTTTTTAAAAACTGACATAGAATTCAATAGATACTTCTGTGGCATTTTGTGTGCATGTGTGTATATATGCGTATATTTGTATATGTGCAAAACAGGAAATAAAAAGTTATTACAATGATGAAACACACAGAAATATTTGTACTAAAGATTAAGCGAAAGATGCCTTTTATAACTACTATAGTTAACATTGTTCTGCAAATACCAGGCAATGTAATTAAGGAACACTTCTAAATAAGGTATAATAATTGAAATGCATATGCAAAAAATTATCATTATTTGCGTAACCTAATTTTGAAAACCTAGAAAACTGAAGAAAACTAACTAAAAAGTTATTAGAAAGAATGATCTTTAATCAGAAGCTAGTTACAAAATTAAAATAAAAAAATCGATACCCTTTCTTTGTATAAACAATATCCAGTTAAAAAATAGACCAGGAAAACAGGTTTCCTCTGCAATAGAAAAATAGGAATGACACACTTTTAAATGTAAACTACTTATATATTAATATAAAGGACGTGAAAGAAAACTAAAATGCTAAACCAGATTATATCTTGGATCGGAATGCTTGATCTTGAAGATTCCTTCATTTATTCATTCAGTCACTCAGAAAATATTTATTGAGGGCCTATTGCATAAAAAACACCATTCTAGGTCTCAGGGAGTAGTGAACAAAATAGACAAAAGTCCCTGGCCTCATGGAGGGGGACCTAGTGAGGGGAGACAGACAGTCTACAAACTAAAAAATACATCATATGTTATGGTGTTCAGTGCTATGGGGAGATGTAAAGCAAGAAGACAGATTGATAGGACTGAAGAGTTGGATAAAGGTGTTTTTTGTTTTGTTTTGTTTTGTTTTGTTTTTTTAAACAGCATGGCCGGGGGCTGGTAAGGGAAGACCTCAGTGACAGGTGATATTTAAAGTTCTGACCAAAGGAAGTGAGGATGCAAGCCAGGTGGCTACCAGGGGGAAAAGCATTCCAGGCAGAGGGAATAGAAGATGCAAAATCCATAAAGAGGACGCAAGAGTTTAGAAAAAGGCAGGACTACTCATTTTAATAATCTTAACACCCCAAATATACAATTTTATTTATCTAAATTGCTCACAGCTTAGCTTGTATTTTTTCTGCTACGAAAATTAAGAAAGTAATATTAAACTTCATCTGGAAAAATCCAATGCTCAAAATTATGCAGAATAAGAGCAACAAGATAGTGTCAGTCAAATCGGACATTGACCATATCATGAAGTTATCATAACCATACATTTTTGTACTCGAGTAGATTATGTAAAAATGTGCATTTTAGTACTTAATAATTCTGGTATTGTAAATCAGTATTGAAAAGATAAAATAGTCAATAAATAATGTTGACAACTGGTTAGACATTTGAAACATAAATGAAATATTTGTGAATACCTGTGAGGTCTTATACCAAAATAAATTTCAGTTCTTTAAAAATATGTACACCTAAAAACAAATTTACAAAAGACCTAGAAGACAAGGAAATGTTTGTGTCAATATGTGTGTACATGTGTGTACAGGAGTGCAAAAAATCTTTATAAGCAGATATCCAAATCACGACCCTATCAAGGAAACGACTGAACAATAAAGTTAAAATTAACATATAGTAAAAATATGAAAAATAAAATTAAAAGACAAAATCTTAAAAAATATTAAAGCACTCATTGTTGACTTGAAATAGAAAGAACATTTAAAACATATATATGAAAAAATACAACCTGATAGAAACAGTGAAACAAATAGCAAAAGAATATGCAAAAACCTCTTCAAATCTACTTTAGATTAAAATATTCAAATGAAAAAATAAGAAATGACTTTCCATCTAGTAGATTTGCAAAAATAATTTAAAATCATTAATGATATTCAGAGCTGAGAGGAGAGTATGGGGAAATGAGAGTTGTATATTGATGCTGCATTTCCATAATACACATTTCTATAAAACTCCTATAGAAATTGAAATGTGTTTACCATTTGGTGAATTTGAGATTTGATGGAAATGGTGTACAATATTAACAATGTATATAATTGAAACAGAATAAAGATTTAAAACAGATTCAGAATTTAATATATAAAAAATAGGCTTTCAATTCAGTGAGGAAAAATCCTTTATTTAATAAATAATATTGGCTTAATTGGCCATTAATCTACACAAAAAGAAGGCTGGGATCTTCGCCTTACAGTGTATCAAAAATAATTCCAAATAGATTAAAATTTTAAATGCTAAAAATAAAAAAGTAATTCAAAAAACATATTATTTGACCATGCAATCCCACTGCCAGAAATTTATTATTAAGATACATTAAGAAAAATTTTCCAAGCATTTTCTATAAAAAAAAAAAAGACAGGAAATGTCCAAATGTCAGCCAATAGGAATCTAGCTGAATTTTTAAAACATACGTATATACAATAATTTTAAATATATAAAGCTATTTAAAAAAGAATGAGGCAGATCTGTGTTTACATGAGAAAAATCTCATAGCAGTTTAATTTGATGGAAAAAAGTATAAGTTAAAAACAGCATGCTTAATTTGTGTTTGTATAAGTTTTAAAATGCAGTTATACATAAACAATTATATGAATAATAAAATAATAATACTCAGCATTTACTCAATTGTTACTATGTGCCAGGTACTATTTTAAACACTTTACATGCATTGACTCTTAACAACTCTAAAAGATAGGTATTATCAACAGGCCCTGTGACCCAGAAAGTCAGAGTAATTTGCCCAGAGTCCTAGTAAGTGGTGTATGAGGATTCAAAACCAGGCAGTCTAACTCCACATCCTGCACTGTTAACCATTGCTATGCTATAGGTATGCATGCTGAACACCACACACACTTGATTATTTCTGGATACAAAAAAATTATTGGTTGTAGTTACCTGCAGTTGAAGAATAAAAGTTGGGTTCTGGAATATGGGGCACTTACAGTTATTTAATAGCTAACTTTCTGGGCTTGATTTTCTTAAAAAACCATATACAGGTTTTTACTTTTTTTTTATTATTAAACAAACTTAAAAAAAGAGAGAGAGAGAGAAAAAAAAAAGGAAGGGATCTCAAGCATCCTCAGGAACTCCAGGGAAAAATGACTCCAGCTGGCATAAACACCTCTTCATGGCACAGAGCGATGAAACTGGACTTCGCTGAACCTGAGAGCAGTGTGCCCTTTGCCTCTGCACTCCCTTTCCTGAGCTGGTGTATGGAACTGACTTGCTGGAGCAGAACCTGGGTGCCACTGTGTTGCATTTCCTATCAGCAAAGAGATCAGAGAAGGATGCTGTCCTCTTTATCATGTCTCTCCTATCGATCGATCAGGTTCTCTCCTTTTCTGTGTGCCCGACACCATGATACCCAGGAACTCGGACTGCCGCTAGACTCAGGACAAACAACAAAGCTGGGGATGCTCACTTATCATCCCCTGGGAAGGGAGGCCTGAGAGCTGGTACTGGTTGGCCAAGTTCCTGGCAGAGGGCCTTGGTTTCTCTGGCAGGGAAGAAGTCACCATACGTCTCCAGGCACTGGTTAGCTTGCTGCCTCCAAAGGAGTTAACTGTGTTCT
Organism: Homo sapiens; assembly: GCF_000001405.40. Taxonomy (NCBI): domain Eukaryota; kingdom Metazoa; phylum Chordata; class Mammalia; order Primates; family Hominidae; genus Homo; species Homo sapiens. The sequence continues at coordinate 41,078,514 of NC_000007.14, forward strand.
TCACTAGAGGACTCAGGTGTCAAGCATGCTGGCAAGGTACTGGCTGCCACCTGAAACCTCCAGAAAGCTACATTGTTCTTTTCCAGGTTCTGAAAGAGAGAGTAAGAGAGGAATCCGGCCATTATTGTTGGGCCCCAGAGAAATAAAATCAGCCCTTCTGAAAATCCAATGTCAGTGTGAACTGATAAAGTACTTGGTGCAAAGGGAAAAATAAGAACTTAGTGGAGCTTCGAAGCTTTATTCCCTCATGCATTCTTGAGTAATGGTTTCCCTGAATCATGCCTTAATTTTTGCAGATGATACAAAGAATGGGTACAAATCAAGTCCTAACATTGAGGCTTGACTCACAGAGTTCAGTGGTTGGGAAAGTTGCAAGTAGGGAATACCCAATAACGTTTATAAGGGAGTGTGTGTGCACGTGTGTGTGCTAATACAAAGAAATGACCATACTACCTTCCAACAGTGAAGCATCAGAGAGGAAAAGTACTTATTTACAGGGTTGGGGTAGGAAAGAAAATGCAAAGGCAGGTTACGTGGACTCAAGAAGTGTTTCAGAAAAAAAAATAAGAGCAGCATATCCATATAGTATATTTATTCTGGCTGCTTCATGAATTAGATTTGTTTTAAAAATCAAAGTTTATAAGACTCATAGTAGATTTTTGGCTTCTTCCTTTACAAGAGATTATTGACATGGGTGTAGATCAGTGGTTCTCAAACTTTTTGGTCTCAGGATTACTTTGCACTCTTAAAAATTGTTCATAACTAAAACCAAAGAACTTTTGTTCATAGGAATTATATCTGTCTATATTTACTATATTTTACATTAGAGTTTAGAAGTATTTAAAAATAATATTTGTTAAAACTCATCACATCTTAAGATAAAGAATATATTTTAGTGAATATAACTGTATTTTCTAAAATAATAATAAAATTAATAGTGGCATTGTTTTATGTTTCTTCCAATCTCTTTAACATGTGCCTTCAGGGAAGATAGCTGGATTCTTACATATGCTTCTGTTTTCAATCTACTGTGTTGTTACAGCCTCTGGGAAGATTCTCTCTACACTCTTAAGAGAATGAGAGCAAAAAAGACAAATAATGTCTTACTATTTTTTTTATGACAATAGCTTTGACTGCAAAGGCCCTGTAAAAGAGTTTCAGGGACTCATCAGGATCCCCAGGCCACACTTTGAGAACCACCATTGTCATTAATAAGCAGACAATTAAGTAATTGAGGTGATGTATGGGAAAAATCACTGGGGTTATTGGATTGAATCAACTATTAGCAGCATTATTATTTCCACTACTAAAAGCTACCCACTGGGAAATGAGAGCTCTGGGTTTGAGAAGGCCAATTGTGATTTTGAAAATCAAGTCATGTGAAGTTGTGTTTTGGGGAAAGTATGTAGGAAAAACACACCTTTGGTTAACAACTATGATAACTAGCTAGCCTCATGCCCAAGCCCATGATTAATGTCTGGGCAATCTGAGGACTTCTGGTGAATTCAATAGTTGAGAGTTTTTGTGCTTTTAGAAATTAAAAAACTAGCGGCATTTTTTTTTCTAAAAATATTTTGTGTATTTGGAGCATGGTGGCAAGGTTATTTTGCATAAGTGGCACCCCAATTATAATTCAGTCACAGGTTAAGTGGTTGACAGGTTAAGGACTGATTTTTGTTTGTTTGTTTGTTTGTTTTTATCTCTCAAGGATTTGTGGGAAGATGATGAGAAAAATAAATGGAAAAGTCCACTCTGAGAAGTTAGTGCAATAAAGCATAAGATTTATTTGTTGCTCTGTTTGATTTTTGGAAGGGTCTATGTGGGAGAGCTGCCATGTTAATGTCCAAAATATGACCTTCAGGGAATATATGGACCACACAGGAATCTGACCTTCAGGGAATATATGCACCACACAGATAGTTGGAAATGGGAGTAAGCAGTAAGAAGGTTAATACAGTTAAGTTCAGTAATAATAATTTCTTACAAGGTTATGAATCCTGAATAATGCCAGATGCACCCAAATAAACTTTCTGAAATATTGAATTATTTGTGAACGTAATTTCTTCCCCCTAGTAACTAGAGAGACTACTATACATGAAGAGAACAGTGGGTTTGCAGCATAATAATCCCAAATAATAAGGATGCACATGTGCACACACATAAAATCCAGGGTATAGGCTTCTTAGTTGTGTGGATTTGCCCAACTCCAGCCTTGCTGTAGCTTCTAGATTCAAAATACTGGGTTAGCACCATAAAAACTTCCGATCAATAAAATAGTATATGCAGAGAGACTGGCTCATGGCCTGGTCCTTAGAAAATACAGTACTCAGGAAATTCACTCCTTCCCCCACCCATTCCCACCTAGTTCAAAAAATAAAATAAAATAAAATAAAATAAAATAAAATAAAATAAAATAAAATAAAATAAAATAAACCAATAGAGAAATTCACGATTCTAAAGGCCTCTAAACTTTGTATTTTATCCCAAGGATTCTGCCTTCCATGGAAAATGCCTTAACACAAAGAGGTGGCATTACAATTAATTCCTTGATATGTGAAATTTGGCTTAGAAGTTAGAGAAGATACTGCCTTTGGGTTTCAAATGAAAGGTGTTGCTAAAGAAATAACTTGTCAGGAGAAATATGAAACTGTCATGTAGTTGAAGGATGGGAGGAATGCTGGAATTGTAAATAAGCATTTGTAATTGGTGTGAAATGTAAGGTTAATTGTGTGAAAGTAAACCAGACTAAATTTGTTATTTTTTTTCTGTTTTATTCCAAGTGTAGACTTTAAGATAATGATTTACAATGTGTGTGCCAAGCAATGCTAAAAAAAGAAACACACACACAATTATTTGATGTCAGTATAGGAAGGGACTTTAAGGATGATCTACGTTGTTTTTCAACCACAGGGGTCCTGGCCCCAGGCAGTTTGGACCTGTGTGGGAACTGTTATGTAGTTGGAATAACCATGAAGGAGGGCTGCCACTCTGGCACTAACTGTGCACCTCAGAGGGCCAGGGACACAAACCATCTTGCAGCATAGCCTAGGACGCTTAGAGGCCTTATCTCACTCCAAATGCAGACAGCATTCCTTCCAGGAACACTGACTTTTCAGAGGCGTGGGGAGCTCACCTGCTTTTCTATTGTCCAGAGATCTAGTTTTGGTGGAATTAGGACTAGATTCTTTAGTTTCTGTGCCTTAGTGCTTACACTAATAAATCTTGATAAAGATATGTTTGGGCTGGGTGCGTTGGCTCATGCTTGTAATACCAGCACTTGGGGAAGGTGAGGTGGGTGGATCACCTGAGGTCAGGAGTTTGAGACCAGCCTGGTCAACATGGTGAAACCCTGTCTCTACTAAAAATACAAAAATTAGCCAGGCGTGGTGGTGGGCACCTGTAATCCTAGCTACTTGTGAGGCTGAGGCATAAGAATCGCTTGAACCCGGGAGGCAGAGGTTGCAGTGAGCTGAGATCGTGTCACTGCACTCCAGCCTGGGAGACAGTGAGACTTTGTCTTAAAAAAAAAAAAAAAAAAAAGTTTGGTATTTGTTGAATAAGAATAATTTTTACTTTGAGAATCATGTGGTATTTTACAGTTTTAAAACTATAGTGAACTATTAATCACTTTCAAGATAAGTAAGAATTCATTATTCTTATTTAAATAACTTAAACCAGTATCTTATTTTTGAGTTATTAATTATGGACTTACCTGAACATTCCAGTTCAAGGTTTACTTCAATTTTCCACATTGTGCAACAGAGATCTGTTAGCTTAAATCATGAGGATAAAAGACTTGAGCCAAAGAAATGTTTTTGTGCAGCACGTAGACTATCTCTTGTTTTACATGCCGTATAGTCAAAAATAATGTGCTGCTGATAGTTTTAATTAATCTATGACATACAAAGAGAAAAATTAATGATACCTTGTTCATATCGGCATTTCTTTAATTATAATAGTTGTTGTAATAATTCAGTATATTCAGTTCAGCAAAACCTTGCTTGTGTGGGTCTTATAACCTGTAAAAGAGAGTAAGTTTAGAAAATACAAGAACACGAATGAATCAGGTGAATAAAATCTCTGGATTACACAAGTTCATGGATAAAAACTGCGGCTCCAGTTACACCAACTCCAGAAAGACGGAATTACCAGGGCCATAAGGCCCTCTATGCCAGGGTGCAGACCCCACAATCTCCTCTGCCTGCAGTGTTTCCCATGGCTCCGCGTGGTGCATGGGAATGAAAATGTACAATTTGCAGCTCTTTAGGAGGCCAGAAATAGAGACGCTACTGGTGACAAAGGAAAATATATGTATATGATTTGTTAGTGGATTCTTCTCTTTGGGTGCCATAGATTAAACTATAGGCAATATTTATTCTTCAGTAGTTAGAGTAGGGATGCGTATTTTTATTTCATTTTTTCTTTCTTTTCTGGGAGGTTAGCTGAGATTTCTTTCCCATGAGGAAAAGAGGCTACTATTTAGGTCGCATTTCTAACTCTTTTGTCTGTTTAGTATTGGATGAGGAACCTGTGGCTGGGAAGCCAGACATGACCTTCAGACTCGTTTTTTTTCTGACATGGTCACTTCTGCTTCAGTACAGATAAGCACCACTGTCCCGGGGCAGCTGTGCTTATATGCTTATGTCAGCCAGAGCAGAGTCTTGAGTTAAGGAGTAGAGCAGTCCAGCAGCCACACCTACTAACGCATACTAATAAGCTCTGTACCTGGCTGAGGATGCCAGATGATGATATTGTGACGTTCAGGTTCAGAAGAGCATGGAATTGGGGCCTCTCGCACTAATAATCTTCGATTCCTGAAGCCTCTCCTTTATTTCAGCCTCATCTTTCTCATGGTCTAGTTCCTCTTTCCCGCTAGTGTATCTCTTCTTCTATTACTATCCAGCTTTTCCCATGTTACTATCCTTCTTTTTTCCTCTCGTGCTCTCTCTTCACCTTATCTTCTTTATTTTCTCTATTGATGGATCGTAGCATGAGATAACTATTTAAAAGAGCTGCAGTTATATATCTCATATGCCTTCAATCTACCTTTATGCCCATCTGTTTCAATACAGCCCCGTATAGTCTATGTGCTTCCCAAATAGCGGGGTTTTTATTTTTTTAACACTAAGTAAATATTCACACATTTGAAATTTTTTCTGGCAGTGTCCTTTTTGACACCTCTGCCTGCAGGCTCAGTTCAGGTGTCACCTCTTACAGGAAGCTCTCTGGCCTCCCTTGGTACTTTCCTCTAAGGTAGACTCCGCATTTCCTCTTTCGGTGAGCTAATCCATTCCCATGACTTTATTCACTACTTTGATGTGAATTGAACTCCAATCTACAGTTCTAGAGCTAACTTTGATTCTAACCTGCAGGCAATCATGTCAATCAACTAGTTATTCAATATCTCCTCATGGGTGACCAGTTAATCCAGGAGGACAACATAGTCTCAATAATATTATATATTAATCACTCCCAAATTCACACACATCCATGCACACACACACACACACACACACACACACACACACACACACACACACACCACTCCCACACACCAGGATGTCGATGGATGCATTTCTCCACCCCATTTGTAAAAGCAGTTTGGATAAGCTGATGCATCAGTTGTTTTTTAAAATTCATACGTTACAGGGGCAAATTGCTATTTTCTGAGCATTTCTTCATTCACTGCTTTGTGCACCCGCCTACTAAGGCACACGTGATCAACGATGCCCTAGTGCATCAGATCCCTGAGGTCTCTGCCTTCCCCAGCCTTGAGGAACTTCCCCTGGCCATCCACAAGAGCCTCGAGCCCTACATCTATTACAGGAGCTGGGCCTTGGTGGGGCACAGGAGTGAAGTGTGAGATACCCTGGGATTCTTCTGATACTCTAATATTCTGTCTAAAAAGAGGCCTGCAGCCCCTTTAGAAAAGGTTCTTCATACGCTGAACCATCAGGATTACCTGCAGCCACAACACAGATGGGAGTTTGTTCCAAGTTCAACTATGTAGGGGCTAGAGAAAGAGGTCAGACTGACACACATTCCTAACACCTTACAGATGCAATGGAGAAAATGGGTCTCTGCTTACTGGAAATTGCAACGTTAGTTTCTACATATAGGGGTTTGTGTAGTCATATGTTTGCCTGTCTGTCTGTATGGCTACTTGTATTTTAAGAGGACTTGCTAGCCAGAAGGAAAGTGAGACACTCTATTGTGTCCTTCTCTTTTGTCAAACAGGTTAAAACAAACTATAAATGGATTGCTTACTGATCATTAAAAAAAGGCATGTAAATTGTTTAAACCCGAAGCACTAATAGAAGATCTAAATTTTCTATCTTTTGTCCATGATCTGTAAGCTTAAAGCTAACTATGAGTGGGTGAATTTTATTCAATTATATTAAAAATCAAGCAAACAAATACATCCTGGATGCGGAGACAGAAAAAAAGCCACTGTTTATATGTTTATTAATTTGATTAGCTGTTTTCAAACTTATAATGCAACCATTTATTCAGCGGGAAGAAAAAATTTTTTAAAAACCCTTGACTGATTTATTAATATATAATTAAAATATGTGGGGGGAAACAGCATCAGGATGTTTAGGGTGAGAAGTTTGTTACACCAACTCATGTCAATGTTCCTCACTACTACTTCCAAGACTTTCTGGATTTCTGAAAGACTCCCCTGTTTCGTAGGCTTCCTACATAAAATGAACCCTAACTGAGACACACTAGATATAAAGGACTAGTCATTGTTTTCAATGAAAAGGTTAAATCCATCAGTTTATGTAAAAACTTATAGCTGCACAACAAAATAATGGTTTTATTCTCAGTTTCCTTCCCTCCACACAGTAGAGAAGCCAATTTTCTGAATAATTCCCAGCAATGCCCAAGTTAAAATCTTCTGGTGTGTTGGAAGCTAAAACCACGGATGAATCATCCTATTGATGAATGGCCACACAAATTCAGACCACACAAGACTTCACACTGGGCCTAGCATAGGTCAAAGATTTGTCAAGAATTTTGATTTCCTTGTGAAAAAATTGATGAATTAATATTTTAAATTTATAATCTGGAAGAATTGACATGACAATATCTCTTCATAGATTTTTTCCGTTCTCTGACTTAATTAATGGTTGGATTCAGTTGAATGATAATAGTTACTAGAGAGTTGTTTTAAAAGTAAATTGTGTTTAAATAAATTAAATGTTTTCCTTTCCTCAAAAAGTTTGCTTAGTAATATACACTAAAATATATATCATGTTGTAACATATTTGAAGCCTTTTTAAAATGAGACAACAAACTATTGAGATTCCCAATAGTCATTTCCGGAGAGATGTCAGGATTATTATTATTGCTGTTACCAATGACAGTTTGCATCATACTACTTACTAACTGGAAAACACTATTTATAAGTTGTATTCTAAAACAATTGACTGTAACTCTTATTTTCATTAAGAGTTTATGAATCAGATTATTGACTTCAATAAATCATACCATTTGCCCCTCTATGTCGTTTATAGTTGTACAAGGTCCAATCACAACCTGATCACTGCTATTAGTTATTGCTTTTTCCATGTCTCCTTTCTCCAGTGAGCTACATTCCAAATCTCACAACAGGGTACATGGGCACTGCACAGGCTGCAAGGAGTGAGTCCCATTTATCCTGACAAGACAAATAATACATAACTATTTTGTTACAATAAATTTTATTTTTTAGAAGTTTTAAGTTTACAGAAAAATTGAGCAGATTTCCTGTATATCTCCTGTCTTCACATAGACACAGCCTTCCCCACTATCCCCCACTATCAAATTCCCAATCCAGAGTGGTACATTTGTGACAATCTATGAACCTATGTTAATACGTCATTATCATTCAAAGTCCATACTTTACATTAGGGTTGACTCTTGGTGTTGTACCGTCTATGGCTTTTAACATATGTATAATGACATGTATCCACCATTATAGTGTCCTGTCAAACAGTTCTACTGCACTAAGTGTCCTCTGTGCTCTTCCTAGTCATCGCTTCCTCCTCTTTAATCCATGGCAACTACTGATCCTTTTACTGCACTCATTGTTTTCCTTTTTCAGAATGTCACATAGTTGGAATTACAAAGCACGTGTAGTCTTTTCAGATTGGTTTCTTCCATTTAGCAATATGAATTTAAGGTTCCTCTATGTATTTTCCTGGATTTATAGTTCAGTTATTTTTAGGGCCGAATAATATTCTGGTGTCTAGAATTATTACAGTTTGTCTGTATGTTCACCTGTGAAGGACATCTTGGTTGCTTCTAAGTTCTGGCAATTATGAATAAAGCTGCGGTGCACATATGTGTGTAGGTTTTTGCATGGATGTAAGCTTACAACTTATTTGAATAAATACCAAGGGGAGCAATTGCTGAATCTTATGGTAAGAGTATGTTTAATATTGTGGGAAACTGCCCAACTTTCTTCCAAAGTGGCTGTACCATTGTGCATTCCCACCAGTGTGAATGAGATTTCCTGTTGCTCTACAGCCTTGTCAGCTTTTGATGTCATCAGAGTTTTGAATTTTGGCCATCTAATGGGTGTGTAGTGGTATCTTTGTTAAATTTGCAATTCTCTATTGACATATGTTGTTTATCATATGATTATTTGCCATTTGTATATCTGCTTTGGTGAGATGTCTGTTCAGATATTTTGCCCACTTTAATTGGGTTTATTTTTATATTGTTGAGTTGTAAGCCTTCTTTGTATATTTTGATTAATAGATTAATTAATTGATTTATTAGATATGTATTTTGCAAATATTTTCTTACAGCCAGTGGCTTACCTTCTCATTCTCTTGACAGTGTATTTCACAAAGTGGGTTTTTAATTTTAATGAAGTCTAGCTTATAAATTTTGTGGGTTTTTTGGTGATCATGACTCCGGTGAGGTCATATACATTTTCTCCTGTGTTATCTTCTAAAAGTTTTACATTTTTGCATTTGACATTTAGGTCTATGATACATTTTGAATTAATTTTGTGAAAGGTTTAAAGTCTGTGTCTAGATTCATTTGCTTTTTACATGTGGATGTTTAGCTGTTCAGTACAATTTGATGAAAATAATACTATTTTCCCATTGCATTGCCTTTGCTCCTCTGTCAAAGATTAGTTGACTATATTTATATTTGTCTATGAGTCTCTATTCCATTCTATTGATCAATTTTTCTATTATTTGCCCACACTACACTCTTTCAATTACTATAGCTTTATAGTAAGTCTTGAAATCAGGTAATGTCTATCCTATAACTTTTTTTTCATTAATATCATGTTGCCAATTGTGGGTTTTGGCCTTTCCATAATAAATTTTAGAATAAATTTGTCTATATCTACAAAAATAACTTGAGATTTTGATTAGGGTTGCATTGAATCTATAGATCAAGTTGGCAAGAACTGATTTTTTTTCTTTTTTTTGAGACAGTTTCACTCTGTAGCCCAGACTGGAGCACAGTGGCACAATCTTGGCTCACGGTAACCTCTGCTTCCCAGGTTCAAGTGATTTTCATTCCTCAGCCTCCCAAGTAGCTGGGATTACAGATACGTGTTGCAACGCCTGGCTAATTTTTGTATTTTAGTAGAGATGGGGTTTCACCATGTTGGCCAAGCTGGTCTTGAACTCCTGACCTCAAGTGATCCACATGCCTCGGCCTCCCAAAGTATTGGGATTACAGGTGTGAGCCACCGCACCCAGCCAAGAACTGATATTTTGACAATATTCAAATTTCCTATCTGTGAATATGTTCCATATCTTTTTAAAATTTAGTTCTTTAGTTTCTTTCACCAGAGTTTTTAGTTTTCCTTATATAGATCAGGTACATATTTTGTTAGATTTATACCTAAGTACTTCGGTTTTGGGAGTGCTAATGGAAATGATATGTTTTTTACTTCAAATTCCAGTAGTTCTTTGCTTGTATATAGAAAATTAATTGACTTTTCTATATTAACCTTGCATCCTGAAACCTTACTATAATTGTTGATTAGTCCCAAGAGCTTTTTATCCATTCTTTTGGATTTTCACATAAACAAACATGTCATCTGAGAACAAAGAGTTTTATTTTTTCCTTCCCAATCTGTATACCCTTTTATTGTCTTTTCTTTTTTTATTCCTTTTTCTTGTTTTATTGCATTAGCTATGACTTCCAGTACAATTTTGAAAAGGAGTGGTAAGAAAGTGCATGCTTGCTTTGTTCTTGATATTAGAAGGAAAGCTTCTAGTTTCTCACCATCAAGTAGGGCATTCCCTTAATTTCTACTTTGCCAGGAGTTTCTCTAATGAATGGGTGTTAGATTTTGTCAAATGCTTTTTCTGTATATATTGATATGATCATGGGGTTTTTCTTTAGTCTGTTGATGTGATGAATTACATTAATTGATTTTCAAATGTTGAACCAGGCATTTTTACACAGGATAAATTCCACTAAGTTTTGTGGTATAATTCTTTTTATGTATGGTTGCATTTGATTTGCTAATATTTTGCAAAGAATTTTTGCTTCTGTGTTTATGAGAGATATTGGTCTGTAGGTTTCTTTTCTTGCAATATCTTTTTCTGGCTTTGGTTGTAGGGCAGTATAGGCCTCATGCAACGAGGAAACAGTCCCTCTGTATCTATCTTCTAGAAGAGAGTTTAGAGATTTGGTCTAATTTCTTCATTAAATGTTTGGTAGAATTCACCAGTGAACCCATCTTGGCCTGGTGTTTTCTATTTTAGAAGGTAATTAATTATTAATTCAATTTTTTAAATAGACATAGATCTACTTATATTGTCTATTTTTTCTTATTTTAGTTTGGCAGATTGGTCTTTTAAGAAATTGTCCATTTTAATATGGTTTGGATGTCCTGCCCAAATATAAAACTGAATTGTAATCTCCAATGTTGGAGGTGGGGCCAGGTGGGAGGTGTTTGGATCATGGCAGTGGATCCCTCATGGCTTGGTGTTAACTTCACAATAGTGAGTTCTTATGACATCTGGTCATTTAAAAATGTGTGGCACCCCTCCCCTACCCACCTATTCTTGCTCTCTCTCTTGCTTTTGCTTTTGCCATATGATGCACCTGCTCCTTCCTTAACTTCCGCCACGACTGGAAACTTCCTAAGGCCTCCCTAGAAGCAGATGCTGCTATGCTTCCTGTACAGCCTGCAGAACTGTAAGCCAATTAAACCTCTTTTCTTATAAATTACTCAGTCTCAAATATTTCTTTATAGCAGTGCAAGATAACACATATGTCATCTAGGTTATCTAATTTGTGAGCTTAGATATGTTCATAATATTCTTTTCTTATCTTTTTAATGTTCATAGGCTCTATAGTGGTGTCTCCTCTTTCATTTCTGGTATTAGTAATTTTGTTTTCTTTCTTTTTTTTTGTTAGTAAACCTGGCTAGAGGCTTATCAATTGTATTGGTTGTTTCAAAAAACAAGCTTTTGGTTTTCTTGATTTTCTCTATTGATTTTCTGTTTTCAATTTTATTGATTTATGCTCTGAGTTTTATTATACTTTTTATTTTGCTCAGTTTTGATTTAATTTGCTTTTCTTTTTTTAGTTTTCTAACTTAGAAACTAGATTATTGACTTTAGCTCTTTCTTCTTTTCTAATGTATGCATTCACTGGTAAATTTGTCTCTAAGTACTGTTTTTGCTGCATCTCACAATATTTGGTAAGTTGTATTTTCATTATTATTTAGTTCAGAGTGTTTTTAACTTTCTCTTAAGATTGTTTTCTTTGACTTATGTGTTGTTTTTAAATGTAGTGTTTTATTTCCAAGTATTTGGGGATTTTCCAGCTACCTTTCTTTTATTATTGATTTCTAATTTGATTCTATTGTGGTCTGAGGATAGCCATTATGTAATTTATATTTACTTAATTTGTTATGGAGTATTTTATGGTCCAGAATATGCTTTATGTTGGTGAATGTTCCATGCAAGTTTGAGAAGGATATGTATTATAATGTCATTGGATGAAGTAGTGAATAGATGTCAATTATAATATTCAATTATTTGATGGTGCTGTCAAGTCCAACTATGTCCTTAGTAATTTTCTACCTTCTGGATTTCTACCTTCTACCCTCTATAATAGAGGGGTGTTGAGACTTTAGATTATAATAGTGGACTAATCTATTTCTTCTTGAAGTTCTATCAAATTTGTCTCATCTATTTTAAAGCTCTGTTAGACACATGCACATCAAGGATTTAGATCTCCTCAGAGAACTAACTGCTTTATTGTTATGTAATACCACTCTTTTATCCATGATAACTTTTCTTGCTCTGAAGACTGCTTTGCCTGAAATTAATATAGTTAGTTACACTTTCTTTTGATAAGTATTAGCACCTTTCTCCATTCTTTTAATTTTAAATTGTATATATTTTTATATTTAAAGTGAGTTTCTTGTAGATAACCTGTACTTAGGTCTTATTTTTAACACACTCTGACAATCGCTGTCTTTTAATTTGTATATTTAGACCATTGGCATTTAAAGTGATTATTGATATGTTTGTTTGGATTAATATGTTACTGTTTTCTATTTGTTGCTCTTGTTCTTTCTATTGTTATCTTTGACTCTTTTCTTCCTTTTGTTGTTTTAATTAAGCATTTTATATGATTTACATTTTATATGATTTCTATGATTACATTTTCTCTCCTTTCTTAGCATATTGATTATACTTCTTTTTTCCCTCTTTTAAACCTATTTCCCTAGAATTTGCAATACACATTTACAACAAACCCGAATCCACTTTCAAATAACTCGAAACAGTTTCATAGGTAGTGCAAGTACCTTACAATAATAAAATATTCCTAATTCTTTCCTTCTATCTCTTGACACATTGCTGTCCTTCATTTCACTTATACATAATTATACATAAGCATATGTATATACATAAGCATACACAGTTGAATACTTTGTTGCCGTTATTGTTTTGAGCAAACTGTTATCTGTTAGAGCAATCCAAGATAAATAAAATATTTTTTCTGGCTTTCACTTGTCTCTTCTTTAATGCTCTCCCTTTCTTTATGCAGATGTGACTATCTGACATATATGTTATTTTTCTTTCTGAAAAATTTCTTGTAACATTTCTTGCCTAGCAGTCTACTGGCAACAAATTCCCTCAATTTTTGTTCAGGAAAGTCTTTATTTCTCCTTCACTTTTGAAGAATGATTTTGCAGGGTACAAAATTATAGGATTTATTTTTCTTCTCAACACTTTAAATACTTCTTTCCACTCACTTTTTGCTTGCATGGTTTTTGAGGAGAAGTTATATGTAATTCTTATCTTTGATCCTCTATATGTAAAGTGTTTTTTCTTTTAATATATTTTTTAATCTTTAATTTATTGTGGTTTAGTTATGTTATATGTAGATGTCTTTTTTAGGCATTTATCCTACTTGATGCTCTCTCAGCTTCTTAGATATGTGATTTTGTGTCTGATGTTAATTTGGGGTAAATTTGCAGTCATTATTGCTTTATATATTTTTTGTTTATTTCTCTCCTACTAATATTCCCATTACATTCATGTTACATCTTTTGTCCCATAGTTGTAGTTGTCTCACAGATCTTAGATGATCTGTTTTATTTTTAAAGTCTTTTTTTCTCTTTAATTTTTTCATTTGGAAGTTTCTATTGACATAGCCTCAAGCTCAGGGATATTTTTCCTTAGCTATGTCCAATCTACTAATGAGCTCATCAAAGGCAGTCTTCATTTCTATTAGTGTTTTTGATCTCTAGTATTTCTTTTTTATTCTTTCTTAGAATTTCCATTACTCTGATTGCATTATCTGCCTATTTTTGCATATTGTCTACTTTCTTCATTATATCCCTTAGCATCTTAATCATAGTTTTTAAGATTTCCTCACTGATTATTCCAACATTCCTGCCATATCAGTCTGTTTCTGATGTTTGCTCAGTCTCTTCGAATTGTGTTTCTTTCTTTCAGTGTGTGTTGTAATTTTTTCTTGATAACCAGGCATAATGTGCTAAAAGAAACTGTGTAAAAGAAGCTGTGATAAACAGGCCTTTTACAATGTGGTGGTAAGTTGTTGGGGAAGGAGAAGCACTCTATAGTTCTATGATTATGTCACAGTCTTTTAGTGAGCTTGTGCCCCAGACTAAGAATTTCACAAGTCATTCTGAGTTTTCCCTCCCCACCCCGCAGTTGGGACAGGAAAGCTAGAGTGGGCTGGAGTTGGATATTTCCATTTCCCAATGTGGAAGGTTAGAGGGAGCAGGACTAAGGTATTTCCCTCCCCCAGGTCAGTTGGGTTCTATAAATCCCCAATAGGTTAGACTCTGATAATGTAGTTTCTCTCGATGGCAGGCCTTGCCAAGAAGAACAAAATGCTCTGGCACATTTTAAAATGATTACTTATCCCCTCCCCATGCCTAATGGCCAAAGGGATTTTTCTCTGCTCTTCACTGTGCAAACCTGGCAGAGCTCCTGGAGGTAAAACTCACAGAAGTGTGGGGGTCTCCCATGACTTGTCCCCCTGGTGTTTTTATTGCTCAGATTTTTCTCCACTGAGCCTCCAGCAAGTCATCAATTATCTATAGTTCAGGTTTTTCTGCCTGGCACTGGTTCTTGTGGAAGTTTCTGCTCATAGGTTTATTCCCCGGTAAGTTGTGATTCTTAGTATCCTTCTGTCTGTCTATTGGGGGGCAGCATTTTTGCACTGTGATCTCACTTCTCTGATGTACCTAAGAACTGTTGATTGTTCAGTTTGTTCAGCTTTTACTTGCTGTTAGAATAAAATGTCAACTTCTAAGCTCTTCACATGCTGGACTAGAAACCGGAAGCCTCACACATAACTTTTGAAACTAAAACTCACGTCACCTGAGGAGGGAGGAGGGAATGAAGATATGCTAGTCAAAGCGTACATAATTATGGTTGGATAGGGGAAATACATTTCCAGAGATCAACAAGGATCTCTGTACAACAAGGTGATGATACTTAAGGATGATATATTCTTGAAAAATGTAGAGAGTGAATGTTAAGTGCTCTCACTACAAATGATATCTATGTGAGGTAATTCATTTGTTAATTAGCTAGATTTAACCATTCCACAATGTATATGTACTTCAAAACATCATATTGTATATGATAAAAAAAAATGTTATCTGTCAATGTTTTTAAAAAAGAAAAAATATAACCTTAAAAATTAAATCTCAGAAAGTGCATACATAGGCTTTAAACTCCAATGGCAAAAATGAATTTGATTGCAATAATTATAATATCTAGAAATTAAACTAATTAGTTTATAAATTAGGCTTCCAGACTAGTAATGCTGATTATTCTCCATTTGTTCCCTCTGCTCCTTTCAAGATTAATTTTCTGCCTTCTCTGCCCTTCCTTATTCCTGGGGATCCCATTGTGCTCTTCATCATTCCTTTGGCCTCCTGTTGGGTTTGGCCAATGGAAGATTCCAGCTGGGAAACAGAAGATGAAAGGAGAATCAGTGTGGCCTAGCCCTTCCCAGCTTTATCTCTGCTTTGATGCTTCAATTCTACAGGGGTCTGCGGCTTCGAATGAGTGGCTCCAAGTCCAGAGCTCCAGCTCTGGCTTAGGCACCAGTATTTCTTCCATTTGCTCCATCATCTTAGGAATGCTACTGGCTTCCCTTTGATGATGATCATAGGGACCTCAACATCCCATACCCTCCTCACATCTAAAAATTCTCTTCATTAAGATCCCCACAGTTAACTCTTGTTTCCTACAAGGATCCTGACTAAGGCACTATAATTCTATAAAATTAGCAGAAATGTCTATCAGTTGTGCATATAAAACCAGGTATTTAACGTTGTTAAACAAACAACTTCTAACTAGTGAAGGATAACACCAAAAACGTAGACACAAATGCAAAAAGTATGAATGTGTGCAAAGAAGACTCTGGTCTTCTTTAGGGTCATGGAATATGCTTTGTAGCATGTTTTGCTATGCTTTTACTTAAACTCGTTTAGTTGTGTATATTGATTTAATCATCACTATTATTATTTACCCATAGTTTTATATCTTACAGATATTTTTATATACTTATATGTAATATTATATACAGATATAAAAATATATCTAGTTACCTCCTGGGTCCCCTCTTCTTGAGCTATGGCCTGGAAACCCTCCACAAGTAGCAAGCTATGGCAATCATATATGTCATTTGTATCCTCTCTCTCAGGGGCCATTGTCCTGTGACGTTATATATCTAATATATAAAAATAATTGTCTATACAGCTTGCTTGTTTTTTTTTATTATGTTTCAGGCTGGAAACAATGTTACTCTATTTGGACAGATTGAGTCACTTTACTTTTAAAATAAAATTATTTTTATGACCTCAAAGAATAGTTTATGTAAGGAAAATGATATGATAATGATTTTAATTTATCAGTGTAAGAATTTACAAGACTAATATATAGATCTTCTAAAACTTTGTGTTATTTAATATATTCTAAAACTAAAAGTGAAATAGAGATACATGTATTGATTCATTCATTCATTTAGGTATTTATATATTCTTGCAACAAATATTTATTGGGTACCTGTCTATGTGCCAGGTAGAATGTCTAATGCTGTGGAAACAGGGGTAAACTAGACAGCTGGGGTGTTTAGATTCTAGTTTGTGAGATAGACACTAAAATAAATAAATGAATTACAAATTTACTAAGTGCTAAGAGGGCAATCATAGGACATTCTCCGAGGAGGTAATATCTTTGTTGTTAAGACCTGAAATATGAAAATAACCCATTCAGAGGTAGAACTATGGAAAGAGTTTTTCAGATAAGGCGGGATCAGAAGTCTAAAGGCCCTGAAGTATTTAAAAGCTTGTTGTGTTTCAAGAATGGAAAAAAGGTCAATAGCTTGAAATGACTGTGGGGGACAGTGGTAGAAAATGAGAGCAGAAAGCCAAATCCATGTTGGCCCTTATGGGTCATGATAGAGAATTTAGATTTCATTCTGAGGATAATGAACAACTATGGAAGTATCACAACAAAGTGATGATGTGATCTGATTTCAGTTAAAAAAAAAGGTTGCTCAGTTGCTTTGTGGAGAATGAATCTTTGAAGGTAAGAAGAGAAGTCAAAGGGTGAATTAAGAGGCTATTGCAGCAATCCAGGTGAGAATTATAGGGATTTGTGCTCGGGTGGCAATGGAAGTAGAGAAAATTTGGATATTTTTGTGATATGTTTTGAAGGTAGAACTTATGTGATGTCCTGATGTATTGAATGTAGGAGCAGAGAAAACAGAAGAATCAGTGAAGACTCCTCAAATTTTGGCTAGACCTACTGGGTGTTTGATAGTACATTTAATAAAAGATTAAAAATTCAGCCTGAAGCAGGCTGGGGAGAAGACAGAGGGACATAAAGAGGTCTATTTATACATATGAAGTTTAAAATACTCATTAGTCATACAAGTAAAGAAGACAAATAATTAAACATACAAATCCAGATATCAATGTGAGAGACATCAGCATATAGATGGTACTTAAAGTTATGAGATAAGATGAAACCATCAAGGGAGAAAATATGGATAGATAACAGGGGCCAGGCCCAAGCCCTAAGGACTCCATCATTCAAATCAGGTAGAGAGGAAGGAACCCACAAGAGATGAACAAAGTGGTGGGGAGGTGGGAGGGCAACCAGGTAAGTGTGATGCTAAAGAAGCCAGGACCAGTGTTCCACTGTGCGCAACGCTGCTAAGAGGTTAGAGAAGGACGAAGACAGAAAGTGTCAGAGTTTTACTGAATCAAAAAAAGAGATGTTACTTTGATGCAAATTAGGGCCACCTGTGAAGCATGAATAAATTACTGAAAAAATGGTCATAATAAAATATGCAAGGGAAGGAGACATACGGATTTTGATGAACCTTCTAAAAATGGCATCCTACATAGACACTCTTTTGAATTTTGTTCTTTGGAAGAATGATGCCTGGAGTTAGTAGGTACATTTAGGGAGGGATCTTTGCATTTGCAAATGAATATATAGGGCATGCTGTTGCCTTTGGAGAAGGTTAATTTTCTGTCGACTTGTTCTAAATATAGAGAGAAAGGTGATTGCTAGGAGGAATAAAGGCATTTTAAAATGTTTTTTTTTTCTGAATATTTTTGCCCAATAAAGGTTATTTGTAGTAAGGTGGTGAAAGTAAAGAATTAGATCCCTACAGAGGAGAAGATCAGTGATAAAATTCAGCATGATGTGAAAAGAGAAATGGAAACATATCCTGATAACTGGCTGATGAAATTCCATGTGAAGAAATGTCAAATAATGAAGAGTGGGTCAAAGTTCCAGCAAAAGGAACTATATAAAGCCTAGCAGCATGAAGAGGTAGAGAGTTCTGTGGGACTGGGAAAAATAAATTCCAAAGTCTCTGGCACAGATCGAGAGTGAACAGTATAAAGAGTGGGAACCAGAAAGAGTCTGAATGAATGTAAGTGGAAAGAAATGACTGCACGCCCCTATAACGGATTAATGAGGCTACATATAAATTGTGGTTAGCGTTTCTTGTCACACTATGATAAAAAGTGTGTGGGGAAAGCGAGGGATGATGAAGGGGATCTGTGAAGTATTTGGTCAGGTCATGGAAAGTACAGCATCCTCCTGATGGGGTTGGATCAGGGTGGCCTGTAAGTGGAGTGAGCAAGACAGATGACATCATCCACAGTGGATCATTCCTGTGGTCTTCTGGAAATTTCTAGGCAAGGAGGGGGGCAAAGGACCATATAATTATAAAGCCTGAGTGGAGGGCAGGGGTGGTTGGTTTGGATAATGATGGCCTGATCCTTTTAGAACTTCTGTGGCACTTTTTACCTTCCTCCCCATCACCCCACCCCTCTGGGAGTTAGGCAGGTAAAACGTTTTCTTTGTTCCTGTGTTCATCCATGCTATTGTTGCTCAATTCCGTGGCTAAGTTCCTTCAAGACTGGAGAGTCTGCCTTAGTCGTGTTAATGTCCACGCGGTAACAGTTTAGAATCTTACGTGTCGGAAAAAATCAGCAGAGTTTGTAGGTTCATCCTCCGCCAAAATATGAGTGGCTTTTCACCGGCGAAGTTTTTCAACCGCCTGGAAGAAGCCATTTGAGGTTTTTGCTGGGCTGAATGTACATTTTTTGGACACTAAAAAAGCACAAGGTCAGTCTATTTTAGTCGCTACTCAAGATGTAGTCATTATTATGAGACATGTGTTTAAAAACATATTTTCTAACGTTCCTTTTTGAATATGCACTTCAGAGGTGTGTGTCATTGTGGCTAACCAGCATTAGCATGACTGATGATTACTGTTATTGTGTGTATGGATGTCCTTATATGACTGTGGAAAGGAGTCCACAGGCTGCCTGATTAATGCATTTTAAAAGTGATTCCTCCAAAGACAAGAGAGAACTTGTTCATAATTATAAAGAAATTATCTTCTAATACACACACCAGCATTCCTTTTTTTAAGCTCACTTAAAAAAATGCATCTATATGACTGTGTCCTACAGAGTAACCATTTATTATACTTTCCAAGTGCCAGTTACCAGAATTGCTGTTCTGTTCATTATCTCATTTAATACTCAAAAGAATCTCAAGTTGTGTTTCTCAATCAATAGACGAAGATACCAGGGCTCAGAGAGGTTAAGTTCCTCAGGGTCATATTATGAGTTAAGCAAAGACATGGCATACAAATCCAGGTTTTCTGATCCCAAACCACACACTCTTTTTATTTAATTGTACTAATTGTCCTCGTAGCAAGGATTGTGTACTCACTGAATTCAATTCAACAATCTAAATATAATTCAGAATGTGAAAAGCCACGACTAAAACGCAGCCAAAATGTAACGAAAATGCAAGCTTGCTTTGTCTCTCCTTATTCCTTTAAAGTATGTGCAGGGGTAAGGGATTGTTTTCCCACCACCAGGACTTTTTCAATCAAACTTAGGCCACAAACAGCCCTAAAATCACTTGAAATTACAAACCAGTCCATTGTGAAACCAGCACATTCAGATTAAGATAACATCACTTCAATCTTTATTCTAGGGTTACACTCCCTCAGCCCTTCCTCATGTTAGGGCCTATATTGAGCAGCCACTCACCATCTGTGAAGGGGTGTGTTTAGCTCTTTCTCTCTGCTCCTCACGTTTTTATTTGGCCAGTGACTGGTACTGCAGCACACTGGCTCCTACACACCCCGATGCTGGCTCTCAGATGATCCTTGCCGTGCCCATTTGCTTCTGAGAATCCCCTTCCTTGCAAGCATCCTCTCGAGTTAGACCTAAATAGCTCTAGACCTTCTTTTTTTGTGTGATCCATGGGAAAAACTCATATACTCCTTGCCCTGCCATCAATTAGAGATTAATTCCTTCCCAAATGCAATCATCTATTCTCTGTGCCCTGCCAGAGACCACTTTAAATCTTCTCGGGCAAGAATAAGCCTCCAATTCAAGATGGGCCCACATTTCCAGGAACATGCTTCAAGCTCTCCATCTGCTCTATGCTTGAGACAGAGTAGCTAGCAACAGCCCACTCCCACTCCCAGACGCACCCCCCAACAGATCCCCTTAAGTTGAAAGTGACTCACCCACATAGCAGAGAATAGAAATTCTCTTGAAACCTCACAACTCCTTCCCTGCATACTCTGATCTTCCATTTATGGCCTTGATTTGAAGAAGGCTTTGTGGGGTTGGTTCTTCACCATTTTCTCTGTGAATTCTGCGTTTCGATGCAGCCCTTCATTTTGAAATTTAAAATCGTGTTTTGGCACTTAAGTCGAAGTTTTAGTTTTAGCGTATTTTTCTACAAAGGATGTTTATATTTTATTCTAGAATGAGCTACATTAGTAAGAAAAGGCTGCTGACCTGTTAACATTAAAGTAGAATTTAATTTAAAGAAACTACTAATTGTCTTCATGGGATTATTGGCTTTAAGATTTGAAAGATAAATCTTTGTGGCAACTGGATTAAAAAGGGCTTTGAAATTACATTTCATTTAGTCAGTTATTCAAGTCTATAGAATAACTTGTTGAGTCATGTCCAGAATTCACAGATACAACAGGGGTAATTTAATTGAATTGATAAGCTACACTACTGTGCTTTTAGAAGCTGTAGGCAACTTTCTAAAGATAAAACTCCTATGCTTCTATAGTTTTCAAAGAGATTTCATATATAGGCATGGCATGGTAGGATTGCAGAAGGGGACAAAACACAACTTCTGGAATAAGATGCAGAATATTCTTCCTTACTTAAAAAGCAAGTTACAAGTACATTTCTATGAGTCTAAAACTGGAAAACAAGTACACTAGTGTCTTATTGCCTTACATAAATTATAAGTGCATTGAAAGCCTGAACACTTCTTTGGTAAAAAAGTATTCTGTGATGAAACAAGGTGTTTTCTATTTTATCATTGGGGAATGTAGCAAACCTCAATCTCCACAAACAATGAGATGATCTGTTCTTAGGTTTTTGAATAACCGTAGAAATGGGCCTTCCTTGTCTTAAAACTTGAAACTTACATTTGTCCCATCTGAGTTCCTTGTTTAGAACTGAAACCCACTAGATCCCCACATCCAGAGGATGAGATGTCAAACCTTCATTCATCTTGATTGCTTTCTTGCCCCTCCCTAATTCCTGTTTTCCCCACTTTCCACGTTACATAAACCCCTAATGTTAGTTTGCTGGAGAGACGGATTTGAGACTTATCTCCTGTTCTCCCAATTGACGTTACCCAAATATAAAGTCTTCTGCCCTGGTAATACTCTTTGTCCCAGTGATTAGCTTTCTGCTTGGTGAGCAAGAAGACCTGGACCCAATCTCTGGCATTTTGGTAACATTCTTATTTTAAAAATAATTCATTCAATTGTAAGCACATGGGACTAATTTGAAAGAAAACTGGAATCAAGATTTTCTTGCTCATCGCACAGACCCTGAGATTTGATATTTGTGTTGATGTCAATGGAGCCCCATCAGCTTAGACTTGGGAGGTTTGAATGATGCCATCCATCACCAATCCAACCAGCTTAAGGACATTAAGCCCAAATCATCGTAAGTTTGTCGCTAATATATCTGGAGAAAGGGGACAAAGTTAATTTTAGAGAACAGTAGCATTTGTAACATACTCTCTGAAATGTGGACATACATGATATTTATTATGATTTATTTCAAACTATATTTCCCAGAGCACTAGTGTTCTCCATAGGTTACATGGAACTTTCATAGAGGCCCCTAGCCAGCTCCAAGCAAAATATTTCTAATCTTATCCATTTTCTATATTTAGATTTCAAATAAGATTTTTTTGAAAAGGTTATATCAAAAGCCACTTCTCTATTTGCTATGCATGCAGGATTTTGCTGTATGTATACTAGGAAATGAAACTCATAGTCTAATGGGGATAATCTCTGTACGAGTGTTATACAGTTTCTCAATCTGGGGAGGATGAGTGGAGCTCATCATGGGTACCAAGTTTGTAGGTAATAAATCTTAGGAAGTTCTGTGACTCCCTTCCCACCTGATGTGCTGTAGAGTTTCATAGTTGAGGTTATTTCACTGGGGGAGAGACCCATCTGACCCTACTGAGAGGCCATTTTCTGCTTCGGGTACTGGAAAAAGAGGCTAAACATAACAACACCCTTTTGGCTTGAGGATTATTATTTGACTTGTGGAGCTCCCTTTGTTGGCAATTTCTTACTGAGAAGGATCTCCACATACCTCTGGAACTCTTTTAAGATAGGACTATATTTCTCTGTTAGGCTTTTTATGTCATCAATATTTCTCCTGCTCTATGATTCAATGGAGAGATGATAAGAAAGGAATCTCCTGGATTTCCATATATGGGTAAGCTGCATGGAAATTCTGGAAGTCTCTTGATGCCGCTTTCAAGCTCCTGACATATTCAGGAGAGCGAGATCTGGCATGCATCAAGGCAGCAAGGAGGGCACAGACTGCATTTACAGAACTACATTTTGCTTGGCAATACATTACAGGAGACATCGGCAAAACACAAAGACAAAACAAAGGTCACTTATAGAGTATTAGGATGAATGATGCCCAGCACTGCCTAGTGTGATGTCAGAATTAGAACTGAGTATAGAAGCCAACTTCAGAAACTGTGAAAGGATAGGGGAGCAGGATGACCTAGCTTAATTTGAAGAGACAGTAACTTGCTGGCATCTGGCTACTGAAAAGAACAAAATGGTTGACCTCCTAGTAGTGCCAGGGACTATCTTAAAAGCAACAATGATCAATGGGTCAGAAGTTATTAAAATAAAGAGACAAAGAAGAGGGACATTATGAAGTTAAAATGGCAAGATGTCATGATTGGTTGCTTTAGAAATGGGGCAGAATGAATGAAAATGGATGCGAATATTTCTCACCCAGGTAACGTAAGTGTCGGTAGAGTGATTAATATGAGTGGGCAATTACAGAATCTTGGCTACTTGAGGGAAAGAAATGTAGTTTTGGATATGATAAATGAAAGGAAGTAAAGAGATGAAAATTAAATCCCAGAAATCAAAAGAAAAGGTAAATCTGAGAGTCCAGGTATAAAGGTGAGACCTGAAGCCATTGCTTTGGGTCACCAATAGAGTACACATTAAGAAACCAGAGGAAAGGGCCTGGAATTGGGTAGATGAAGGAAAGCAAGAGAAGTACAGTACAGTAACTGCATAAAACAGTAATGCAGTCATTTGTTATCATTATCAAGTATTATGTACTGCACATTTTTATAAATGCTATACTTTTTATGACTAGCAGTGTAGTAGGTTTGTGTGCACCAGCACCACCCCAAACACGAGTGATGCATTGTGTTATGACTTTATGATAGCTACAACATCACAAGGAGATAGCAATTTTTCAGCTCCATTATAATCTTATGGACCCCTGTTGACTGAAATGTTGTTATGCAGCACATGGCTATGTATATGAATATACAGAAAACACATAAGCCCTTAGAAATTAAAATCTTACAGATAGCAGGCTGGGTGCGGTGACTCATGCTTGTAATCCCAGCACTTAGAGAGGCCAAGGCGGGTGGATCACATGAGGTCAGGAGTTTGAGACCAGCCTGGCCAACATGGTGAAACCCCGTCTTTACTAAAAATACAAAAATTAGCCAGTTGTCATGGCGCACACCTGTAATCCCAGCTACTCGGGAGGCTGAGGCAGGAGAATTGCTTGAATCCAGAAGGCGGAGGTTACAGTGAGCCAAGATTGCACCACTGCACTCCAGCCTGAGTGACAGAGTGAGACTCTGTCTCAAATAAATAAAAAATAAAATAAAATCTTATAGATAACAGAGATTGAAAACTCAACAGTGGGTTAGAAAATAAAGTTAAGGAACTATTCCAGAAAAATGAAAAAAGATGGAAACCAGGTTTAAAAAAGTAAAGGACAAGACCCAGAAGGCTCAACATCTGAATAACTTGTCTCTCTGGAAAAAGATAGCACACAAATAGATTGAAGACGATCATCCAAGAAGTAATTTTTTTTTTAAATGAGGTGAGTTTCCAGATTGAAAGTCTTACAGGGTGTCCAATACCAGATGAAAATAGATCCACACCAATGATCATCATTGTAAGGTTTCAGAGTGCTGGAGACAATGAAACAAAAAATCCTCTAGAGAGAAAAAAGAAAGTCTATACAGAGGATCAAGAATCAGAATGGAATCTGACTTTTTGGATTATACTAGAAGCAAAAAAAAAAAAAAAAAAAAAAAAAAAAAGACAGAACAATGCCTTTAAAACTTTGAAGGAAAAAAGAATTCCCTGCTATAATTCTATACCTAGCCAAGCTATTAATCAATTGTAAGGGTAAAAATGAAGACATTTTCAAACATGCAATGTCTCAAATACTTTGCCTTCCTTCTACTCCATTTCAAAAAGGCATTAACAGATGTTTTCTAGCAGAGGAGGTAGTAATCTAGAAAGAGGAAGAGACAGAATTCAGAAAGCAAGAGAGTCAAGTTAAACTAGAGGCAACAATGAGGAAGGGAGATTCCAGAATGACAATAGTGCCCCAGGGGCTGCAAAAAAGCCAGTCCATATTAGAACATCATGACTCAAAAGGCAGGCATGTTGAGGGCTGTTATCTCCATGATTTCTGCTCTAATACTATATTTTTAATCTGGCAGAATAGCTAAAGGAATTGCTTCTTCAAAACAAAGAAGTATGTCATTAAAGAGGTAGTCATGACACACAGGAGCTAGAGAACCCAAACAAGGAGAAAAGCAAGGGAATTCCAAGGATGATGGACAAAGGGAAGTCCCAGGATGACAGCTATGAAACAAGCCTAGAGATGTCTCAGAACAAAACAAAATTAAACTAATAAGTTGTTGAAGGATTACTGATGTCATTTATCTCATGAAAAATTAACCTGACAAGCTTTGGGAAGATGTTGAAATAATTAGCAATACATATAAAGAAAACTAAGTCAATAAAAAGACAAGGCGTGTATTAACTTCAGGAAAAGCAAAAGTAAAAAAGGAAACAGAATCATAGTACACCATAATGCTCAGTTGTGAAGAATATTTTCATATGTATAATAATACTAACACTGACTATTGGCTCGACCTCAAAATACAGTATTATTGTGAGTATATGAGAGAACACACAGAGGGAATGGTGGTATTAGAGAGCTAAATCCTAATCTATCAATATGGGAAATCAACAGATAATGTCTAAAATTGATGAATCAAAAGACAGAAGTATCATATTATTTAAGAAATATGAAGATGTATAAATACCTGAAGTAATTGCTGAGTCAAAAGTAGTTGCCTTGAGGAGGACTGTAGAAAGTGAAGAGGAATAGGGCAAGAAGCTTCTATATTCTATATTCTATATTTTTAACAAGTCTCTTAGCAGAATTTACCCTTATGCCTTATACATTATTATGGACTTGAAAATATAGCAGCAATTCACACTTCTTCCAAAAAAGAAATGATTTAACATTGACTCTTGATACCAGTAATCATGGAGGCCTGGGTTGGTATGATTATCTGGTCCAGCAATTTTGACCAAATGGATCGCTTACTCTCCAGGTACTGCAGTTGTGCCAGCACAAAGAATATAACATAGGAAGCTTTCTGCAGCTGGAGTGCAGCTACCCAGACCTCCCTGTATTTTGGCTAAGAATACCCTTCATTTAACAAAGAATTATGGCCAGGATTGGATTGCAATACGTTAACCTTTCATTTAACTTAGTTCATAATGTTGAATTGGTACTAAAATCTATTTATGGCCTTTTCCCTTTTCTACTTTCTTCCAGGAACATTATCTGGCATTCTAAACTTGGGGAAAGTCTGTATAAGGAATCTCTAAATCTTGGCAGAAAGTATAAATTGTTAGAGATCTCATGAGTAAGACCAAGCTGTGGGATGTCTCAGGATTGACCTTCTAGATCATCTTTTCCAACCTCCTCATTTTATATATTACAGAAAAAAGCAGCCAAAAAAGGACTACTTGATTTATCCAAGGCCATGCAGCTTACTAATGGCACAGAAAGGATGAGAATTCAGGTTTCCTGACTTCAGCTCCATGGCTCCTTCTTTACTGTATTACACTACTAATATAATGATACTGCAGCAAACTAAACTACACTATACTACACTGTACAACCCTGTGTCTCACACTGCATTATACCATATTGCTCTCTATATATGACAAAGCAACAAACTACACGACACCTCAGCACACCACTGTACTACTCTGTACCACACTACTTTGCACTGTGCTATGCTATGCTACAGTATACTACACTACACCACACCACTCCACACTAAACTACACTAGAAAATACTACATTACTGAAGAAATAACCTGGAATGACTTTTAATCTTTAACCTTCTGGAAGCAATCCACAGAAGTCCCCTAATATCCCTAAGTGCAAATTTATTCTAGCCCTACTTCTTTTTTTTTTTTAAGATTTTAAAGGATTTATTAAATAAAGGGAATTGAGGGCTCAAATTGGAAGTGGGCATCAGGGTCAAGGTTATCTGTTGATGTGTAAAAACTATCTCAAAACTTAGCTAGAAACAATATACTATTTTTTTTAAAAAATCATCTTTTATTGCAGATATAGTGGGAACATGTGTAGGTATGTTAGATGCGTATATTGCACCCAGATAGTGAGCGTAGTACCCAGTAGGTAGTTTACTTCTGATGCCTCGCTTCCACCTCTAGCAGTCCCCAGTGTCTATTGTTCCCAAGTTTGTGTCCATATATGCTCAATGTTCAGCTCTCACTTATAAGTGAGAACATGCAGTATTTGGTTTCCTGTTCCTCTGTTAATTCACTTAGGATTATGGCCTCCAGCTCCATCTGTGTTGTCACAAAGGACATGATTTCATTCTTTTTTATGGTTGTGCAGTATTCCATAGTGTGTATGTACCACATTTTCTTTATCCAAGTGTCCATGGATGGGCATTTAGGTTGATTCCATGTCTTTGCTACTGCAAATAGTATGGCAATACATGTACAAGTGCATGCGTCTTTTTGATAGAATGATCTATTTTCTTTTGGATGTATACCTAGTAATGGGATTGCTGGGTCAAATGATAGCTCTGTCTTAAGTTCTTTGAGAAATCTCCAAACTGCTTTCCACAGTGGCTGAACTAATTTACATTCCCAGCAACTGTGTGTAACACTTTAAAAAAAATTTCAGCTTTTATTTTAGATTCAGGGGGTACATGTGTAGGTTTGTTACATTGGTATATTGCATGATACTGAGGTTTGGGGTATGATTGACTCTGTCACCAAGGTAGTGAGCATAGTATCCAATAGTTAGTTTTTCAACCCTCCCTCCCACCGCCCCTTCTCCAGTGTCTATTGTTGCCCTCTTTATGTCCATGTGTACCCAATGTTTAACTCCCATTAATAAGTGAGAACACGCAGCATTTGGCTTTCTGTCTGTGTTTTAATTTGTAGCTCCATTTTTTTTTTTTTTGAGACAGAGTCTTCCTCTGTCACCCAGGCTGGAGTGCAGTGGTACAATCTTGGTTCACTGCAACATCTGTGTCCCAGGTTCAAGCAATTCTTCTGCCTCAGCCTCCTGAGTAGCTGGGATTACAGGCACACGCCACCACACCCAGCTAATTTTTGTATTTTTAGTAGAGATAGGGTTTCACCCTGTTGGTTAGGCTGGTCATGAACTCCTGACCTCAAGTGATCTGCCTGCCTTGGCCTCCCAAAGTGCTGGGCGTGAACCACCATGCCCAGCCATAGCTCCATTTCTTGAGCTAACACTGACTGTCTTTGTCCCACGCATCCTATCCTAAACCTCTTGCAGTCCTGCAGTGGTCTTTGGGACACAGTCACCTTCCATGTAGCAGACTGCCATACTCTTTCCTGATTTTCTGGATTGTGCTGGATGCTAATCCAGGGTCATGTCCTTGCGCTGATCCCTGCACTTCTTCATTGTTTTTTGCCCACTTGCATGGTGCCTCACTTTGAAGCCAGAGTTCTGTGGATGCCTTTCTGTTCTCAAGTCCCTTCTGTGAGATTTTGGCATCCTTTCTAACAAGCTGAGGAGTTTCTCAGCTCTGACTTTGGACTAAGAAGACCACAGCCTTGCTGTCACCTTGCCCTTTCCCCTACTCCAAGCGTTGGCACTATCCATCAAGAACTTGGGCTAAGAATGTCATTCCTACTCTTACCAGCAGTAGGAGTATCCTACTACCAGAGAAGAGTTGGATTTGGTGAGAGTATTTGGCTAAAACTTTGGCCCTTGAACTCAGGTCTGGATTTATCACTTACTAGATGGTGACCTGAATATCAGCTTCCTCACCTCAGAGATGGAGATAATAATAAGGCCTCTTCCAGAGGATTGTTGTGAGGATTAAATGTAATCATGCCTAGCCGACTTTTTGCACAGTATAGTAGGTGCTGAATAAATGTTGGGTATTTTATTTCCTTGTATCCTTTAAAAGAGCCTCGGTAACACTATCTGAAACCAAGGTTCAGGAAGGTTGAGTAACTTGTCCACAATCACAGTTACAAGGGATGGAAATGAGACCAGAAGCCCATGTTCCAACCACTTCCATATCCTGCCTCTTTGAAAATCAAGCCCCTGGCCAGTCTGAATTTCTGAGCAATGCTCTGCCCACCTGTTGGGCAGCTCCAGCTTGGATCCCCCCTGGTGTCAGGCGTCTGTCTGAATCGTGACGAGAACATGTTGATCCCTGTTGGACCTGTGCCTAGCCCACCCAGCAGAAACTTCCCCGCCAGCCTCTGCAGCAAGTACAGCTCTCTCAGCTCCCGTTCCAACCTACAGAGCAGAGCTGGTGCCAATGCTGCTCTCTGCCCCAGGCCTGTCTGGCTGCAGGTAGGCTGCTCTGACTCACCGGAGAATCCTGAGCTCTGACTCACTTTTTGTCTAATATCTTTTGCAGGGTCAACATGATAGCCACATATGGAAGGGGCGTGGAGAAGAAAGGATAGGGGAAAAAGAAGAAAGGTTGTTTTTACCATCAGCCCCGTGTTGAAGTCAACAGGAAATGGCCCAGTGTGGATCAACCACCATACTGTCCCGAGTAAAAGGGAATGATGATCTCTTCTGAGTGACTTAAGAGTTAATCAGGACCAGGTCGAGAGTTTATCACCCAGAGTTCCATGTTTGAATTTTGGAGAATTCCCTTTGTTTCATTTCAGCACATTCACTTCAGTGCCCGTGTCTATTTTAATAGCCTGGAATGCAATTCCCTTTGCCCATTATTCTCTTTCACTATGGGTTTTTCCGACCCTCGGGGTAGATTTATGCTTCTAGTTGAATGATTACTCAGTGAATGTTTGCCAAGGGATGTTCTGTTCCAAGAATGACACATCTCTTTGGGGATGACTCTTTACCTAACCAGGGTGGGTGGGAGGTCAGGGGAAGCCCCTACCCAGAAGAAAATAGTTTCTTTGTGTGCTTGAAGAAAAACACTCAGATGATGAACAGCCTGATTTGGGGGCTGTGTGTGGGTGAGCCACTCCAGTGAAGTCGTCCTCAACGCTCCCTCAGAAGGAGATTATGAATTTAATGAGCAGAAGAATTCTGACAAGCCTTAAAGCCAAAGGCAATTAGCAAAGGATGAATAACTTGAATTCTTTGCAGTTATGAAATAATTTCATCCTAATGAAATTACACATGCATATATCTTTAAAATATGTTTTATCTATATATCTACATGGCACAAAAGACTATAATGTAATCTTCTATGTGCATATACAAGCATTTCTTACTGTGCATTCAGTGACACACTAGTACTAGGAGATGGGACATGAAAGTAGAGTGCCATGGTCAAATCTAATTGGAAATGCTACATGCTAGAGCTCCAACATGTATGCACAAAGGCCATTGGGATATTGTCCTTGGATAATGGGGACATCCCCATTGGGATATAAATATTCTGAGAAATCTTACAGTAAGGATCTTGTTTATTGACTCTCACATTTCAAATATATTTGAACACACAATAATTTCCCTGCCCTAATACCTACTAATGTCCTCAAAGAATCAATGCTCTACAATGCACTTTGAGGAATGCTGTGATACTGTAATATGACAGTTTTTGCAGGGCAGACCAAAATGTTCTCTTCTTTGATGATGTCAATGCTGAAAATATTTTTGCCATTCATGTTTTGCCATTGCTTTAAAATACTATGTGAGGCTCTTTAGAATGTTGTAAATGATGGTCAAACTTTGTTCTTTGAGGTGATTTGGTTTTTAGAAACTACCTTTACCCAAATGTATGTCTATTGAAATTAGGCAAGTGACTGATTAAGCCAAGCCATACAAGTCAACAGCAAAATATATCTGTCTGACTGAAAAAAATAAGCTTTTGAGGTCTTTCTCACTTCATAACTGGATAATTACACCAACTTTTGGTCTGGATTCCCCATCTCTGCCTTTTCCCTGCCTTATGCTATAACACTGGACCAACCTTTCTAAATTCAACGATACCGGGTCACTTTCCTTAATCAGAGCCTTGGGGGTCCCTGGGATGAGTCTTTCCTGCATTGCCCCATTTTAAAGATTTCCAAGAATCCCCATGCATGCAACCTTATTTTCTTCCACTCTCCTAATCCATGACATTTTCAAACTCGCGTTCTTAGTGTCTTGAAATTTCCTGGGACCTCCTTGTCTTGTGCCAATTGCCTGAGATATTCAACTTTCTTCCTTTGACCAATGTATAATTACTTAAGACCCCACTTATTCTTTATCTTTTCTTATAGCATTATTAAGTATGCACATATTCATCAACGTGATTGTTCTCTAGATGTCTTCAAGATTTCTAGGCTATATTTCAGTCTGAAGAAAGAGGACCTATAGAAAAATGACATAAAATATAAGAAATCATTATAATTCTGGAATATATGATATACTCTGGAATACCTGAGATGGTCTCAGATATGTGTCACATTTTCTCATGTAACATAATTTAGCAAAGAATTATTTACTCCCATAACATAGGACAATTACTTCATATTGCTGACTCTCAACAGCATTTTAAGGTATTCGATGCCAAAGAGTCACATCTTTCAGTTTTTCTGACTTCTTCTTGCATGTGACACATGTGCAATCTTCTCAAATCTTTTCTAGTATGAGGAAGAGTAAAAAATAAATTTTAACTACTTTATAAAAATGTATTGATTATTTTATATGTCAGAGTTTCAGTGGAAACAAGATAGTTAGGCAGTTTCTGCTTAGGTTAATGTTTTGTCAATTTCTCCATTCCTCCATTCTATCCTACAATCAAACCATTCCTTCTGGTCTAGGTGCCATTCATTTGGGAGAGACAAAGAGTGTCTTGTGTAATTCAGGAATCCACTAATATGGTACTTTCCAAAAAAAAAAATGATACATGAGGATGACCTAAAGAAGTAAGAATGCATAGCCCCAATCCCTGTCTGTTTCCACACCTGGCCATAGCCCTTCTATATATTCACCATATTGCTCTGAGGGTGTGAGCCATGACTCCTCTCTGGAAAACTCAGCATTACGTAATGTGTGGTTAAGCCCCTGAGAAACACTGTAGATATAGTATTAGACCAATAATGTGAGGAAGATGAGGTATGAGTGCTTTATGATAAACTGCAACACTGAGGATCATTAAATGCCATTTCTGACCCCTACTCTGTCTACATTTCATTGTTACCTTGGTAGCAAATTGGCTTTAATTATTATTACAAAATTCTGGTAGACTGGCATATCATCATAATGGCAAACTCTAGGTTCTGCCCAATTGCCTTACCATTTAAAAACATTTCAAATTTGCAGTACACTGGTCTGATAATTTATTTCCATGAATACCCCATTTCCCGCTGAAGAGCGGAAGTTATAGAATTTGAGTAACTTCACTGGGACAAAAGAAACTCTGGAGCCCATGGCACACCAAAACCTGCAGGTGTGCTAATGCTAGAAATGAGCAAAACATTTATGAATAAATTCAGCACTTTGGTCCTACTGTATATGACCTGACAATGACTAATACTTATTATTATTATTTATTATTATTAGGATGTTTATATGATCCTAGTATGCTGCAGTGACGTATAAGATCTTCATTGTGGAAAATGTTTTCCCCAGATGATCGTCCAGGTTTCAGAGGCATGGACACAGAGCTGGAAGTGAGGGACAGAGGTCATCTCCTGGGCGAGTTACCGATCTGTATAGTGATGATTGGCAGAATATTAGAGTGCAAAGGCACAGTGATAGATACCCTGCTGAAAAGTACACATCACAGCCATTCTTTTAGACTTGTAGAAATTTGGAGATGTCTATGTGACTTAAAGTGTCACCTGATTTTAACCCTTTCATCATTAAATCCATTGATGTAAAAAATGTAACATGAGAAAAATTAAATCCTGTGTATTTTTTCTTGGAGAGAGGATTGTTACAGTTAGGGTTTCCACATAATTTACCTTCCAAATCAGGCCAATTTAAAAAAATTGCACATCATAATTGTGCATACTTACGGGGTACACAGTGGTGTTCTGATACACATAATGTATAGATCAGATTATCATCTCAAACATTTTTTTTTTGTTTTGGGAACATTCAATATCCTCCTTCTAGCTCTTTGAAATGATATAATATACTATTGTTAACTATTCATCTTACAGTGTCATCACATGCTAGATCTTATTCCTCCTATCTAGCTATAATTTTGTATCCTTCAACAAATCTCTTTCTATGACCTCCTTCCCCCTCTCTTTCCCAGCCTGTAGTATCTTCGGTTCTACTTTTTACTTTTATAAAAGATCCAGTTTTAAGAGAGAAAGGGACCACAGCTAATACTTAATGCTGGAACAACAGATATAAATCTGGGATACTAAATTGTACTATACAGTACTAAATTGGGGTTTAGAATGTATCCTGAAAAGTTAAAATGCAGATGGTACTTAAAAGAAAGCAAGGGATATAAAAAAAGATGCAAAAATTAAATAACAAATAGATCATTAAAAAGTGCATATCAGTCTCAGATATTTAAAATTACTCCCTTCCTTGAACTCAATAGTCAAATACTCAAAAACATTTCTCGTTGAAAAATGATCTTGAGAAGGACAGCCCCAGGAGAAGTGTTTGGTGTGCACGAATTCTAAGCTCCAGTGTTTCTCACGAATGGGGTAGAGGAAGACCCTGGCTTTGACTCCCACAGGACCTTCTTTCCTCCCCATTGGCGATTAGTCACTCCATGTTTAAAACTGAAACGTTCATTTTAAATACTACAAAAATGTGGCACAGAGCGCAGGCAAGGCATCTGTTCCAGCAAAATGTTATGTTTTGATCATTTTCAGAAATGATTTTTCTGTTTTTAAAGAAAGTGTGTGGACATGGGGATGAGTCAGTCAATCTGAGGGGTACTGTATGCTGGGTTATTTTGAAAGCTGCAAAATTTAAAAATACATGGAAAGAAAATAATTTTCCTTAAATATTATTTCAATTTTATTCTTTGACTTAGTATTTTTTTTTCTTTTTTAATCTTTCCATAGCATCAGATTCCTTGCCAGAGGAAAAAAATGCCATCCTTGAAGGCAGCTATAGAATCATCATCATATGGAATTCTAGATACAGGCCTACAAAAATGTTTATACTTGTATTCAAAGATCTAGGTAATCTTTATTGGAAAAAGTGGCATATCTTATGCAAAGGTGATGTACTTAGATATATAACTGCACTTTTTAAAAAAACAGTTCCTGATTACTCAAATATTACCAAAAATCTATCTATTCCCTGAATAGAACTTCTACCACTTAATATTAGATCTACTACTCAAGTGCAATTGTACAAAAATTGTATCATAACCTCAATATTTTCAATCCTAATACATACGCCCTTTCATTTTCTGAAATGAAATGCATTTAGTTTACTAACATTGGTTCATAGCCCCCGCCCTGCCCAAATGTAGGCTGTTCTCCAAAATCAGAATATTTGGAAGTCTTAATGTAGGACACAATAAAACAAAATTTCAGTAAGATTTCTCTTACTTTTTTTTTTTTTTTCTCTGTAGTCTTGCAGTATTCCTTTTCCATAGACCCTCAAAAGTAAGCTGAGCCAGCCACTCTGTTTCTGGGCATACTCATGTAGTTTGGTCTCACTTTGCTAGCTCAAATCCCCACTGAGGAAGAAACCCTCAAGTTCTAGTAGAGAAAAAACACCAGCTTGCTGTGTTTTCCAAAGCAGATCACCTTATATATGTCCATTTCTTTATCTGGAGAAATGGGAAGACGTGACAGTTATCTACCTCCAATCATAGATTGCTGAATTCTGAGACGTTAGAAATTACTTGTGTTTGTAAAGCATGTACCAGTTAGAGTTTAAAATTCCACCATATTGGTTGAACCAGATCAGAACAGCCACCTAACCAACTATTTTTATCTTGATCTGTTCATTTTGGCCATCTAAAGCAGCACAATCAATTGGACCAACCATTCTGAGATACAAATTGGCTGGTAAGAAAGCCAAAACACCAGATTGGCTGCTTTTTTTAATTGGTGTTTTTCACGATATGAAAATATTGGGTGAAAATGGAAAAACTGAGTCAAAGATCCAGATGTTTGATCTTCCTGTTGCCAAATAGCCACACATTTTGTAGCATTCATATTTGCAACTGAATTTCTCAGCTTTCACCAGAAAGCCTGTCATCATATAGATATAGCCTTAGAAGATCTGTAAACACAAAACTGATATGGTCCCAAGAAAAAAGAATCTCTTTTACCCAAGATAACAGTTGCTTGTGTATCTGCTGTTTTTTCCTTACTAGGCAGTTTCCTGAAAAGTAAGGGACAAGGGCTATTGTTCAAAATCCTGTAGTGTTCCCATCTTTATCTAGGCCTAAATCTGCCTAGAAAGGAGCATACCTATGTAAGCTGATTAACAGCCACAAGAAGAGCTTCTCTCCTGAATTGATCCAATTAGTAATTCAGATGTAGATACAAAAGCATCACTGCATCATTGCCAGGGGCATGACACAGCCCAGGTCTTTTCAATTGACTTGTCTTGTTAAACACTGACCAGGACTTCTGTTAGACATTGGAATGGGTGCATCAAGCTGTTCTATATATTCTAAATCCAGTCTGCTAACAACACTTACATAGTTCAAATGAGCTTAGCAAAAATGAATACTATTACCCTTAAGCATGTGTGGTGGGGGCAGGGGGATAAAGTTACGAGTTAAATGTATTGTCATTTTGCCTATTTTTGATGGCTGACATTTGTTTGCATTGCTTCTTCTGCACCCAGGCACATATTAATTCAAAGCCACAACCACAGTATGTATTATCTGTAATTTTTCTTTTCTCCTCCTTGGATTCACTCCTCTTGAAATATCACATTTTAATTATGTGCATAGCAATGACTTCATTGCTTCTTAACTCAGCAGCAGCCAACTCATTTTCCCCCGATGGTATGATGACCTGTCCTGTGGGAGAAATCCATCTGTTTATATTCTTTAAGCTGTATCTACACAAGGAACAGGTTTTGTATGTTTTGAAACCATCTTTCCTCATTTCACTACTTATTGCTTGCCTAGAAAGGAGAAAGCAAGGAACCAAGAGGAAATCATCACATTCAGTAAGCATTTCTAGCAAAACTAATAAAGTAAGCACATTTGCATAAAGAACATGGCCTAAAAATTAGCAAAGGCCATGGATTCCACCCAAGGTAAGTATTTTATCTCAGTGTCAAATACATGTATAAACCAATTAGCATAGGACTTCGTATACAGAGTAATAAATAATACCTATATTTTTCATTGGGATTATATATGAAAGGACCAAAAGATGAAATATTTGACCCTTGGTAATGTGTGAATGTTAATGAAAACTCTTTCTGCAGACCCGATTGTCTATCTGATGCTAATAATAGGTTTATAAAGGAAAGTGATTTTACCTGTCTGGCATGAATTCCTGGCTTGACAGTAAACATTGTTTGAAATGTACTTAATAGAGTGCCTTCAAAAGAAATTTTGTACTGTCAACTTACTTTTACAAGTAATTGGAGAAGATTGTTATCACCTGTCACAGGAAATCTTTAAATGAGAAGGGTTTATTCCAGGAAGAATGCAGTGTTCATCTGTAGAACGTTTTGCTCACCCATATAGTTTCTGGGTTCCACCATGGTCTTCACTGATGATGGCCCATTGTGAATTGTGGAAATTCTGTACAATGAGATAATGTCTCAGATTTGGATCCAGAGAAAACTCTAAGAGCAATCCTGGGACAGAGCTGGTAAAAGATTGGAAAAGTGCCCGTCTCAGTCTGTAGGGAAGGCACATCTTCACAGGAAAGAATGAATATAATTCTTCTGCACACTCACTCATCAAAGAACTAGGTAGAGACCCATGAGGATACAAAGCATTGTTTAATCTAAGCAATGTCAAATTTAGTCAATCCCCGGCAGCCCATAACGATAGCCAAGCATAGCCTCATTCAGACATAAACAGGCTCAATTTTAGAACTAATACAAATTTAGATAAGCAGGATATTCTTAGGTTCCTCACAAACAGTTAGAAATGGAAGATAGTTTATTACTGTCCTATCCCTGAGCTTGGAGGTGGACAGGGGGCTGGGTATCCGTGAGAGTGTGCTACTTCAGCTTTACTTCCTAATCCCACTGTGATGCAGACTGTATGGCTGGCCCTTCTGCTCAGCCATCATTTTTTTCTTACTGATTCCTTCACATAACTGAATTAGGGATCTGAAAAGTTTCTCTAATTCTGAGAGATCCAGGCTCATCTATGAACCCTAGGCATATTACATTTCACCATTATTTGGAAAAAAGAAAGAAAAGCATAGTAAATATACGAAGAGCTAAGAGGACAGAAGAATCATTTTGGGCTAGAACATTCAGAAAAATGCTCCCAGAGGGAAAATAATATGTATTGGGTTTTGAAGGATAGATAAAAGCTGATAATAAAGACATTCTAAGAAAGCAAATGATGAAAGAGAAGAGAAATCTGATTTGCAGGGAATAACTAGGAAGAAAATACTAGTGCTCAGGAAGTTGATTTTGTTTCATCTCTACTTCCTCAGTGAGGAGCAACACCTAGACACTCTTACTATTTTCTCCAGCAACCTTATGAGACCAATATTTATTTATTTATTTATTTATTTATTTTATCAGAAGAGAGGACATTATGTTCATGATTGCTTCTTTTCAGGTAACGGTTTTAGACTTATGTCAATTACATTCCCCGAATCCTGGTGAAGCATGTTTCATTATCCTTAAACATTGTGCCAATTATCGAGCTGTTGTCTTTCAGTTTCAAATTCACCCTTCTGCTATCAGCTTTGGGAAAGTGAGCCTGGGATTCTGAAAACCACTTTTCTGCCTGGTCGGAGGGTACCATATTAGACTCTGCCAGTGCAAGGACTGGGGGAGACTGTAGAGCTGGAGCAGGGAGAAGGACTTGCTCGTTCCTGTCTGATTCTTGCTCCAATGCTTCTTCACTCTAGCAGTGAGGTTGCCTTTCTGGAGCAGCAGCTGAATCTAGCTAGCAGTTTTTCCAACTCAGAATCAGGCTTACGAAATTCTTCTCAGAGACACCAGCAATACACTGGGCCTTCTTGTAGGCCTGGATTCCCACACCACAGAGCTACCTCTCCAAGCTTCTAAGGGTTGAAAGTTCCAGCTTCTTTCCTTAATTCCCCAGCCCTATGGGTGGTGGCTCTTTCTTGCGGTTGTGCCCTCCATGATACCTTAGAATCCTCCTTTCACTCTCTCAGTTCTTCTATACATAATTAACAGTTCTTTATATGAAATTCTCTCCATTAAAATAACCTGAGTGATTTCAGTTTCCTAACTGGACCCTGACTGAATCACAGATGAAGAACCTAAAACTTAAATAGATTATTTAGTTAATTAACTTTTTTAAGTTTCCACAACTAACTTGTAATGCTGGTGGTCTAGATTTGAACTACAGCTCTTCTGACTAATGTCTTACTCTTTTAGCCCTCACTATAATTAGCCTCCAGCTAGACACCTGCAGAGACACAGCATTTTTTTCCAACTATTGCAACCCACTTGAATTAGTCAAGACTTTTATGGTTTTAGGTGGTAGAAATCCAAACAGAGCTAGGTTAGCACAAAGGAAGAATTTCTTGACTCACATAACTATATGTTGGGAAACGAAAGGGTAGGAGGGGGATTCTGCTGAATGTATGGCCAGGCCTTAGCCCTGTACCTGGGACAGAGGAGTCTCTCTTCCCTACCCTCAGCCTCCACTACAATATACACACATGCCCACATCTCTCCTTCCTGTTTCATTTTTTCAGATTGCAGGAAACCCACCTGCTGGGTTATATGTTCCAATTTCACCACCAGAGAGACCAAAGACTTGTTTTTTCTCCCTCTGATCCCAAGCTCAAAAATCCCAGGAAAGGGATCTGCTGGTACATTTTGGATCAGGAGTTCATACCTGTTCCAATCACTGATGAATGGTTGTAGGGAAAGGCTAGAGGGTGACACCAATGCCTTTCCAGTTTGGAATAGGTATCTTTTCCCAGTGACCATAAATAGTAGTCAAGGGGAAGGATTTATAAACCAAGAGAAGCTCCCACGTAAACCCCAAAGTTAAAATAGAGGAAGGATTTCCCAGCAGAAGCTTGTATGCTAGTCTAGGCAAGCAAAACAATAGATGTCTAATATCTTACTCTTGCTATAAACTTTGCATTCTTACTCTGCATGCCTACGGTACAATAATAAATCACATCTATGTTTTGTAGAAACAAGCTATAGATCATTGCTAATTAAATGCATGGGTTGTTTTGGTAAGTGACTAGTCCTGCAAATACTGGATTTTGAAATGTCTTCCTTTTCTTTTTATAATGTTGCTATGAAGTCTTTCATAATAGTTTAAATGTGTTAATGAATCAATATATAGTCATAAGCCTCAAACACTAAAGATCTTTCAGTCAGTATTACTGGGGCCAACTCTGACATTCATAGGATGACAAGAATTTATTTTAAAATAAATTAACACCCTTTGGGAGGCCGAGGCTGGTGGATCACGAGGTCAGGAGTTCGAGACCAGTCTGGCCAACATAGTGAAACCCTGTCTTTACTAAAAATACAAAAAATTAGCTGGGTGTGGTGGTGTGGGCCTGTAATCCCAGCTACTTAGGAGGCTGAGGCAGGAGAATCACTTGAACCCCGGAGACGGAGGTTGCAGTGAGCCGAGATCGTGCCGTTGCACTCCAGCCCAGGCGACAATGTGAGACTCATCTCAAAAAAATAAACAAATGATAAATAAATTAATTAACAAATACTAAGCACCGTGTCTTAGGTGCTGGTTTTGGAGTTTTACATTTTATTAGCACCACAATGACCCTGTGAAGTGAGCATGATTGTTCCCTCTTTTCAGAGGAGGAAATTAAGGCTTGGTGAGAGTAAATCACTTACCCAAATTGATGAAATTAGTAGGCAGTCAATGCAGGGGATTATAATGTAGATCTAAAGGATTTAAAGCCACATTTTATGTGCACTACATCAGGTTTTCCTCACTGAGCTCTGTGGAGTGCAGTTTTTGGCAGAGACACCTCAGGGGCCACTACGAGCTCCAGTCAGCTGGACTTGGGCATCTGACTTCACCTTGCCCCCATCTCTGCATCAGAGAGCAGCTCTGCCTTCATACTGTGTTAGTTCAGGGCTTCTTTTGAGGCTGTCTTTAAAATAAACTAAACCATGGTAACTTTATACTAGCAGCATCTCTGCCCTCCACTCACTAGATGCCAGCAGCACTCCCTTCTCTAGTGGCAGCAATAAAAAATGTCGCTTTGGCTGAGTGCAGTAGCTCATGCCTGTAATCCCAGCGATTTGGGAGGCTGGGGCCAGGAGTTTAAGACCACCCTGTGTAACGTGGCCAAGACCCCTATCTCTACAAAAAAAAAGTTTCCAGATGTGGGATTGGTAAATGTCCCCTGGATGGTAAAGTAAAATCGTGCCCCAGTTGAGAACTATTGTTTTTAAAAAATCCATCTCTTTTTTGTCTGTTTTTGTTTTTGTTTTTGTTTATAGAGGAAAAAGGTTTAATCGACTCACAGTTCAGCCTGGCTGGGGAGGCCCCAGGAAACTTACAATTATGGCAAAAGGTGAAGGAGGCCCGAGGAAACTTACAGTTGTGGCAAAAGGTGAAGCAAACATCCTTCTTCACATGGTGGCAGAAAGGAGAAGAATGAGCAAAATGGGGAAGAGCCCCTTATAAAATCATCAGATCTCGTGAGAACTCACTCACTATCATGAGAACAACATGGAGGTAACTGCCCCTGTGATTCAATGACCTCCCACCGGGTCCCTTCCACAACATGTAGGAATTACGGGAACTACAATTCAAGGTGAGATTTGGGTGGGGACACAGCCAAACCATATCACTATCTTTTATGATATTTTATATGCAACTTAGTGTATTGCCTACTTTCATAATTATTTATTTATTTTTAATTTTTAAATTTTTTAAAATTTGTCCATAAGTTATTGGAGTACAGGTGGTATTTGGTTACATGAGTAAGTTCTTTAGTGGTGATTTGTGAGATTTTGATGCACCCATTCCCTGAGCAGTATAAACTGCACCATATTTGTAGTCTTTTATCCCTCGCCCCCTCCCACTCTTCCCCCAAAGTCCCAAAAGTCCATTGTGTCATTCTTATGCCTTTGTGTCCTCATAGTGCACCTCCCACATATCAGTGAGGACATACGATGTTTGGTTTTCCATTCCTGAGTTACTTCACTTAGAATATTAGTCTCTAATCTCATCCAGGTCACTGAAAATGCTGTTAATTTATTCCTTTTTATGGCTGTGTAGTATTCCATTGTATATGTGTACTAAAGTTTCTTTATTCACTTGTTGATTGATGGGCATTTTGGTTGGTTCCACGATTTTGCAATTGTGAATTGTGGTAAATATGCGTGTGCAAGTATCTTTTTTGAAGAATGACTTCTTTTCCTCTGGGTAGATACCCAGTAGTGGGATTGTTGGATCAAATAGTAGTTCTACTTTTAGTTCTTTAAGGAATCTCCACACTGTTTTCCATAGTGGCTGTACTAGTTTACATTCCCACCAGCACTGTAAAAGTGTTCCCTGTTCACCACGTCCACACAAACATCTACTTTTTTTTGATATTTTGATTATGGTCAATCTTGCAGGAGTAAGGTGGCATTGTATTGTGGTTTTGATTTACATTTCCCTGATCATTAGTGATGTTGAGTATTTTTTCATATATTTGTTGGCCATTTGTATATCTTCTTTTGAGAATTGTCTATTCATGTCCTTAGCCCACTTTTGGTTGGGATTGTTTGTTCTTTTCTTACTGATTTCTTTGAGTTCATTGTAGATTCTGGATATTAGTATTTTGTCAGATGTATAGATTGTGAAGATTTTCTCCCACTCTGTGTGTTGTCTGTTTACCCTGCTGACTGTTCCCTTTGCCATGCAAAAGTTCTTTAGTTTAATTAGGTCCCAGCTATTTATCCTTGTTTTTATTGCATTTGCTTTTTGGTTCTTGGTCATGAAATCCTTGCCTAAGCCAATGTCTAGAAGGGTTTTTCCAATGTTAACTTCTAGAATTTTTATAGTTTCACATCTTAGGTTTAAGTCTTTAATCTGCCTTGAGTTCAAGTTTGTATAAGGAGAGAGCTGAGGATCCAGTTTCATTCTCCTACATGTGGCCAGCCAGTTATGTTTTTTTTTTTTTTTTCTTTTGAGATGGAGTCTGGCTCTGTCACCCAGGCTGGAGTGTAGTGGTGCGATCTCGGCCCACTGCAACCTCCGCATCCCGGGTTCAAGTGATTCTCCCACCTCAGCCTCCAGAGTAGCCAGGATTACAGCCACACGTCACCACGCCCAGCTAATTTTTTGTATTTTTTTGTAGAGATGGGGTTTCACCATGTTGGCCAGGCTGGTCTCGAACTCCTGATCTCAAGTGATCCACCTGCCTCAGCCTCCCAAAGTGCTGGGATTACGGGCGTGAGCCACTGTGCCCAGTTCTCTTCTAATACAAAGATACTCTTAATGGATTTTAATGATTTTTTTAAAAAATGGGTTTTAAAAAAATGGAACCAGGGCATCATAATGTGTTATATTTATAAACACCTGAGTTCAAAATGATATTGAACTGTTGTTTTTATTGAAATCTTTACCCAGGTCATCACATTTTGAAAGCTTTAAAATGCTACAGCCAAACGCTGAACGATTATCTTAAGTATTAAGAAATTTGCTTCTAATTTGTGGCTTTTGATGTTGTTCTTCATTAATACTCAGGCTTGTTGAGAGAAGCAGAGCATCTTAGCACCAGAAGGAATGTCAAGAGGTTATTGGCTGCACCACTATGCCTACCTGCAAATCAACATCTGGACCATTCCTAGATCAGTGTTTAAGAGCAGGGAATCATGGGCACTGGCTGTATCTAATTATTGCCAGATAATATCACCTAAAATGAAAGTTCCTTAATGTTTGCCTGACACATCATTGGCAATCTCATTCAGCAAGCTACTTCATTTATTTAGCTTGGCATAATTCTCAAGCACACACAAGAATTATCTCCTGATCAAAGCTAGGCATCATATGGGCTTTATTGAGGCTGTTTTATGGTTAAGCTGGGAAACCCTTTCACTCACCTGTAAAATTTGTAAGACAAATTATTTTGATCATACAAATTGAAGAAAATTGGACCTCAATGGCTCATTTTTATGTTTTAGAGAGCTTTCAAAAATTATTTTATAAGGGTAATTTTTATTCTGCCTATAAGTTCTCTTTGTCTGACTTCCCAGTTAGGGTATGATGATCTTTTATTTAGTTATGTGTCATTGATAGGTGACTCAGTTTTTCTTTGGGAGATGCCATTCTCACCCATCTCCTCCGTAACTAGCAACAGGATGGCATATTAAGGGATTTGCTTCTGATTCCACTGGAAACACAAATTATCTGTGTATTAGCAAAGCAACACGTATAAAGGATTTCCTAAGGATAGTTAGTCTATTTCCCTAGAGATCCTTAAATTGTGAGGCCCAAGGGTTTTAAAAGGGTTATGAACACCAAAAATAAAAAATGTATGCAAAAATGTGTGTTAAATTTAGGGAGGTAAGGAAGCTGGAGAGATTTTCAGATATCTTAGTCCAAAAATATTGCCCTTTTAAACAAAGTCAGGGGAACTGAGAATTATATAATCTGTAGCAGTCTCCTCTGTAGAATTGGTTTGACTGATTGTGCTTTGTTGATATGTCATAAATCCTGAAGGCATGCCTTAGGATACTAACAGCTGTTTCTCCCATAGAGATGTTTGTGGAGAGTGTTTTCTGTTGCATTATGCAGTTTATTCTTCATGAGTAAACCTTGGGGAAAAAAATTCTCTTTTAGTGTAAGTGTGAAGAATAGCTATGCATCCACTGACCAATTATTTGGTGTTTATATTATGGGCAAAAGAAATTGTGTGACTACCCACATTTCTCTCCTCATCTTGGCTGTGGGAAAGCCTAATGCTCAATTTGTGGCCCAGTTTTAGCAACTGTACAGGACTCCTTGGTATGCTTGATTGGATCAGACACATTCTTGGTTCCATTTTCTGTCCCTGGGGCTGTTTTTCTTTATTCTTTTTTTCCTCAAAATCCTAATATTTATATTACTGTGCTGTTTATAACTGTTTATGAGATCCAAACCTGTTTTGAAACAGGATAGATTGTAAATACACTCTTTTTAAATAGTAACAAATAACTAAAATGAAAAAGAACAAAGCCAAATGATTAATGGCATTCTGTGGCTGGGGAAGATGCTGATGATAAAAAGGACGTTCACATACGAATAGGAATTCTTCCAATAGAGAAAGTAGAAGAGGAAGCATTGCTGCAGGAGGATTGCAGCAACAATGGCATTAGATAAGCCTGAGGAGTTCAAAAGGAGAGCAGCAGCCCTTGTTTGCATGGATTGAGACTGGAGAGAGTAGGAGGAACATCATGGTTTGCAAGCTAAATTAGACTCAGGTTGTGAAATGCCTCGTTTACTGTGCTATGGGTGTGGCTTTATCTCGTAGACAATGGAAAATGACCAAGTAATTTAAGTCACAAAAGTGGTGTGATCAGAATGTACCCCAGGAAGATAACTCTAGTGACCCTGAGGAGGAGGAAATGGAACTAATGGAGAGAATGAAGGCATGAAGACCTGTTTGGGTCATTTATAGCCTGCTTGTTTGTTTGTTTGTTTGTTTGTTTCCCCATCTCAGAGCCAACTTCAATAAAAACCAGACCAAGTTATGTAGGAATAGCCTCTTTGCCTCCAGAAAATGAGGTCTAAAAAAAAAAAAATCTTGGTGTCCTGATCCTGGAGTCCTGGACTCCTGGGAACCTAAAAGTCTAGTT
The DNA here is from genome assembly GCF_000001405.40 of Homo sapiens. Classification (NCBI taxonomy): domain Eukaryota; kingdom Metazoa; phylum Chordata; class Mammalia; order Primates; family Hominidae; genus Homo; species Homo sapiens. Next base: position 41,123,296 of record NC_000007.14, read on the forward strand.
GCCCTGCCTACCTTCATCCCACATGACCCACTTGTTCCAGGAATCTCGCTCAGGTTCTAGGTGTCCATCCATTCAATCTCTTCATTCCAGTCTTTGGTACCCATGTCATTGCTTCAGCCCATCGGCTAAGAACCACAGCTCTCCTGCTTACTCCTGTCAGTTTCCTTTGATCTGGGCATAGACCTTGAACCAGTATTCTCACATCTTAACTTGAATCCCCTTCCCTAGTTTACAGAATCACCAGGTGCTGAGAATAGCTGCTGCCTGGAAATCTGGTTGCCACGCCCAACTTTTCCTACACCCATTATCCACTGATTATTGATTTTGCTAAGGGTATCCTAAGTTTGGTATACCTTTTTGGACTTGGTTTTGGTGCAACAGTAGCGGCTGGAAGAGTACCCCTGCTATTTTTATCAGTTTCTTTTCTGCCCTTACCTCTCTTAATCTTGTGATCATAGCCTATGTCCTTCTCCTGCAGGGAACTCCAAAAATGCAGTGAACCAGAGGCCAGACTGTTTACTGATGATAAGGAAGCTATTGGTATATAGTCGTGTCCCATATAATGAAATTTTGGTCAATGGACCACATATACGATGGTGGTCCCATAAGATTATAATGGAGTTGAAAAATTTCTATCACCTCGTGATGTCATAACCCATTGTAACATCGTAGCACAACACATTATTCATGTGATGATGCTGGTATGAACAAACCTACTGCACTGCCAATTGTATAAAAATCTAGCACATTCAATTATGTACAGTACATAATACTGGAGGACGATAATAAATGACAGTGTTACTGGTTTATGTATTTACTACACTTTTAACCATTATTTTGGAGTGTACTCCTACTTATTAAAAAAAGTTAACCATAAAACAGTCTCAGGAAGATCCTTTAGGTGGGTTAGGGTTAGGGTTACGGCATTTTTTTGTCACAGGAGATGAGAACTCCATGTGTGTTAGCAACCCTGAAGACCTCCCAGTGGGACAAGATGTGAAGGTTAAAGACAGTGATATTGGTGATCCTGACCCTGTGTGGACCTAAGCTACTGTGTGTGCTTGTGTCTTAGTTTTTAACAAAAAAGTTAAACATGTTAAAATATAAAATAAAATATTTAAAAATAGAAAAAAGCTTATAGAATAAGGATATGCAGAAAGAAAATATTTTGTACAGCTGTACAATGTGCTGATGTTTTAAACTACCATAAAAGAGTCAAAAAATAAAAAAATTAAAAATTCATAAAGTTAAAACGTTGCAGTACATAAGGTTAACTTATTATTGAAGACAGTTTTCAATATAAATTTAGTGTAGCTTAAGTGCACAGTGTTTATAGTCTGCAGTAATGTACAGTAATGCCCTAGACCTACACATTCACTCTCCACTCAGTCATTGACTCCCCAGAGCAGCTTCCAGTCCTGCACGCCCCATTCATGGTAAGTGCCCTATATGGTGCACTATTTTAAAAAATGTTTTATACCATAGTTTTACTGTTCTTTGTAATATTTAGATACAAAAATACTTTCCATTGTGTTACAATTGCCTACAGAATTCATATAGGAATATGCTGTAGCCTAAGAGCAGTAGGCTATACTATATAGCCTAAGTGTGTAGTAGGCTATACAGTCTAGGTTTGTGTTAAGTACACTCTGTGATGTTCGCGTAATGAAATTGTCTAATGATGCATTTCTCAGAATATATCCACATCTCGTTAAGCAACACAGGACTGTACTAGTAATAAATTAAAAGACTGAACTGTGACAATAGAAATAAGGAGTGGGATTGAGAAGTCTTTCAATTGTGAGATTCAATTGTGAGAATTTTATGATTGGATGGTAAGGTTGAGTGATGAAGAATCAAAGAAACATCTTTGTTTTGAAGCTTGGCTGAGTATTGATGATGACACTGACTCGTTTCAGCTTCAGTCCTCTCTCCCTCCTCTGTCTGTCACTGCCAAGCTTCTTGGCTACCCATGCTGTAGTGACCCCTTAATGTCCTCCCATTCAGTCTTCACTCCTTCCAGTCTATATCTCTCTCCAGTCTGTGTTCTTCCTCCACCTCTTCATTGAGCCTTTTCTTTCCCAAGATAGTCAGAAAACTCCATGATGCCAAATCCCATCTCAGGAGCTGTCTCAACAGCACTGGCACCAATGTTTATCACTCTTCTCTTGTTGAAACATTCCCTTCTCTTGGCTTTTGTAACACAATCCTCTCTTGGGTTCCTTTCTTCTTTTATGACCCACCCATCTTATTCACCATTGACTCAACAAACATTCATTGAGTTTGTACACTGCGTTGGGTACAGTTCCAAGAGCTGGGATATGGTAGTAAACAACACTGACAAAATCTCTAACCCCATAGAGCCGGCATTCCTGCATGGGGAGACAAACAGTAAAATAAATACCTAAAATGCATAGTATGTGAGATAATGATAAATGTTAAGGAGAAAAGTAAAACTACGAGGTATCAAGAGGCATGAAGGCGTTCAATTTTAAAAAGGGAGATTAGAGAAGTTCTCACTGAGGTGACATGTGAGCAATAAAGATGGAGGGCCACCCTCAGGGATAAGTGGTGAGAGATTTTTCCAGGAGGGAATAGCTGGGACAGATGCCCAATAAGGGAGGCCTGTGTCTGAAGAAGATGGAGAAGGCAAGGCCAGTGGATGAGGTCTGGGCAGTGAGAAGGGAAATTAGGGGCCTAGTAGGGAATATTAGGACTTTGACTGTGTATTCCAAGTGAGATTGGAATCATATGAACAATTTTAAGCTGATAAGTGACAAGATCCAACACATCTCACAGAATCATGCTGGCTTTTGAATTGGGAAGAGATTGCCTGGGGACAAGGATAGAAACAGGGAGGTGGCTATGATTGTCTGGTCATTGAACCAGGGTACTTGTGGTGGATGTGTTTAAAAGAAATTGAATTCTGGAGATACATGGAGGTACAGATGATGGTATTTGTTGATGGATTAGATGTGGGTGTGAAAAAAAGAAGAGAGAAAGAAGTTAAAATGACTCTAAGCTTTTCGACATGAATTTTTTTAAAAAGAATGGAGCTGTATTAATTTAAATGGGAAAGATGACAAAACAGGTTTGGGAAGGGTAATCAGAGTTTTGGTTGTAGGGATGGTATACTTGCGTAATGAAATATTTGAGTTTGGGTAGCATTTCAATAAAGAGAGATACATTTGAGAAAAACCAGCATATGGATGGATTCGCAAGTCATCATACTGGATTAGATCACCAAGAAATTGGGTTTTGAAGACAAGAAAATGTCTGAGCCCTGGGGTACTCCAAAGTGTAGTTGTCTAGCTGATGAGAAGAACATCACAGAAGACCGCAAACAACTGACATTGAACGAGGAAGAAAACTAGATGTGGTGCCTTGAAAGTCAAATAAGATAAACTCTTTAAAGAGCAGGGGGTAAAAACCTGTGTCTCCTGATGCTGATAGAGAGACTACAGTTCTTAGTTTGCCCAGGACAGGCTTCAATCTGTTGTCTCTGCATAATTATTAATAGCTCCTCCTTCCATCCTCTTAAGTGAAGCAGTCAGCCAACTGATGGGTCAAGTAGGATCAATTGAGAATTAACTATTATATTTAGAAATGTGAAAGTCATTAATGACTTTGATGTAAGTAGCTGTGTTGAAGGCCTAGGCAGAGGGGCTCAGGATAGAATGTGAGTAAGAGGAATTGAGGAGTATGAATAAAGACAACTGAATCAAGAGGTTTTGCTGAAAAGGGGGAGCAGAAATATAGGTGGTAGCTGGAAGGTAAACTGCTGTCAGTCAAGAGTGGTAGGTCTTGCCAGGCGCGGTGGCTCACTCCTGTAATCCCAGCACTTTGGGAGGCTGAGGCGGGTGGATCATGAGGTCAGGAGATCGAGACCATCCTGGCTAACACAGTGAAACCTCGTCTCTACTAAAAATACAAAAATTAGCTGGGCATGGTGGCACATGCCTGTAGTCCCAGCTACTTGGGAGGCTGAGGCAGGAAAATTGCTTGAACTCAGGAGGCAGAGGTTGCAGTGAGCCAAGATCGTGCCATTGCACTCCAGCCAGGGTGACAGGGCAAGACTGACTCCGTCTCAAAAAAAAAAAAGAAAACAAAACAAACAAACAAAAAGAGTGGTAGGTTTTGTTTGTGTGTTTATTTGTGTTGGTAAGATGGGCTTCCACATTTCCTCAATTCCTCCTCATTTGTCTGTCCTCTAAGTGTTGGTCTTCATCAGGGAAAAGTCTTAAGCCTTTTTATTCTAAATTCTCTTTCTTGATTTACTCACCAATTCTCATGGCTGTAAATACAGCCTAATTTTGACAAATTCCAAACCAAAAGGGTTGACTTCTTCTGTTTTGAACTCAAGATCTGCAAATTAAATGCCAGATTCAAATAGCTTCTTGAATTCACATCTAATGAACATCTCACACTTAACATCTCCCAAACTGAATTTCTATCCTTCTTCTCACCAAGTCTCCTTCGGCCCCATGCCTTCCCTGTCCTGTCCATGCCACCCCACTCTGTACAGAAGTGCTCAAGTCAGAAGCCTTGTGATCATTCTTGAAATTTCTTCCTTGCTTATCTTCCCATATCTCACACATCACCAAGTCATGTCAAGTCTCCCTTAAAATACAGATAGTATATTACACCAGCCCTGGATACTCAGATCCATTCTTGATCTTTTCTCTTCTCTCTTCTATAATATAGGGGATTTAGCCCTGGAAGCTGTGCTCCCAGGTGCCCATGTCAGCTGGTTTCTGGTTGTGTTCCATCCATGGGAGGCATCAACAGGATAATGGAGCAGGAGGAAAGGAGAGAACAGGGCCCTTCTTTCTCTAGTCGTTTGAGGTGGTGTCTTCTTAACTCCAGCTTTCAATCAGGAGACTTCTGGCTGCAAACTCCAGTGATGACATCTTCTCACCTGGTCCCTCCAGCCAAGAAGCCTGGAGGATGAATGAAGGTCCCTCCAGCCTTCATCATTCTCTGCCAGTGGGACCAGGTGAGAAGGTGTTGTTTAATCTCCAGGTTACCTAATTTTCCCCTGTGGGCTTCTCAGAAATTTCGTCACCTAATTAGTAACTCCACAGATTCAATTTCCTCTAATTTCTTCTATTTTAAACAGAGTGCTTTCTAGTTGCTGTTTTGTTGTCTCCTCAGAAGTGGTCATATTCACCTGCTCTTCTCCTTTTCATGAATGGCTGTATTCTAAGGTATTATCATCTCTTCCCCTAGCTGCTGCCCTCTAGCTGGCTTCTCCACCTCTCATCTTTCCTTCCTCTTATTCATTCACACAGTTGCCAGAGTGATGATAAAAAAACTCAAATCATGCTGTTCAATGGCTTTCAGTTCAATATAGAATAACAGACTCCCCTCTTAACCTGCCTACAAGACCATGTATACTTTGGCCTCTGACAGTTTCTCCAACATCATCTCACTCATTCTGTGCCACATTCTTCTCCCCGGCCTCCTACAGACCTTACCCGTTTCATGAAACTCCTCCTCACATATCACACAAACTTGATTCCTTCCCTCTACCCTGTTATTTTCTATTTTGGTTTTCTGGTCTTTTCCTTTGTTTGACGCAACATGATTTCTACTTACGTGTTTACTTGTATGTTTACGTTTTTCCTTTATCAACAAAACCTTCAAGAGGTCAGGGAACGAGATTGTAGTGTATCTTATAATTTAACCAGTGCCAGCTTGACTTGTAGAGTGTCTTCCTAGAGAACAACAGATAATGTTTGAATAAGTGAATGAATACACATTACTTAATCACACTAGCATTTTCTTCACTGTTAGGTTACAGTGGTTCTCTTCTCAGAGGCATAATCAATAATCAAAATGGCTGTGAATTATAGTTGGAGTTGCCAAATGGACCAGGCCCTGCTGTAATAGATAGTTGGGGGCTTTATGCTGGAAGGAAAGCTGAGGCATCTTTGGTTTGGGGAATCAGGATTCAAACAGTCACTGATCCTTTCCCAACCTCTTTCTCTTTCTCTCTGTTAATCTTATTACTTCCTCTTATCAACTCCTTCAAATGTGCTCTACTTTCCAAAGGAAAACCCAAAGTTCTTGGCATGACATGTAAGGTTCCTGTAATCCCATGCCAGCCTCTTTCCATATCCAGGAGTAAATGACCACCTTCCATCCCTGTAGCCTGTTCTCAGTCAGTATGGCTGTCTTAGAAGTACCACTGTGACATACACGAGCGGGCTCTTCCACCCCTACTCCATGCCACTGCCCTTGCAGATCCCTTTACCAGCAATACCTTCTCTTTCTTGCCACCTAAGAAACCCTAGTCAGCCTCCTGCTGATCCCACACAGAACCTCCTTGTACACTGAGCTTCTCCTCAGCTCCACCCTCTGTGTCAGTCCCCCCGCTGTGTCCCCTAGCACCCAGTGTTTCTCTATTTGGCTGTTTATCACATTATATTTTATTGTTTTTAAAAGCTCTCACTGCTTGAGACTACGAGCAGGGACCATATCTTGTTCCTATTTGCATTCCAACACATGGTGCAGGGTCTGAAAGGCACTTAATAAGCTTGTGTTGAACCAGTGGTTGGGTACATTGCAAATGGTTTTTGCATACCTTCATCAGCTCAAGAAATAATTTTGCCTCAGAAACTTCTATTTGTTTCCTTCCTCCTCTTAGTTCCCAAATTGCACTTCATAACGAGTTGTTCCCTTCATGTTGTAGCTTTGAGCTCAGCCACCACCTACCCATCTGCTCCCCCTGCCCCCTGGCCTATTGACTCTGCCTGCTGTTCCCACTTTGCCTTCCTCCCTCCTCAGTGGCAAATCTGGCTCCAAAGCCTCTGCTTTCCATGGGGACAGGAAGAAGCCGCATCGGGACTGTGATCCTGCTGCGGGGGGTGGGAAGGCACAGAGTGGCCCTGCCACCCACTGCCCACCCTCACCCTGTGTTCCTCAGCACTGAGAGCACTCCCAGGGCCCGATGAGCTAATCCATTCTGCCTCAGCCACCAGGGTGCAGTGGGAGGAGACATTCTGCAAATCAAAGAAATAATAAGGGACTCATTTGCATGCACTATTGATTTTGGTTCCAGGAAATGTTAATAGCAGCAGAGAGTGAGACCCTCATACCTCTTTACGCTGAAAAGCAACCCTTCTACTTTTTCCATTCCAGCACAGAATGAACTAGTGTGATTCTGGCATTTAATTAGTGAGGATAAGCAAGGCTGAATTCCTCTTTGTGGAGTAACAGTGATGAACTCTAACCTTTCTTGACATGACAGCCTGTTAGCTTCTCCAAAACCATTTCTTTTAAAAAGACAAGCATAAAGCAATGATCACTTTTGTATGTGCATTGCTCTGTTTCTATGACTGGTACCAGGAATGATCTGGTTTTTCTTTCCGCAGTATTCTTCCTTGGATGAAAGGACTAGGAGAAAGCCCTGCAACCCCACGAGTCCGCCCGTTTGTTGAAATCAGTTCAAGATCATCCAGGTCTGCAAAACTCGGCTGAAGCAGCTTGTTGCATAATTTACCAGAGAAAAGAGGGCCATCTGGAGAGCCAATCTGGAGAACTCGAGCAAAGGCAGAGTCTTTTTTTTTCCCCTCTTAAGTTATCCTGATTGACTCCCTGCCTATATTGGGCCTCCGCAGTGCTTGGCCCGCATCCTGAAAGATGGCAGTCCAGGTCAAAGGCCTTGGCCTCCTGGCTTTGAACCCTGGCAAAGCACTGCCTGGCCCACAACTGCTAGTAGCCCCACCTACCATAGCTGTGCAAGGTTCTCAGACACCTCCCACCTGTCTTACCCCATGACACCGTGGGGGCCTGTGTCATTCCCAAGGACAGCTGGTTTACGCATATGCAGAGGAGGCAGCTACCCACAAAGGGATGTGGGAAAGCTCTACCAAATTTAAAAAAAATAAAAATAATAAATAAAAAGAAAGAAAGAAATCTGCCTTAACCTCTAGTCAAGGAGAAAGTCATTTCTTCCACAAAGATTAAATCCTTTGTGTTAAAGCAATCTATTTCTTTCCAATCCAGAGCCTGTGAGTGATTCTATAGGGTAGTGAACACAATAAACTATTACCAGAGAATAGTATTTTTGTCAATGATTTAGGTGATATTTTAAGAGGTATAAGGAGTTTCTATAGAATTTTCCTTCCATAGAGCCTGGGGAAGAGGCTAAGGGGCTGGGGGGGAGGGCAGCTCCTATCAACCAGCTCTACCTGCTCCCTCTCCAGTCCCATCCTGTCCCCTGAACCTGGCTGCCCTGGACTCCAGGTGCCACCTATGTGCTGGCTATAGCTGATTTGTAGTGATTTCCTGAAATGTTCCACTGAGCAGCTTTCTGGGCCGGGAAAGAAATAGCACAGACTTCAAATTTATGAGGTCTGCCACAAGTATGGGATGAGAGGAAGTTCGAGGAATTTTCCAACCCTGTGCTAGCCACCTTTCTTAGTCTACAATGCTTTAATATGATCATAGATAAAGGTAGTCAATGTTTGTCCTAGGATTCAGCCAGTTAAAAATAAAGTAATTGAGAGTCTGACATTGGATAAATTACATAACTTTCCAGGCTTAATTTCTCATCTATATCATAGAAATAACAATATTTATCTGATTAGATTTTTAAAACTCCAATACATGTATAAGTCTTGCCACATAACTATATGTCCAATTAAAAAGTGTTTTCCTTTTCTTTCTTATGTGGTTTAAAATGCACGAGTTTTTACACAATCCAATTTTACTGGCTTGGCAGTGTAGAATTTCCTCTGTGTGTACCTCGAGGGTACTGAAGTTCAGGCTCTAGGGGTCTGTTTCTTGAATGGCAGGGCACCTTTGGCTTCCTTTCTTGCAAAACCTTGAACTCAGGCGTGTGGGGCAGGGGGAGGATTTGTGCAGTCTTGCATGGACGTCTACAGTGCCTTGGCTGAACAATGTGTTAATTATGGCCTTTCCGTCTCAACTGCACCTGCCCATTTCACTATCAGAAAGAAAAATCTCTCCTTTCTTCCTTGCTTCACTGTTATACTTTAGAACCATGATTGTTTTGCCGAAATAGATATTGACTAGAGAAGGACAAACCTCAAAGGTTTTGGATTAAGTTCTCTTTCTGATAAACATGAGGGAGTTTGAATGCTCTGGGGAGTCTTATTTAAGCTATCTTAACCTTTGGGGCCCATGAAAACTGGAAGAAAAAATTTCTTTCTTACCACTTTCTTTGGTTTGCTACCATTAGAAGAGACCATGCTGCAAGCACAGGTCACTCCAAGGCTTTAGCTGCAATTGTTTTGTGATGTATTTTGAAATCCTAGGGTGACAATACTTGTATACATGCAAAATAGGAATAATAAGCTAATTTTTGGCATACCAGGGGTTCTTAATCCCTTTTACTCTTTGGACTGTCAATGGGAAAGTCTGGTGAGTTCCAGGAACCCTTTTCCTAGTAACATTTTTTCAGTGCCTGTACTAAAAACATATAGGATTTAAAGAAACTGAATTATACTGAAATACAGTTTTCTCTGTGAGCCAATCAGTTTCTGTTGAAATGCAAAAAGATCTTTAAAAATTACATTTGCTGCCTTTTTATTATTAGAAAAACCCTGCTTATTATTCAGTAAAGGTGTAACATTTGAAAATTATAATAAAAGTGTAAGAAAAATTTAAAAATCACCTACAGCTTCAATTTCAAAAGAATCTTTGAATATTAATTCACCTCTGATAGGTGGTCAGATTACAAAGGAGAATTTTTTGGTTTTTTTTTTTTCAATGTTCAGAGCACAGTCAAGGTGCAAATGAATGGTGAGCACAACCTTTGAGAACTTTTCAATCAACACCTAGTGCTGGAGATGAATGGGACACAAGAGCTTAGCCAATTCAGAAGTACTGAATCTAGTGTGAGCATCAGATGCATCTGGGGAGATTGTTCTAAAATTTAGATTTTCGGGTTCTATTCCAGGCCTTCTGACCAAGAATATCCAGAGACAAGGTCGAAGAATCTGAACTTTTAAAGGCCGCTTAGGAACATCTGATTATCAGCAAGTCTTGGGAACCACTGATAATACAACGCGCACCCCCCCACTCAGTGCAGAATGCTTCCCAACAAGGTCTCTAAATGCTTCTTCCAAAGCATGTTTGGGTTTGGAGATTCAGCTCAAATGCTCTGACACAGACTGTCCTAAACTGGTATCATCCCAGCCTGTGACAGAAATTGAAAAACAAGTAATACTTCGTGCTCTAAAATCTTGATTTCTGCTTAGTTGTGTCCTCATCAAATAGCTGCTTTCTATTTTCCATGGCCAAGTGCACAGAAGAAGGGGGTGGGGGCGGGGGGTGGCTGGCTGGCTCTAGCATTTGGCTGGACAGAGTGAGAGCTATATTGGAGGGGGGGCCGGGGTGGGGGACTGATTCTTGGAGTGACTCTCTGGATCTGGATCGTGGGCTTTTTCATCCTCGTGAAGTCTACGTGCTGCGTTTTATTCATTAGCACCTACAAGGGACTAATTGCCATCAGGCATGTAGGTGGAATTCCTGGCAGGGAGCAAGAAATGGAATAGGTTTGATGACAACCAATGATCTGCCAAAGCCCTGTCAGAAGGAGAACAGAGTCTTGCTGTCACTCATCCACCCCTTTAAATTCAAATGAAGATGCTTCTGAGTGGGGAGGGGGAGGGGGTTGGCACGCGTCCAACTTTGCATTGAAGATACTGTACATTTTTACTGTATATGCGAAAGTCCCTGCTCCTGGTGGTGCTGTTTCTTACATGAGGAAAAGAGAGAAAGAAAAAATAGAAAAAGAAAAAGAAAATCTGAGGCCTTGCTTTAGGCCTGCTGTACTTACTACTTTCTCTAATGTCAGTGGCCAGAGGTGACTCGGGCATTCACTGACGGGCATCGAGGGGACTCCACACTTCCTGTAACTGTGTGTACAACCTCATGTGAATTATGTACATATTTCCATGGTGCTTCTCATTTTCTCAAGGAAACTATACTCCACAAAAGATGAAGAACTACTGCCATAGAATATCAGTGCTGTCTTGGGACATTTGAAGGTCACAGTCATGCAAATGCAACCAAGATCCCTGGCAGGAAGCATTTCAAGCTATCAGGAAAGCCCCACTGATCCAAATAGCAGTTTTGCAAGTAACAGTAATTTCATGAAGTTACACATACAAGGCATGGGTGTGTAACCACTTCCCCCAATGACAGTGGGTAGTAGTAGCTGTGGGTAGCAGTGCTCATGTATTTAAATCAGATCTAGTCGTCTCTGACAAATGCCAAGCATGCTCTTAACTCTCTTAAGTAATAAACTTCCCCGGCTCAAGTAAAAGTCAGCCTTTTCTGCAGGGAATAGCCACACCTTTCCTTCTCATTCTTGTAGCCCATTCTCCTCCTCCCTGCTATTTTCTGCAGCAGGGAGGGAGTAGACCAGTTCCAACCTCGGTGGTGCAGATCAACTGTTACTCTGTAAAGTGAAGGCATGACTCAGTGACATCATGCTGATTTATTGAAGAAAACTACAAAATCTCTGGTCTCAAAGACATTTAGCAGAATGACAGGAAATTATCTTAGGTAGTTCTGTGGTTGAAGAGGAGTTCAATTAGATGACCCCATAAAAGTCTTTCAAATTTAATTAACTTAGTAATCATTTAAAATTATCACCACATCCTATGTAAAATTTTGAGGGTTTTTTTTTTCCAGCAAAAGTGTTTTCAAAAAGTTTATCTTATTGAATTACTTGGCTGTTTATTTCACAAGTACTTTATTTTGTTTTTCCATGCCTGGAATGACTACATTTTCTTAAGATGACTACAAATGTTATGCCAGTGACATTTGTAGGTGGAATCAAAACAGTGTTAATTAGTTGTATTGAAGAGTTCCCTGACTTTAGCCTGTTTGTCAGTAACAAAGACACAGTATATTTTCCTTAGCTCTCATGAGTAACTAGTCCTTCAAGGATCAACATATTACCTTAAAACACCTCTGCTTTGAACCAAAGGAATACATTAGTAACAGAGATTCTGTGTGGGAACATTTTTACTGAGAGAATTGGTAGTTAATGAACATGTTTATCTTTTTTCTGTTGGAAAATGTTTTTATCCAGTCCCAAAATGGTGCCCATAAGCTTTATATTAATTAATTTTTATTAATCAGTTGAAGTTTATGCATTTTCAAGAAGGTGCATTTAAATATCAAATGTTGGCCTGGTGCAGTGGCTCATGCGTGTAATCCCAGTGTCACAGGATCCTTAGGGTGTCACTTCACCAGCCAGAAACCTCTGTGGCCAGCAGCACCTTCTGCCTGAATATTGCTCATGCCTGCTGGGCTTGGTCTGCCCACTCCGCCTGGTAGGCTGTGCTCAGCTTGCGCTGCTGACCCAGATCCCACACCTGCCAAGGGCCAGCCAGGTGCAGAGTGGTGAGGGGTGTGTGGACAAGCAAGCACAGGGTCCAGCCTCTGCACGCAGCCAGGCACATCAGCTGCTGTAGTGGAGCAGGCAGCTCCAGGCCCTGGCACAGGTGCTGGCTCCATGCAAGGCTGCAGCTGGACCATATGTAAGGCACGTGGCTTATGCTGCAGGCACCCGCGTCTGGAGGAGGGGAAGGCATTGGCACCCAAAAGGTTGGAGACACCAGGAACTTCAAAGAGGGCGTGACAGCCCTGGCTCAGGGAGGCCCTAGGTCTGGGATCCCCAAAGGGCCGCAGCTCTTCTCTCCTCTTAGTCACCCATAAAGTGGCAAGTTGTGGCGGGGTGCTGTTTCAGCCCTGTTTGTCTTACAGCTCTTCTCCCCTTCTCCTTGTCTCTCGCAAGTAGCAAAGAGCAGGGAGGGGAGCATGTCTCAGCCCTGTTGGTGTTACAGCTCTTTTTGTCCTGCCATTCGGCAGATCCTGAGTTCTTGTCCTGTGCCCAGGAAGAATTAGGTACTTGGACAACTGGAGGGCGAGCAAGGGAGAGTGGAGCTTTATTGAGCAGCAGAACAGTTCTTGGGAGAGGAGACCTGCGGTGGGTATCTCCTTCCCACAAGAAGATCATCCCGACGAGTGGAGGACACCCGAAGAGAAAAGCTCCTTCCCACAACTGGCAGTCCCAACTTCTGTGTGAATCTGGCTGAGTCCGGGGTTTTCATGGACTCAGATGGAGGAAGTGCATGCTGATCGGTCTATGGGCGACGATGGGCAGGCCCAGAAAAAGCACCGTTAAGTTCTCACTCCTGGCTGTGGACTCCACCACCCGGAACTTACAGCCTGGCTCCCAGGCTTCAGCTGTCCCTGGCTTGAAGGTGAGGCTTCACCAGCGACCTGCCCCTTTCCACCCAGGAGCCTGTCTTCCATCATCATGTTGTCCTCCACGCCCTGGCTGCTTGGGCAGAGGGGTGCCTGAAGGCCCTCAGTGAGCCGTCCTCAGCTGCCCGGCAGCCTGCCTTCCTGAACTCACTGGTGCCCAAAGCTTCAGAGGGGGGCCGAGGCGGCGGGGGTGCTGGTGTGTCAGTGCTGCCCGGAGCGCACACACACCTGGCCAGGTTGCGACAGTGCCTGAGCAAGCTCAGCTTCAACCTTGCTCCAATTGGAGCGGGTGCCAGGAGCAGAAGAGGCCAGGCAGTGGGAATAAGCACTTCCAAGCCTGTGCGGGGAGGGGGTTTCCCGGCCCTGAGAACACAGGGATGCCTGGATCCGCAGCCACGGCTGGGCTGCTGTGCTGTGCCTGGGACCACCGGGCGTCCTGTCAACTCGGAAGGGGGTGGGGCTCCTGTTGGTTCCACAGAGTGTGCAGCCCTGGTCACACCAACCCCACTGCAGCTGGCGTCCCTGCAGTGGCTGCTCCAGACAGGCTGCCACTGCCATCACCAGCACTTTGGGAGGCCAAGGCTGGCAGATCGCTTGAGCCAAGGAGTTTGATACCAGCCTGGGCACCATGGCAAAACCCCATCTCTTTAAAAAAAAAATGTTTGAAAAAATTAGCTGGGCGTGGTGGTGCCTGCCTGTAATCCCAGCTACTCGGGAAACTGAGGTGGGAGGATCACCTGAGCCAGGAGGTTGAGGTTGCAGTAAGCTGTGATTACTCCACTGCACTCCAGCCTGGGTGACAGAGTAAGACCCTGTCTCTAAATAAATAAGTATCAAATGTTAGTAAACTTTCTATTAAAACCACCAGTGTTAATGGAGATGAGTGAAAGATTAATTTAGGATGGTAGGTGGAGTTAGGAAAGGGGAGTTATTTCTCTACCATTTTGTGCCCTGATACTTGGAAGGAAACAGACCTTCATCTTGCTGTGTCATCTGTGGATATATAGACACAACCAACAATGTTGTGAAGCAGGAGGGAGATGAAGGGAGAAAAGAGAATGCAAAAGAAAGCAAAGAGGGGACTGGTGCAGATATAGAATTACACCAAATGGACTGCAGTTGGAACTCATGTGTGAAACTGTAGAGAAAAAGGGCAGGGATACGTAGGAATTCTTCAAAAACCCCCTTTGAACTCTTTCTTAAATCCATGCCCACTGGGGGTGTGGATGAATGATTCCTCTCTTTTCAACACAAGGAATGGTGAATTGGGGTCCAAGCAGAGCCCCCTAATCTCACAATGGGTTGTATAAACTGAAAAGATACTTGGGAAAATGTTATTTTTCCAATATCTGTCTTCAGGTGCTCTCCTTTTAATTCCTCCAGGTACTCATTTCAGTTCAGGGCTTACCTTTTTCCACTCCATCATCACAGGATAATATCCCATCAGAATTCAGGCAATGCCTCATTTCCAGTTACCCCCCAACTAACTTTTCTCTAAAAATTCACCTGTTCTCCTTATGCCATTAAGCTCCTGCTTTCTGCTTGACTGAGAGTAGATGTTGTCATTATGCCTTTAAGTTTGAGAAAACAATCGGATCAAATGTCAAGTTGCTCTTAAGCAAGATTTTACTAATCAGGCAAAAAGTGGTCATTTCTAGAAATCACCCAGAAAGAAAATACAACATGTGGAGATTCAAAGCTTGGGGTTGTATTCTAAGGTAAGTCTCTAAATAGCTCAAAAGCATGAACAGACTCCTCCTTTCTCCTGAAGTTGGTGAACTCTGCTCCCAGGGAAGTCTGTTTCCCAGCCCTACCGATGCTTCCAGGGGAATCTGCAGACCTGTTCCTCTAGCCAGCCCACTGTGTCTGGTTTAGAATCTTTAGTTAGGATGCTTGATTGCAGATCTTTAGCTTCAGATTTGTCACTTTTTTGCCTCCCATTGTGGACAGGATGTTTCATTTACTTTATCCTTGGCCCCAGCTGCCCAGTCATCCAGTTAAACAGCCAACTTTTTCTCCTGACCCCAGATCCTAGGACCCTAATTCATTGAGAAGCAGTATTACACAGCTAGGCATTTTTTTACCCTTCAAATTATGTCAAGTAGGGAAGGGTCAATAGATATGGAGAAGAAAACAATACTGACTGCTTACTAGGTGCCACGTATTTTGCAGGGATCATTTCAGAATCCTTACAACACCATGAAGCAGTTATTATATCCTCATATTGAACATGAGAAAACTAAGACTTAGTTAAATAACTTATCAAATTTACACAAATATGAAGTAGCAGAGCTGGGACTCAAACCCAGATCTATCTGATTTCAAAATATTTGCCATCTGTAATACACTAACCATAGTCTCACAGAAGGCACCAGCCTACCTACTTGACTGGATCCACCTGTGAGGACCAATGGGTATGCCATTGTTATTTGATTAATGAAATCCATTCCTCATTCAAGAGACACCTGATACACGCTTTAGGCATAGAATGTATAAAAGATACAAAGAACAAAATAATAATTGACCCTTATCTTAAAATTCTCTCAGTCTACAGGAAAGACAGTTAAATAAGTAATCATAATATGGAGGAATATTGTGAGGGTTGTTGATAAAAAATGATAAGGGGCTGGGGACATAGCTAAGGGAGGATTTATTCTGGGAGTTAGGAGAGATGTGTTCAAGGAACATTTTTTTTTCTTTTTTTTTTTTTTAAAGCGGGAGACTTTTGATCCAGACACAATGTTTAAGTAAGGATCTTCCAGGAAAATATGATGGGCCAAGGGTTCCGGTTGGAAGAAACTTACGAGCAAAGATACAGAGATAAGCAAGTTTCTGGAATGTTCTGGAACCTGTGAATTATCTGATGTAGTTAGTAAAGTGCTTCTTGGGTGTCTGGCTCCAAATACCCATAGGAGTAGAGTATAAAAGTTTTATGTAACATTTGGGGTGAGGATGGAAATTACCTTACCAAAGCAGAATTTCAAGTTTTTTGCTTTTTTAAAAAAATTGGTTTCTGGCATTCTATTCCAAACTATGCATGTATTTGTTTATAAACAATGTTTTTAATTTACTCACTATGTGAATTATTTACCTTTTCTTGAGGAATATTTGAAACCCCAGGATGATGTACCAAGTTCATCCAGGGGCTTTGTGTATGCCCTGGTGACTTTACAAACCACTACCTCAGAGTTCATGCCATTCTGTCTCATTTGAGAAGGATGGAGCTCAAATACATGTGTATGGTTAAGTCATATCTAGCGACGAGGCTGAAAACGGAAGCTGGGTTCAGTTTGTGAAGTGTTCAGATCAATGAGATAATGGGATCATGCACATGTTTTTATAAATGTATCAAAAAATCTTTTCATGTAATATATGTTCTGAGACACAATCTAATTGTTCACAGCAGTTGGTTATATCAATAAAAAAGCAGGTTATTTGATAAACATTTTCCCAGTGAAGAGCGGACTGTCTTTTATCCTCCAGTCATTAATTTCCCCCTGCCCACACTTATCTCTTTGTTGCTTGTACACATGCAGCCACATTCAATTCAGGGATGCAAAATCACTCCTTGACCCACGCCCTTAATGTAATTGTCCAGCCTAATGATGGGCAGGTATAAAAGATGATCAAGTTCACTTTGAAAACACAGAAGTGCTGGATGGTTTGTAAAAGGAAAGAGATAAATATAAATCTGACTTTCAGCCTGCCAATTTTAGTACAGTAAATTCTATGAAAAAATTTAATGCTACCAAACTCATTCATATTTGGTGAGTTTGGTTCAGATTTTCTTTCCCCTCACCTTGGACTACTTGAGCTCCTGTCATCAAGGCTGGCCTCACCCCTGGGTCACTGGGAAGGCCCTCTTCCCCCTCTCCCACCTTCAGTGATGCCTGAAATACTTTAAGTAGGAGACCAGTCAATCAATTTTGCCTCCACAATATGAGTAACACCTAGCACTAAATTCATACAAAGAGATGAAAACTGAAATCAGACATTTCCTAAGGCAGCGAGTATGGGTCGATAGGAAGGAGGAGAACACACAGGGGTGCTCAAGGCCAGAAGGGATACCAGCTGGACCCTGTCTCAGAGAAAGCAAAAAAAATGGTGAACAACAAAGCCAAATGTCAGTTTTACCCAAGGCTTGCGTTAATGAACCTTCACTACCTACTTGATGACCCCATGATGGAAAACATGCTTCTTCTGTCGGCAGTTTGTGCTGTGAAAGGCTAAAGACATTAAAATTGTAATTAAATACAAATTTATAAAAATTCTAAGACAAAGGTTTTATTCTGATTCTCTGCAATTCAATTCAGACCATCACCAACAAATCAGTTATAAATACCTACAAAAATCCTTAAGCTTGGTCCAAAACAATGAAAAGTCTCATCAACAAGAAACATAAAGTAATGAGAACTGAAATAAAAATCATTTTCAGAATGCAAGTGGATATGATGAGACTACATGTCACAGGCCCCACAATTCAAATAATCTTGGGTGTTCTCTAAGATCATTAAAAATCACTATGAAGAAAGGACATGTGATTATCATGTTTGTACAAATAAGGGTAAAAGGTTAGTATGATGATTCTCGTACAGGAGTAATTTGGATGTGGGAAGATATTAGTAACTATAAATAAAATCATTAAGAAATCAAAAGTGCTTAGTAAAGGTATTTTCAAATCTTCAAGGAAAGACAATTTTAAGTTTTATAAAGTAAAGTGACATTACTCTGTCCATGGATGTTCATCTGTATTCTAAAGGCCATAACTGACCCTAGGAAAGAAAATTCTACCAAGATGTAGTAAGGACACTTGTGAGAAGCTAAATCAATTACAAAACCAATGGCCTATCTGAATGCATCACTAACGTGCATGGTCTTGCCCTTGAACTTGTTGGAGTGCTATTTGCTACACTGTACATTACTAGAGGAAATAATCAATAGTCGTATCAGTTTATGACAGGCCCAGCAATTGAATATCTGGAGTTTTCCTGAGACATTAAAATTGGGCATCCTAGATCCCATGTATATGACTGAGGCATCATTTCTGAATTCTGATTTCAATTGGCAAGTGGTCCCACATTGTCACCACTTCTTTCACATCTTTCCTTCTAGTATATTCTAGGAAGGACAGCCTTCCTTGATGCCCATACTTTGAGCTGTCTCTGCACTGATGCTGTGTGTTTTCAATTTTTTTCTGTTCTATCAAGCAAGGGTGGACTTAGAGAAAGAATAAAGCACTGCACAGAGCCTCTAGACTATGTGTTAGTTGCAAAATGAAGAAGGCAGTAGAAGAGGAGGAGAGTCATCTTCCATATTCTCTTTTGGGACACTGAATATAGGTGAAATTCTAGATAAATGGAAGAGTCTTACTAAAATAAATCCACAAACTCATAGACTAGAACTAAGCTTATCCTGTTAAATATTTTATATGATATAGCTCTTAGCCCTGCACTTTCTGACTTTAAAATGTGGTAGAAAATACTAGGAAAGACTTGGATGAATATGTTTCATGGTGGCCAGGTTAGAACCATAGGCACAAGATAGTTACAGAGAATGAACTGTTGAATGTAAGCAAATCTTTCACTTACAGGGGGTTTGCCACTTTAAACCAGTGCTCCTGCCAATATTTTTAGTGGAAACTTCCTAAATGTGTTAAAATTATTCTAGCCATAATTAAACCTTTTTTATTGATACATAATAGTTGTACATATTTATGAATATATATGATATTTTGCTACATGCATATAATGTATAATTATCAAATCAGGGTAATTGTGATATTTTCAATGACACAGAAGACATATTTGCTCAGTAGTCTGTAGAATATCCTTTGGTGTTATTGAGTTATAATGGTTACCTACCCTTAAACTCAATGACCCCTTGCTTTTTTTTGAGATGCTGTATCTATTATTTCTTTTTCCTGCATGGTCAAGCCCAATCAGGATGAGCTGACAACACTTATGTCTTCTGGCCCTATCCTCCTGAAATACATGAATTCTAATCTGCATGGGTTGAGAAACCAGGTTCTCCAACTAGTGAAACTGATTTTTTTTTCTTTTTTCTTTTTTGTAGAGATGAGGTCTTGCTATGTGACCGAGGCTTGTCTCTAACTCCTAGGCTCTAGTGATCCTCACACCTCAGCCTCCTAAAATGTAGCAATTACAGGCATGAGCCACTGTGCCCAGCCTGGGATTGGATTTAAAGTAGGAGTAGAGAGGTGCTAAAGTTGAGACATGAAAAAAGTACGTGTACTTTGGGGTTGTAATTAGCTACTTCAGGGTTAATTTCAGATCTGTGTTCATATTCCAGAGATCTGAGCTGTGAAATAAGTGATCCTTGGATAAGTGAGGTAATAAAATAGTGAGGTTTTTGCCATAGCTTAGATAAAGCATTCCTATTTTGCAAAAATATGTTTCAGGTGTAAAAGATACCCTGTTTTGTTTTATAACAATGATCTGCTGAGAATGATTACCAAACACAGAAATCTCATGAGTTTACAAGACTTGTTCTCCTACAGAGGCCAAGCCTGTCTAGGAATATAATAGTTCTTTTAGTCTTTCAGATGCCTGGAGCAATTAAAGGAAAACACTATGTTTGAATTTGCTAATGCTGTTTATTTCCCTGATGTTGTCATTTCATCATGGTTACTGGAAGGGGTCACCAACACATTTTTAGAAATTGAAAAGCAATGTTTAGTCTTAGTGAAAGAAGATGACCAAATGTCTGATAGTATCTCTGAGGTTAACAAGATGGGATGATGCCCAGTTTCAGGCCACAAAACAAGACAGAGGAATGAATATTATATGTCATTTCTAATGGGATAAGACCCTGAGAACAGTCCATTTTCCAGTTTGGTGTTCATTATAAACAGGGATTTCAACTTGCTAGACTTACACACATCTGAGTACTTGTACACACAAGCCCAAAGACACAGACTATGTAACACTACCAAAACATCGGCATGTAAATTTGTGTAATTGGTTTAAAAGCCATTGCCGGGAAAAAAATGTTTGTATTGCTAGGTAATAGTTCAGAGCTACTGTGGATTCTAATTTTTAAAATATCCACGCAAACACAAGGAAATAGAATGAAACTGTATTTTAGGAGAACAGTATTATTTATTAGGTAACTAAAATGTATGATATTTTAATCTGTGCAAAACAACTCTGGGTCCTAGAGAGAGGGCAGTCTGCCCACCTTGGTGACATACTTGATCAAGGCTTCTATGCCACTGGCTTCCTGAGACTTCCTTTTATTTAACACAGTCATACAGCAGTTACTATGTACACCACAGATTAAGCCCTTTACAAGTATTAATTCATTTTATTCTCATAACAATCCTAGGGAATATGCAATAGTAGTACCCCCATGTACTAGGGAGGTCAACTGAAGCACCGAGAAATAACTTGCTTCTTATGGGTTTTGAAGCCAGCAATCTGGCTGCAGACTCTGCCCTTGATTACTAATGTATGTTACCTCATCAATCTGCATTCACGTGGGACCTGGGACTAAGCTACTGTTGCCAAACACCCACTATGCCAGCCCAGCTGGGTCACCGGGGGTGTCAGGGTCAAATGCATGCTATACTCAGGCCAACTCTCCACATGACAGACAAGGTAGGTTCTGGCTCTGGGTCCAGTCTTCAGTCCATACTCCTTCCCTTTCATCACAAAAGCCTCTTTTGTCATTCTTTTAGGTTGAGAGAGGATGAAGCACATCAGAAAGCACTCATTTCCTTTCTTACCAATGAATTGCATATGGATTCCTCTAAATCCATCATAAAATACTGAATAATGTGGAAACTCAAAATAGGAGTGGTGGTCTCAACTCATTTGCTCCTTAAGGTCCCTTTGTTGCTATGCAAACCTTTTCCCAGCAACCAGTGTTGTATAAAAGGGGTATTAAGAAGGACATTATTTCTCTAGCTATAAAATCTGTGGTATTATACCTTTCCCCAAAGCAATGCATAACAACTTGCCTGTCATTTTTTTTTAGTTTAGAAAGGTTACTCAAGTGATGCTTCTATCTTAGATGGAGCATTAACTGGCAAATTATATGTCAGTTTCAATTGATCAATCAACCAATTATACAAATTTAAAATCTGCTTAACCAGATAACTCTTGCCACCCCAAAATATGAAAAATTCAACAGGAAAATATTCTAGTTAATCTCAGAATTCTTTTCAATTCCCACAGCCATTCATTCCTGAGCCATCAGAGAGCAAATTCACTCTGTTTAAGTCTTCACTGTTAAGTTATATCAATCTCTTCTTATCAACATGGCTATCATTTACTAATCCTTAGAGGATTGTTTTAGGAGGATAAAATAACAAAAATAACAAATTTTATTTGGGACATTTTGATTTTGAAGAGTTTGTAAGACATCCATGAGGAACAGCTCTAAGGCATTTGGAAATGCTGGTCTTAAACTCACAAAATGAGGTAGCTTAGGGACATACTTTAGAGTTTTGAATCATTTTCTTATATTTAAGTTTAAAAGTTCATTGGAAAAAAGGTGATTTGTCTCTAGATTGTGAGGGTGTTAGGTATTAACTGCAAGAAACTTGTAATTTATAAGCAAGGGACATGAGGCATTCTCTTGCCCTCAAGGAGTCTGACTGTATGCATACTTTAGAAAGACATCTTGTGGTGTTCAACAGATGTAAACATGAGGCTATAGTAAAGTCTGAAAAGAGGTGATGAAGTCTAGAACCAGAACCATAGAAATGGAGATCCACACACAGGAGAGTTAAGAACCAAGAGAGAAATGAAATGTCATTCATAATAAAATGGAAATAATCTTCTGGTTTTTATAAGAGAAAGAGTTGCTGTTTAGTTTACTCTGGAGAGGCAAAAGAAAGAAATCTGGGCAACATAGAATGCTGGACTGAATTTGAAGAAATAGGGATTTTTATGAGCACGGGTATGTCTAATGTTTACTTTTAAGTGGTTTGTGTTGCTGTGATATTACTGTGGTAAATTTCAGGTTTGTGACTATTTATTTTGTTTGTTTTTGTGGCAATAAGGAAAACAGTCTGGATTTGACATACAAAGGTCTACATGGTATATCAATAATAACCCATAAATCAAATTGAATTGGGAAAATCAAAGCTCTGTCTGCACACGGTTTAGGGTTTGAGCCAGTTTCATTCTGCATCTCAAAAGATAGGTTTCCATGGAGTACCTGGGTTACTTGAGTTCTGGAATAGCAGAACTATATGCGCTCTTGGCTTGGGTAAGAAGGAGAAGAAATACGTATTCTCTCACAGCCTCATGGAGTTCTACAGCTAAGCTTGCCAAGCTCAGTACATAAACACCAGCTAGAGAAATGTAAACCTGACACTAACCCTTAACTCTGTAACAAAACACAAATTTAAACATCCAAACACTGGCTGCTCTCAGTTCCATGAGAAACCATTGTTTTCTCCCACCAGTCCTCAGGCAGCAGAACAGCAAATGCTAAGGTACCAGGTGATCCCAGCCAGATGCAGTATTTACCCAGGAGGGATACAGAGGCAAATAACACATAGTCCCAATCCCTGTGAAGCACATGGTCTACTAACAAGGGCAGCTATTTCCCCAGTGAATTAAAGAGCAGTACAATGGTGAAGATATGAGCTGAATCACACAAAACACCCTAGAGGAAGAAACAACTGACTCTTTGGAGGGTCACTAAGTTTCCCTTTACAGCATTCCCCACCCCAAAGACTTCGTCTTTCACCTAGTGCATTCAAGAGATGAAGGTTTTGACTCCTGAAATTTCAGACATCAAACCTCTGTAAAGAGGGATATTTTTCCAGAAGATTCACATATATTAAGGCCAGTATTGCCGTGGAGTAAAAAGGGAATGCAGCATTCTGCTAGCTGCTTTAGATGCATTACCTTATGTAATCCTTCTATCAACTGTATGAAGATGGTATTATTATTGCTACCTCAAAAATCAGGAAAGAATACTCAGAATTCAAACCCTTATCTACCTGATTCCAAAGCTCTCACTTTTCCCACTAAGCCTAACTTAATCCCCCAAGGTGGGGTTATGACACATTTCCTCATTGTATAAGACAGTATGTGCATTGTAACGCCGGCCCTAAAATAAACATACGTACATATGCACACAGGCATACACATATATAAGGCATCATTGGTTGTTAGGCAAATTCTAATTGAAACCACAATCAGATACCACTACACAGATAGAATGGTAAAGAAAACAAAACAAAAACAAAAACAGAAAACCTGTTAATACCAAGTGCTGGTGAAGATTTGGAATAACTGGAATGCTCATACCTTGCTGGCGGGAATGCAACAATGGCTCAGCCACACTGGAAAAGCTTGGCAGTTTATTATGATATTAAACACATAAGTATATAATCCACCAACTCTACTCCTAGGCATTTAACATAAGGTAAATGAAAATATTTGTCCATGCAAAGACCCATTATGAATGTTTATAGCAGCTTTCTTTATAACCCCAAACTAGAAATAACCAAAAAACTATCTGCTGATGAGTGAATAAACAACTGTGGCACATCCATACAATGGGATGATACCCGAAAGTAAAAAGGGAAAAAACTACTCACACATGTACCAACATTGGGGAATCTCAAAAGCATCATGTTAAATGAAACAAGCCAGACACAAAAGGCTAAATACTGTATAAATCACTTACATGACTTTCTAGAAAAGTCAAAACTAGGGGACAGAAATCAGATCAGTGCTTGGTGGGGTTTTGGGTGAGAAAAGGGAATTGGCTACACAGGGACATAAAAAACTTGTTGAAGTGATAGACTTATCTTGGTGGCAGCTATATGACTGCTCATGTTGCTAAAAACTTGTACTTATGCTATAAATAAAAATGATAGATTTTGGTTTATGTAAGATGTGCATTTTTTAAAAAAGAACTGTACACTTAAAGGAGTGGATTTCTCCACATGTAAGTTTACCTCAGTAAACACACAAACACAAATGTCTTTCTAGAAAAATGTACTTTAATACAAAACTGAATGTTTATATTTAATCTCTTTGAGCTATTCCTGCTTTGGCCTGTTTACAAATCCCACCCACAAGGTACTATCTTTTATGGAAGACTTTGTAATGTGAGTAAGGATACCAGAAAACAGTAAGTTAGTAATTTGTTCCATTCACCATCACTCTGTTACACATTCAGACAAAGCATGAGTGTGAAAGGATTTGAGCCTATTACCAAGATTAATGGAAACCCAGATGGGGGACTCCTGAAGAACTAACAGCTTCATCTGAAATCCAGTGGAAAACAATTGTCTCAGAGTCACGTGAAGTGCTACAAAAGCCAAAACATAACTAAGTCCGACTGCCTTCCGGGCATGGTTTGACAGCCTTGTGGGGTCTGAGAGCAGAAGCCTGAGAACAGAGATTTATGCCACAAATTAAGCTCCTAAAACTCCAGTGGAATATTTTGTGAGCCCCTTGGCCATATGTAACTGCACTGCTAACTGTCACTACAAGAGAACATTCTAAAAATGATGTGGAATGGGGTGCAGGACAGGGAGCATTTAATTGAAAAAAAAATCTTTGTAAAAATAAAAAAAATTTAAGAGCTATTTTGCAATTCTAAAACTTGCCTCATGTTCCAGTGATGTCTGAACATGCTTGGGGCCATAATTTAAATAATTTTTTTCTCAACCAGTGGGGTGTAATTTTTAAATTACTGAAGATGTCCAAAGATAGTCATGATTTTCATCTATGAAAAACAAGACATTTTCTGAGAATTTCTACTTGCCCTACCTATTACTCATTTTTTAGACAGCTAAGACCTTTGAGGGTTAAGAGGCATAAATAACATAAAGAATGACACTGAGAAAACACAAAATGAAGAACAGAGCAAAACTAGAAATTCTGTCCCAAGTGGGTCTTAACTGAACCATATGCAGTATTACATATTATTGAACAGTCATGAGTTTCCAATTCGCTATAATGTTTTCCTCTGTGCTCACAAGTTGTTTGGTGAAGTCAAGCAAGCTAGCAAAAGGAAGCACTTATTCAGAGCCCATTTGAAAGAGGAAGAACCATGAACAGTGAATAAACAGGTGGAGGCAGGTATATTACAAAACTCTATGCATTTTGAAGGTTTGTATCAATATGAACAGGGCTTTCTCTCTAATCCCAGGGGCAGGATTTCAAAACATAGGCTTGGCTGGAATATTTATCTAATTTCTCATCACCTGACTAAAGCCAAATCCTAACCACAATAATTGGTCTATTAAAAGATGTAGTTCTAGCAACTCTGGCAGATGAATCATTCAGATACACGCACACACATTTATGCTCCTCTTGGCTACACATAAGCAAACAAAACAAAACAAATAAACCACAGAGAAGGCAGAATGGGTGTAAGAAATTCCCACTCTACTGGTCCCTAACTCTCTATCTTTAATACATACTAAAGGCTAAATTTATATATATATAGATGGCTGTAAGAAGAGACAAATATCCCGGGAACATTTCCTGCAGAAAGACTAGTATTTCCTTTGGTATATAAGTGAAGAGTTTCAGAGGAAATTGGGAGAAGTACTTTCCTTTGTGCAATTCGTTTCTTGGACTGGCACTCCCGTTCCCCTGTTTATTTTTGCTTATCAGCCTCCTTAAGCTCCAAGCACAACCTTTCCTTTTCCATTGTTTTCATTTCTTTGCCACCTTTTTATTGATACATCTCATTCTCATTAATGTAGATTATGAATTATGATCAAGCAGTATCAAGCCCTTTTCAAGATACAACAATACTGAAGGGTTCTCGAAGAGGGTTAAT